>NC_000018.10:78756506-79057862 GCF_000001405.40 Homo sapiens | reverse complement strand
TGTTATGTCTATTTTACCACAATTTTTAGAAAAAGAAAAAGGAAGAAAACAACTAGCACAAAAGTAAAGATAGTAGTCATCTCTGCGGGTTGGGGGGACACACCAGAGAGCACTAGTAATTGTCTAGGTTTTTTTTTTTTTAAATGGAGACAGGGTCTTTCTACACCACCCAGGCTGGTCTTGAACTCCCGGGCTCAAAGGAGTAGCCAGGATGATAGGCATGCACCATTGTACCCAGCTAATTTTCTAGTTTGTAAATAGGATGGTGGGTTTGTTTATTTCCTTGCTTACATACAGGCTGCATTGATTCCTTTGAAAGGTCATGTATTATCTAATTAAATACATACCACCCACACCACCAGCACCAAAGAAAAAAAAAAGGACCAATATGGGGGCACTGAGCACTTTGGAGCTAAGAAGGCTCCACAGTGTGGGTGTGGGGTGGGCATGACCTGGACCACAGCTTCCCCAGCCCCTGCCAGACCTTCCAATGCCCATGTCCTGGACCAGAGTGTGCAGCTCCGAAGGGCCCAGCCCTTCCTGCCAGCCATACACAGGCTTGAGGTTGGAGGTGGCCTGACAAGGCACAGGCTCTCCTTTGCCCTGTGGGCACCAGATCTCAATTTGTCCTGCTGAGTCCACAGCCAGCCGTCTCCTGACCAGCTTGTCCTGCCGAGTCCACAGCCAGCCATCTCCTGACCACCGCATTCAGGACCACAGTGGCCCCCAGCCCCCACAGTTGTGCAAGGTCTACTCCCATAACCCACCCCTGCTCTGCACCCATAGAGCAGCTCCGCCTCTCCAGCCTCACCTGAGACTGGTCCTGAAAGGGGCATGGAGGAGCAGAGCCTTGGGACAGGCTCCTGGATGAGTGCCATGTTCTTGAGAACTGGTCTTCTCTGGTTCGATTTTCAAGTACTAACGACTTTGTTGACAACGGTGAATGGAACACTGGTTGCGCATGGCATGTGACAGCCAAACTGTTTCTTCAAAGCAAATTTGTAAATGCCTCTAGTCAAGTGCCTGTAGGAGGCAAGGGTGTGGGTGAACAAGCAGTTATGGCCACAGATTTTGTTTGCAAAAATAATTGATACACTAGGGTTGCTTGCTTGCTTCTGTGAGCACTGGAAAAATTGGGAAGAGAAAATGGTGGTCTCAGAATTCCAAATTTCCAGCTTAAGGTCCTTGTAAGTGACCAGAAAGTGTCTGTGAGTCCTTAAAAGAAACCCACATAGCCAGGAGTGACGGCTCACGCCTGTGACCCCAGCACTTTGGGTGGCCACAGCAGAAGGGTTGCTCAAGGCCAGGAGTTTCAGACCAGAGTGAGCAACAGAGTGAGACCTCATTTCTACAAAAAATAATTAGCCAGGTATGGTGGCACTCGCCTGTAGTCCCAGCTACAGGTCCTCCTGAGGCAGAGGGATCCTTTGAGCCCAGGAGTTGGAGGCTGCAGTGAGCTGTGATTATGCCACTGCACTCCAGCGTGGGTGGCAGAGTGAGGTCCTGTCTCTAAAGATAAAGATTAATAATAAAGAAACCCTCACCCCTGTAGCCACAAGGCTGAGAGTTCTGGAAACCAAACCCAGAATCTAATCCGGTGGGTGTCTTCTTTTGTTTGTGCTGCTATAACAAAATGCCACACACTGGGTAACTAATGAGGAACAGAAATGTATTTCCAACTCTGATGGCTGGGAAGTCCAAGACCAAGCCACTGGCATCTGGTGCCTGGTGAGGGCCTTTTTGCAGCCTTGTCTGTCAGGAGGGGCCAAAAAGGCAAAGAGGATGAGTGCTGTGCCCTCACGTGGTGGGAGAGTCAGCAGAGAAAACTCATCCCTGAGCCCTTCTATAAGGCCCTCATCCCACCCACGAGGGCTCCATCGCCATGACTTATTCACCTCCTAAAAGCTCACCTCTTCCTATGATCACAATGATGATTATGTCTCAACACGTGAATTTCAGGGACATTCAGACCACAGCACTCTGGACATGATTTGCCTTCCCCAGCTTTGATATTTCAGTCCAAGTCACCACCCCTGGACACAGAGAATGGTGTTCTCTACAGCATTGCTTCTATCCAAGAGACTGATTTTATACAGTCTCCCTGGATTATACCCATGGAATTTGCTGAGTGAAGTGAGTTGAATGATGGCATCTGAAACATATGTTCATGTCCTAACCCCTGGAACCTTGAATGTGACCTTATGTGGAAAACAGAACTGTACACATGCAGTTAAGGATCTCAGAATGTGACGATCCTGCATTACCATGTGGGCCCTAAATGCAATGACAAGTGTCCTTATAAGAGCAACACAGAGGAGACAGCCACGTGGCAACAGAGGCAGAGATTGTCATGGCCAGGCACAAGCCAAGGAGCACCTGGAGCCACACGGCACTGGAGGAGGCAGGAAGGGTCCTCCCTAGAGCCTGGGAAAGGAGCATGGCCCTGCTAACAACTTGACTGAAGACTCCTGGCCCCCAGAACAGTGGGGGAATAAATTCATGTTGTTTAGGCCACCTAGTCTGTGGTGACTTTCTATAGAAGCCTGGGGACCTGAATATGCTGGGATTGCCAGGTCCCCCCGCACTGTGAAGGAGCTGGCTTGATGAAAGGGTGAAATGGCCTTTTGAAGACACAAGCGCCTTGCTGGGTGGGAATCTTACTCCCCAGGAGGCAGGGTGCAAATGCTCCGCTCGGTGGCCAGTGTGTGGTTCTATTTTTCCACAACCAGGGTTCATGGGCTGGAATTAGAATGACTTCTCCCATGATTTCTCCCTGAGCTCTGCTACTGACACATGTTCTTCCTGTCCCTGAAACTTTAGGATCTGCTGATCTGAGGTCTTAGCTCCCTGGCGGGATGCTCCCATCTCAGGACATACCCCCACAGGACTGGTTCACTGGGCTGGCAGTGGAGTCAACCCCATTAGCACTCTGAGCACTTCCTGTCAGGGGAGCTTGAACCAGCAAAGAAGGGGGTCACTGTACTGGCTGGAATGCTTAGCCCCAACTATCCAGGGGAAATTAGGTTGCTTCTAAACAATGAGGGCAGGGAAGAATATTCTAGAATACAGGCAGGAATGCGAATGGCTCAGACCCTTCCGGAATAAAGGTTTGGGTCACCCCACCAGGCAAGGAACATAAACTGCAGGGTACTTGCTGAGAGCAGAGGGTTAGCGATGGATGGCAAGAGAATGCGGTCATGAATGCCAGCTCCAACGGTCACTGAAACAAAGGCAGGAATAGTTACGGACATAACGTTTTCTTCCTCTCCTCTTCCATGATATAAGATGTGTCAGTGGTAGTTATCCTGCTGTCTCAGTGTTTAAGTTTTAGGGTATCAGAGGGCTGACTCAGTCAGAAAGAGAACAAACATCTCGAAAGATGTAAAGGGGACGTTACAACCCCTTTGGGGAACAAGTTGGTCCATCATTGGTTGTACAGGTGATTACTACAAGCCATACTGGATGAAAGCGTGATTTTGTTACTACCTTTCCCTGAAAGTTAAGTGTGGTTCAAGGGGTGTGGAGTGCATGGCCAACAGGAGCGGCTGTGCTGACCTTGTACCTAACCAGCTTGATTCAGTAGGGGAGAAACTTCCCTGAGTTCCCTTCCCTATGTGGTCTGGGTTGGAATTGGCCACAGACATTTTGAGAAGGATTGAGAAGGCAGAAGGGAAACAAGAACCTTATTTTTGTGTCCAGAAGGTCAGTGCTGGGTGCCCTGGCAGCTTGCAATCGTTGACCTTGGCTGGGCAGCTCACAGCCTCACAGCCCCCTGGCTGCCACCAGGTCCTCTCCTGCACCTTCTTGGAATCCTGATCCAAGTGCATTGTGGGTCTGTGGAGAAGGAGTTCCCACAGCATTGACTTGGAGGCGGTGAGAGATAGACTTGGGTTCCGGTTTGTGCTGAGAGTCGGGCTGTCTTCATAGGGTCCCCTCGTGGGTTTCAGCCATGTTTGCTCTTGTCTGTACCTGTTCACCTAACCCTCCCTGGGTGGCTGAGCCATGGTAACTTCTGGCCTGACTGCCATTCAGGGCTTCACACAGCTCCCCCAGCTCTCACAGTCATGTGAGGTCCAAAACCTAAAATAAACTCCTTATTCTATTTCACTAGTAGCAGTTCTGTTTCTCCAATCACATTCTGATTGATATATCTGCCTTTGTATTCCATTTTTCTGGAATTCTTATTACCTCTTGGATTATCTATTTTTCTTACTTACTTTTATAGTTTGGCACTTTTATTGAGGTTTTCAGTTTTGCTATCATATTGTTTAGAACTTTTATATTATGGGAAATAAACGATTTATTTAAACATGTGCAAAAGTCAAGAGAATGCTGTAATGCGCCTTCCACCAAGCTTGGTATTTGTAAGCTCTTGATCGCCAGCATTTCCTCTGTCCTCCCATTCACTTCCTCCTGCACTGCAGAGTCTTTCGAGGTTTTCCTAACATGGTCTTATTTCCGAAAGCATTTTGGTTCTCTGATGGTTCTCAGAGCAATCTGCTTTCAGCTCATTGATGCACTTTTCTCTCTCATGTCTCCAGATACTAGTGATGGTTTTCAGTTGTTACCTTCCGAGGAGCCTCCATGTCCTCAGAGCTGTTTGAGCAGTTTGTTCACCGTGGCCTCTCTCTGCGTGGCAGAGGGCTCCTCCCTGCATCTGCCTGTCTTTGCTGTCTGCTCACATTTTAGAGTAGGACTCCCAAAAGCTGGTTGAAGGCCGAGGGGGTGACGGGGGCCTGTGGACTCTGATCTTCGACGTGGGATGAATGATTGAGCTGAGTTGTTTTCTTAGGAAAACTCCAACGTCTGCATCCCCCGATGAAAGCAGGATAGGGACGGGTTCTCCAACTCTGCCCTTTAGGTTCCCTTTGGGGGAAGAACCCAGCATGTGAACGTGCACGCAGTGCAGGCCATGCACCTACCTACACGCAAGGGGCGTCCCTAGAGTCTAATGTCCGGTTGCTGGAGAGGGGTCTGCTGGTCTGATTTTCTTAAAAAAAAAAACAGATTTTCAAGGGATTCTTCTGTTTTTGGGTGTCACCTTCATCCTCACTTTTAATGGTGCCAGTGCCTCCGATTCTAAGCCTTTGGGGGTGTCCTGTGGTGTCACTGGGGTTGTCCCTTGGCTTTTGCAGGGCTGACTTAGAATTCAGCCTCCTCCGTCCTGTGGGTCATCTCTGCTTATCTACCTGCACTTCATCTTCCAAACTTCTGTTGCTGTTTGTCTTCTCCCATTCTCTTCTCCTTGGTAGGTTTATGCCCCTCAAACAATCCCTTTATTCTCATTGAAGTTGGGCTATGGGTGGATGGAGCCTAATGCACTCATCCGACACCCCGTCTTCAACTAGACACCCTGCCCTTCTGCAAGACAACCTGTGCGTGTGCCCTGGCAGCCTCAGCCAAAAGCAGCAGGGGAGTCGTTTCCTGGATGTTTGGAACAAGTCCATCAAAGAATATTTTTGAATTTCTATTATGTGCAGAGTACGACACTGTAAGAAACACTGAGGTGCATCCACAGTCCTTGCTGCACCCCCAGGATCCTGCCTGAGTGCTGTGGTGCTCTCCGCAGCACGCACCCACCTGCTGTCACTGCCGGCGCTGCATGCCCCGTGTGGCCCCTGGCCCTCCGCAGCTCCAAAGCACAAAGCTCCATCCTCAATATGCCACCCAACCACTGCCACCCCTGCCATTACTTTATTATTATTTTTCAGTCTCTTTGAATGCAGATTTCATTTTAGATTCATCCATGAATGCACTTTCATTTTATGTCCTTTTTTTAAGTTTGTTGTTGCTGTCGTTGTTGTTGTTTGAGACAAGGTCCGGCTCTATCACCCAGGCTGGAGCGCAGTGGTGTGATCTTGGCTCACTGCAACCTCTGCCTCCTGAGCTCAAATCATTCTCCCACCTCAACCTCCTAAGTAGCTGGTACTACAGGCAAGCACCACCACACCTGGCTCATTTTTGTATTTTTTGTAGAGATGGGGGATTCACCATGTTGCCCAGGCTGGTCTCAGACTCGTGAGCTCAGGCGATCCATCCTCCTCGGCCTCCCAAAGTGCTGGGATTACAGGTGTGGGCCACGAAGCCCAGCCACAATTTTTTTTTTAATTTAAAACTTTTTATACTTAAAAAAATTGAGGTAAAATATACATGTAAAATTTACCATCTTTACTATTTTTAAGTGTGCAGTTCAGTGGTAATAAATACATTCATATGCTTCTTTTTAATCTCCCTTTCCCCTACTCTGTCATTACTTTATGCTATTTATTTATTTATTTATTTTTGAGATGGAGTCTTGCTCTGTTGGTCAGGCTAGAGTGCAGTGGTGTGATCTTGGCTCACTGCAACCTCCACTTCCCAGTTCAAGCAATTCTCCTACCTCAGCCTTCTGACTAACTGGGATTACAGGTGCATGCCAACACACCTGGCAAATTTTTTATTTTTATGTTTTGTATTTGTGGTAGATATGGGGTTTTGCCATATTGGCCAGGCTGGTCTCGAACTCCAGACCTCAAGTGATCTGCCCACCTTGGCCTCCCAAAGCTCTGGGATTACAGGTGTGAGCCACCACACCCAGCCTCTGTTATTACTTTAAATTGCACACTGAAATTTGGGTTGGAAACCTGGTGCAACTCTTCGGTTTAGATATTTGTTATGTGACTTGGTCAAAACTCTAAAACCTTCTGTTTCATTATTTCATATACAGATAACGGTATCCAAGCACACAGATATTTTGTGAAGAAAATAAATGACTAGACAGAAAGGAATTATAGAAAAAACATTATAAAAATACCATGTAAGTGTTAGTATAATTTTTTTTTTTTTGAGATAAGAGTCTCACTCTGTTGCCCAGGCTGGAGTGCAGTGGCACAGTCTCGGCTCACTGCAACCTCCACCTCCTGGGTTCAAGTGATTCTTCTGCCTCAGCCTCCTGAGTAGCTGGGATTACAGGCATGCACCACCACGCCTGGCTAATTTTTGTATTTTTAGTAGAGACGGGGTTTCACTAGGTTGGCCAGACTGGTCTCGAACTCCTGACCTTGTGATCCGCCCGCCTCGGCCTCCCAAAGTGCTGGGCTTACAGGCGTGAGCCACCACGCCTGGACCCTAGTATAAATTTGTTTTGTTTGGTTTTGTTTGGTTTGGTTTGGTTTGTTTTTTGAGACGGAGTCTCGTTCTGTCACCCAGCTGGAGTGCAGTGGCACGATCTTGGCTCACTGCAACCTCCGCCTCCCAGGTTCATGCGAGTCTCCTGCCTCAGCCTCCTGAGTAGCTGGGATTATAGGCACACACCACCACACTCGGCTAATTTTTGTATTTTTAGTAGAGACAGGGTTTAACTATGTTGGGCATACTGGTCTCGAACTCCTGACCTCGTGATCCGCCCACCTCGGCCTCCCAAAGTGCTGGGATTACAGGTGTGAGCCACCGCGCCCAGTCAGCTAGTATAAATTTTTTTAAAGGCAGACTCTGATTCTCTTGCTTAGGTGTTCTGCTTTATTTATTTATTTATTTATTTATTATTTTTTGAGACAGGGTCTTGCTCTGTTGCCCAGGCTGGAGTGCAGTGGTACAATCATGGCTCACTGCGGCCTCTACCTCTCGGGCTCAAGCAATCCTTCTGCCTGAGCCTCCTGAGTAGCTGGCATAGTGCCAGCCACTGTGCCTAGCTTGTGTGAGTATAATTAAAGCAACATCTCCAGTTTCAGCTTTAGTGGGACTTCAATACGCCTGGACATTTCTACAGTGCTGGTAAAAGAGACCACAAGAAGCTGCTTTACAAGAGAACGGAGGGAAATGGTGCAGCCGCTGTGGAAAACCAGGCAGCAATTTCTCAAGAGATGAAGCAGGAAGCAGCCATCTCACCCAGCAGCTCCATGCATTCCATGTAACTTCCAAGAAATGAAAATTTGCCAAAAGCTTGTGTACGAATGTTCATAGCCACACTATTCATGATAGCTAAAAGGTGGAAATAACCCAGATGCCTATTTACTCATGAAAGAATAAACTAATTGTGATAAAATGAAATACTGCATGGTAACTTGATGTGCTGACACAGGCTGCATTGTGGATGAGCCTTGAGAACACGCTCAGTGAAGAAAGACAGTCATAGAAGGCCAGGTCTTATGTGAGCCAGAATAGCAAAGTCCACAGACAGAGAAAGAGGCAGATCAATGGCTGTGTGGGGCCAGGGACACACACAGGTGTGTGTGAGGTGTGAGGGTGACAGCTAAAGGGCATGAGTTTCCTTTTGGAGTGGTGCAATGTTCTAAAGTTGGGTGCAGTGATGAAAATACTAAAATGTGCTATACTGTGGAATTGTGGCCGAGCGTGGTAGCTCATGCCTGGAATCCCAGCACTTTTGGAGGCTGAGGCTGGAGGCTCACTTGAAGCCAGGAGTTTGAGGCCAGCCTGGACAACATAGCAAGACCCTGTCTCTACAAAAAAAAAGAAAGTAAATTAGCTGGGTGTGTTGATGCATGCCTGTAGTCCTGGCTACTTGGGAGGCTGAGGCAGGAGGATCACTTGAGCCTGGAAGGTTGGGGCTGCAGTGAGCTCTGATCATGCCACTACACTCCAACCTTGGCAACAGAGAGACTCTGTCTCAAAAAATTAATAATCATAAAAACCCTGCTGAATTGTACACATTAAATGAGTGAATGCTATGCCATTTGAGTTGCATTTCAAAAAAGCTGTTACAAAAACATAGACCTGAGGGGCTCCTAGGACAAGAAGCTAAGGAAATCATCACCATGGGCTTAGCCCAGAAAGGGGGGCTTGGTTCCCGGAGGGCGGCTGCTCAGAGCCTGGCCCAGTGGATCTGTGACATGCCCACAGCCCACCCTCATCCAACCCACGCCTAAGCTCTGAAGAGGGCAGAGGGACCATCGGCCAAAATCTCAAGTGAGGGCTTTTGCTCCGGCAATTAAACTACCTGGAGCTGGACAGACAGAGCCAGGTCCTCGTGGCTGACGTGTCCTCGTTTCCAGGGCCAACGTCAGAGACTCGGGAGCTGTGCTGAGCAGAGCTGCGTCTGGAGTGGCCTCGCCCTGGGCTCTGAGGAAATGCAGCAAGGCAACACAACTGAGGACTGCGCCCTGGGGGCCCTTTCTCCCAGAGGCTCTGCCCAAGGCCAGCGTGATGTCCCAAGGGGCACAACTGCAGCTGTGACTACTGCCTGCCCTCCGGAGGACCCGCAGACCACAGCTGACCAATGGATGTGGAAGGGCTGGGGGCTGCCCTGGGAGGTCTGATGAAAGTCTGTGGGGATGCCTGAGTGTCTTCCAGCACCGGCTGGGATTTAATGCGGCTCAGTTCAAAAGCCCACGGCCGAGACTGTCAAGGCTGGCCATTGCATCTTGGCCAACCTGGGCGGTACACCCCACTCTGAGGTGTACCTTGAAACAGTCGAGAAAACCCGGGGAGGCATAAAGGACTTCTCTTGACTGTTTCAAGGAACACCTTGAAGTGTATGCTTGATTGTACACACCTGGGCACAGATGCACCCCTGGCCTTCTCTGCAGCCTATGGTGGGGGAACTGGCAGCAGAGAAGGGCCACGGGTGGTGATTTGCTTTCTATGTCAACTGGAAGGGCAAACAGTGATTTCAAACATTACTTTCAGCAATGTTATGAACTTAATCTCAAAAAGCCTCAGAAAATTTCTTACCTGACAAATTCATCTCTGAAAACCAACCATCCACTGTCAATGAGAAGGCATAAAATTTGAGAAAAGACAAAAAACCTGTGTCATGTGACACAGAAGATCACGGTCACATGGCAGGGTGCCACAAACAGCAGCGGTGGCAGTGACTCATGCAGTCAGCCCTGCCCGGGGCCGCTGGGTGCCCACCGTGGTGACAGCACCCGGGACTTCCTGCTGGAATCACACAGCATCACTCACCAACTTCTAGGCCGAAAAACAAAACCAAACCACAAACGAAAACTAAGACAGCAGGTCCTACCAGAGGGAGATGCGACGTACACTGTAGGAACGGAGTTCTGACCCACTTTGGTCCTGACCTCTTACAAAGATGGCGCCCCCCGGCGTGGCACGATTCCCGCCTCTTCCAGCGTTCTCTCCAGCAGCGCAGCAACGCACTTGCCCGATGACCTCCCGCTGCGAGATACAGGCGGGAGCCTCACCGCACAGAGACGGCCCCACCGCGGGGCGCGCACGTCGCCTCCAGGGCCTCCTCCAGTCCTCATCTTCTCCTTGGGAGTTCGGGTGCCCTGTGACACGAGCACCTCCCATTCTCCCGGAAAACCTTCCGCAGGATTTGGGCCACTTCCGGATGTTTTTGCTCCAGGAGTGCCACAGAGCGCCTCTCCCGTAGCTGGAGTTAACAGACGGGGCCAGCGCCAGGAACACATGAATTTGGGGTCAACCCCGGGAAGCCGGGAAGGCAAAGCCTGGGGACTCTCTCAGGAGGTCGGGACACAGAACAGGCTTAGCAGCTGCGGGACCCGCGCTTGGCCATTTTTATCTTGCTGAAAATGGTGAGTGTACCTGAGCGTCTACTTAGTTAACAGTCTCTACGTGATTTTCATAAGCGTTTATATAAAAAGTGGCAAACACGTCTAAAACATTATATTAAACGGTGTCGAAGAGTAACAGGTCAGATTAGGGCTTCTGCGGTTCTGAGAAATCTTATCACTTGATTGACGGCAGAGGCCCGTGAGGCCCGGCAGGCAGGAGCTGGGTCTCAATCACAGGGCTAGCGGCTGCTGCGAAAGAGCAAGGACTTGGAGGTCGACTTGGGCCTGAATCTCGCTTAGTGTGTGTGTGGTCAGAAACACACGGCATGCAATGTACCTTCTCAGCTCTTGCTAAGTGTGCACTGCAGTGGTGTCGACTCTGCTCACATTGTTGTTCAGCAGATCTCTCTCTGTGATCTTGCAAATCTGAAATCCTCTACCTGTCGGGCAACACTCCCAGTCCCCCTCCCACAGCTGGTGATCACCACTCTACTTTCAGCCTCCAACAGTTTGACTACTGTAGACACCTGGATGTGAGTCCTGTCCGTGGCTTGCTGGCTGTGGGCCTAATTGTGAGTCCCGTCTGGCCCCTCCCTGGGTCTGTGCCCTCACCGTGCCTGACTCAGCGGAGGCCATGCTGCCCTACTCCCTCCAGCTCACAGGGCAAGGCACGTGCTGGACCCGGCCCCCTTCGCCCCTTCTCATGCTGTCGCTCCAGTGGGCTGAACCCTGCTGCCCCCGCAGTTTCTGCTCCTTCGCGGGTCCTCCCCTCGAGGCTGCCCTCCCTGCAGCTGAGACTGACTCTGGTTGCTCTCTGGAAACCTGCTTGTCACCTGCCCCGGTTCCGTGCAGCCTCCACTCAGACTCTGTCTGCCCTGGGTCTCCTGCTGACCCTGGCTGTTGGTTTCAAGTCGCAGGCTGGACACTATTCCTGGAAGAGGGCTGCCTGGTACTCATGTCTCTGACGCCGGGTGGACCCCTCCTTCCCCCCACAGCACCGGGCAAGCCTCTGTCGCTTGCTTCCTGTTGGCATTGTGCCTTGATTATCAGCAGAAGCTGCTGGAATCGAATTCCTGCCTTCCCCACCTGGCTCAGGACCTGACACAGGTTAGGGTCTCCACAGACATTGTCAGGACCTCGGATCCTCCCACCTCATTGTGAGATATTTGTGCCCGTAATACTACAGGGTGACTAATTTTCCCCTTCGTAGTACTCATGTCTGCTATTTGTTCCAGCCCTTATTATGTGAAAAATTAACACCTGCTCCTTTTCCTCTCCTTGTCATTCCCGAAGATATCTGCGGGTGCTGTGTGAGCATCTTAGAGACATTCTCAACCTTGTACTTCTCACCCTGGCTGGCTAAATCTCTCAGTCAATTTGACCTCAGATGTCATATCTGATATTGCTAATCTATGAAAATACATCTCTGAATTTAGGGACAATGACAAGTGCCACATCAGATGTCTCCTAATTCATAATTTATAGGTGTCTCATTCATAACTGCCTCTCCTCCCATTCCAAACTCACTGAATATGCAGGAGAGGAGAAGCAGCAATTATTTATAATAACTTTATTAGCTATAATTTGCATCTATCTTCTGAAAGGATAGAGTGATGTTTCTGGGAGCTGCATATTAAACACAAGTGCTTCTACTTGACCTTGCCCCAATTCATTCCACACACAGCAGTGTGTCTTTCTTCCTGGAAAGGATGGGTACAATTTGTCACCACACAAATTATACTGTACTTGCTGTTGACATTCTTTTATCAGATAAATTACTTGTACTTATTATGCTGAAGGCAGTTTCCATGAAAATTTGATATTGTGAAAATCTTAGTTTAAGTTGGGACTAAGAGGATTGGATCTCTTTCTACAATGGACAGAGAAATACCGGTCTTGATTACAGGTGTCCGTGACAGTTTTCTGGAATAAAAACCCAGATATTTTGTGTCTTCTAGTTTGCAGCACAGTTCAGGCATGTCCTGTGCCTCCAGCTGGCTGTCCTTCCATGTGGTGAGGCATCGCACACACCTGGGCACAGATGCACCCCATCCTTCTCTGCAACCTGTGGTCGGGGAGCCGGAGGCAGAGAAGGGCCATGGGTGGCGATTTGCTTTCTACAACAACTGGAAGGGCAGAAAGTGATTCCAAACATGACTTACAGCAATGTTGTGAACTTAATCTCAAAAAGCTCCAGAAAACTTGTTACTAGCATGACAAAGTCATCTCTGAAAACCAACCATCCATTGTCAATGAGAAAAACGCACAAAATTTGAGGAAAGACAAAGAAAGCACTTGTTAGTGTTTTTCTGGAAAAAAAAAATCCCTTCTTGCCCAAGAGTAATATATGTTCATTATAGAGCTTTTTAAACTTCGAGGAAGTAAAAAAATTGAAATGAAAACTGTCCACATTTCTTTTGCCCAGAGATGGCCACTGTCAGCACTGTTGCAAGCCCTGCTCTCTCTCCTCTCCTTTTCTGTACGTACGTGTACTTTTAAAAATAAACATAGGCGTTTTCATTCCTCTTAAAAGATATGAAATTTCCTAATAGAAAATAAACTTAGTCTTCTCTTTAAAATGTTTACTCAAAAATTTTATCTTACACATTTGTATCGGATATGCATGTGTATAAATATTACTGATGAATTGTCAATAACGAAAAATGAATTTTCAGTAAAGACAACATTTTAACCTTCCTTTTCTTGTTTGTTGCTCTTTTGGCTCTTTATAATTAATCGAAATAATTTTTTTTTGTTTTTGGCACCTTTCTATTTTTTTTTTTTTTTTTAGACGGAGTCTCGCTTTGTCGCCCAGGCTGGAGTGCAGTGGTGTGATCTTGGCTCACTGCAAGCTCCACCTCCCGGGTTCATGCCATTCTTCTGCCTCAGCCTCCCAAGTAGCTGGGACTACAGGCACCCACCACCATGCCTGGCTAATTTTTTGTATTTTTAGTAGAGACGGGGTTTCACTGTGTTAGCCAGGATGGTCTCGATCTCCTGACCTTGTGATCCGCCTGCCTCGGCCTCCCAAAGGGTATACCAGTTGTCTGAAGACAACATATTCAATCAATTTGAGTCATTTTCTTAGCTCTCTCTTTTGTATTTTAACTTCCTACACTAATTAAAATTAATAGCAAATAAAAATTTTAAGCTAGTCAGAACAGAAGCTATTTTCCTGAATTTTTTTTTCTAAGATTGGTAACATTTATCAGACTTTAAAATCTATGTAATATAAGTGACAGAATGACTTTGAAAAGAGACCAATGCTGTGAGTCCGTGTCAGGCAGCCCTTTAATAGACACAGGTCACTGCAGGTGGAAACTGTTACATTATGATTGTGTGTGTGTTAGTGTGTGTACCACACTTTACATGATATTGACTGCAAACCACTAGAAAGTACATACTTAGGACATGTCCAGTGACACCAGACTGTTGAGTCATCAGAGGCTGAAGGAGACCCTAACACGCTGAGGGCACCTGGGAGGTGACCAGGACCCACACCGTTCCTGGTTTGTTTAGACAAAGTAGATGAGGTCTCCGTTAAGCAGCCTGCAGGAACTCCCATGCTAGACTCAGCAGAGCTAGAAGCTTCTCAGAGACCCTTGTTTAGACATTGTGACAACGCCTAACGGGACTTCTTCCCCATGTTTCTCATTAGGAATAGCAATTTAAGCTGTAGTGTAAGACATTTCTTATTATGGGTTTATAGCTATTAATATGACAATGAAAGATAATCTTTCTTAGGCCACATCTTGTATGATTCCATTTAGGTGAAATGTCCAGAATCAGTGAATTCGATAGAGACAGAAAGGAGATGAGTGGTTGCTAGGAGTGGGGGATGGGGTTGGGGTTGGGGTTGGGGTTGGGGTGGGGGTTGGGGTGGGGGTTGGGGTGGAGGATGCGGTGAGGGTTGGGATGGGGGATGGGGTGAGGGTTGGGGTGGGGGTTGGGGTGGGGGTTGGGATGGGGGATGGAGTGGGGTTGGGGTGTGACTGCGTGACTGCTAATGGGAATGGTGTTTCTTTTTTTTTTTTTTTTTTGAGTCGGAGTCTTGCTCTGTTGCCCAGGCTGGGGTGCAGTGGTGCGATCTTGGCTCACTGCAAGCTCCGCCTCCCAGGTTCACACCATTCTCCTGCCTCAGCCTCCTGAGTAGCTGGGACTACAGGTGCCCGCAGCCACGCCTGGCTAATTTTTTGTATTTTTAGTAGAGACGGGGTTTCACCATGTTAGCCAGGATGGTCTCTATCTCCTGACTTCGTGATCTACCTGCCTCGGCCTCCCACAGTGCTGGGATTAAGGCGTCAGCCACCGCACCTGGCCGGTGTGGTGTTTCTTTCTGGGGTGAAGGAAATGCTCTAAAATGAAGTCATGGTGATGGCTACATAACTCTGTGAAGATATTAACCTATTAAGTTGTGGACTTTAGATGGGTGACTCCTACAGTATGTAATTTACATCAATAAAGACGTAAAAATCCTTCCTTTTGTCTAACATCTGTAGGGCTATGACTTACTCTGATGTCCTTGTTTACTCTAGCGTGGAGTCAACGAGCTTATTATTTGATCTAGTCTCCATGATGGCTTGTTTGTTTACAGCTGAGCAAGTTTACATAGGGCAAAATTAAATTTTCATATTAATTGTGTAAAACAATGTCCAGATGCATTCAAAGTTTCCTTTATGTCAGAATGCAAAGATGTTTCTACTGCCTTTCATTTTTTAAAAAACTAAAAGTTTTAGTATGTGGCTTTTAGATATTTCATGACAGAAAATGTAATGTTTACTTATTCCAGATGTTGTCAGCTTCTGCAATATAAATGTAAATCAGAAAAAAGCAAGGTTACAGCCTAGCATTCTGTTATTATGTGTCAAACCACACATCATTACATCGTCTCATTTTCCATCTTTAGCTAGCTAGTTGTAAATAGTCTGGACTGTACCTTAAGAACCCGTTCTTCTATTATATTTAAGCTCTGAGTGGAAGTGGAGCTGAAGCAACTGGAAAGAGGAAAAGGGTTGGGCCAAGCTGTGCAGTAGGCAGGATGAGCCGGCAGCCTCGGTGCTGAGATTTGCTTATGTCTGGGAGTCACGGGCAACAAAAGGAGCCTCAGGGCCCGTTCCCTTCCTTGTCCACCTTTGTGGCCCTTCGATATTGTCTACAGATTGGGGTGGCCGTCTAAACAGAAGGTGCAAGGAGATCATTCGCTGTTTCAGATCCTCCTGATGCCCCGCTGTGCTCTGGGTGCGTGGCTGACACCTTCCTTCAACCACCAGCCCACGGGGCCTCCTGCGACACCTCCCACTGTCCCAGGGAGCGTGGCCACCATAGGCCAGGCCCCTGCACGACAGCTGCTGCCCCTCTGTCCAACTGACCCCGCCCCTTGGGTCTCACTGCCTTCAGGAGCCTCCTGGGAACTCCCACGTTTCTGGGTAAAGTCCCTCTTCATCCTTCTATAGACTGCATATTGTGTGATTCCATTTATATGAAACGTCCAGAATAAAAAGAAAGAGAGAGAGAGAGAGAGCATAGATTGCTGACGGCCGGGCTAGGCTGTGGGGGCTGCTCATCAGCATGGGGAGGACGCACCTCAGCTTTTGAGGCCTCTGCCCTTGGTGTGCTTCTACATCCCTGACCTTCCAGCCAAGCCAGGCCTGGCTGCTCTGGGATTTGTCACCTCCAGGCCTTTGTTTCTGGGGCCCCCCCTTTCCCAGTCACCACTGAAATCCTGGCTCGAGTCCCCTTGGATGTCACTGCCTCCATGGTCACCGCTGAACTCCTGGCTCGAGTCCCCTTGGATGTCACTGCCTCCATGATCACCTCTGAAATCCTGACTCAAGTCCCCCTGGATGTCACTGCCTCCATGGTCACCGCTGAACTCCTGGCTCGAGTCCCCTTGGATGTCACTGCCTCCATGATCACCTCTGAAATCCTGACTCAAGTCCCCTTGGATGTCACTGCCTCCATGGTCACCGCTGAAATCCAGGCTTGAGTCCCCTTGGATGTCACTGCCTCCATGGTCACTGCTGAAATCCAGGCTCGAGTCCCCTTGCATGTCACTGCCTCATGGTCACATTCGGGGACCCTCTGCATTAGACATCTCTTCCTCCTCTGAACTCCCAGCACGTGGCAGAACTTCTCACGCAAGGCAGTCACATTTGTATTTTGTTATTTGTGCAGTTGTTGTATTCATTCTTTGCAGAAAGGAACTGTGTCTAATTTTCCTTAGTGTTCTCCAGTGACCACCGCACCTGCTGTAAGAGGTGCTTAGTAAGTACTTGCAGGGTTGAATGGTTAAGCTTTTCTCTCTCTTCCTCCTCATTGCAGTGTGGCTTGGGGGTGCTGTGAGCAGCACAGGTTGCTCCCGCTCTGCATCGCAGACTCCCTTGTTCACTTGAATTCCCCCTAGGGATTATACGTCATTTTTTTTGTTTGTTTGCCTTTTTGTTTTGTTTTGTTTTGTTTTGTTTTGAGATGCAGTCTTGCTCTATCGCCAGGCTGGAGTGCAGTGGTGCGATCTCGGCTCACTGCAACCTCTGCCTCCCAGGTTCAAGTGATTCTCATGCCTCAGCCTCCTAAGTAGCTGGGATTACAGGTGTGCGCTGCCACGCCCAGCTAATTTTTGTGTTTTTAGTACAGACAGGGTTCCACCATGTTGACCAGGCTGGTCTCGAACTCCTGACCTCAAGTGATTTGCCTGCCTTGGCCTCCCAAAGTGCTAGTATTACAGGCGTGAGCCACTGCACCAGCCTAGTATTATTTTTACCACATTTATTTTTTATTATAACTCTCACTCTACTGCAAATTTTTGACTGCAGAAACTTAATACCCATCAAAGATCATGACAAATTTATGTTCAGATGTATTTTAAGGAGTAGTGATACCATTATGAAATTTGGGAAGCTAACACAGCTCAGTGTTTAAGAGTTAATGCCCTGCAGTGAGACCTCTGGGTTTTACTCCCTTTCATTCCACTTAGCAGCCATGTGATCTTGAGCAGGTTTTAAATTTGGAGTATCGGTTTCCTTATCCAAAGAGTGGGGATGATAATAGTACTAACTTCAAAAGATTTATGTGAGAATTAAATAACAGAATGCAAATAAAGCATTTAGCAGAGTGCCGACTCATTAGTAAATGATAATAGCTGCTGGAGATGATCACAACCCATTGCCTCAACTTATGGCCATGTCTCCTCTAAGGCGTCTCCTCTCCATCGTCTCTTCAGTTCAGACATTTATGTTGCTGAGCATCGTGTCATGTATCAGGTCTGCCTCACAGGAGACAACAGAGTGCAAGATAGGGCATCAGAATGATGTCACAGTCCCCAGACTATACTGATGTTCCACGAGAACCTTAGCATGCAGTGCCAGCCATGAGAAACTTAGCAGTATAGTACTATCCATGAAAAAGTACCACCCACGAGAACCTTAGCAGTATAGTACTATCCACCAGAAAGTACCATCCACGAGAACCTTAGCATAGGGTACCATCCACGAGAACCTTAGCAGTATAGTACTATCCACGAGAAAGTACTATCCACGATAACCTTAGCAGTATAGTACCATCCACAAGAAAGTACCATCCACGAGAACCTTAGCATAGAGTACCATCCACGAGAACCTTAGCAGTATAGTACTATCCATGAGAAAGTACCATCCACAAGAACCTTAGCATAGAGTACCATCCACAAGAACCTTAGCATGCAGTACCACCCACGAGAACCTTAGCATAGGGTAGCAGCCACGAGAACCTTAGCAGTATAGTACTATCCATGAGAAAGTACCATCCACGAGAACCTTAGCATAGAGTACCATCCACAAGAACCTTAGCATGCAGTACCAGCCACGAGAACCTTAGCAGTATAGTACTATCCATGAGAAAGTACCAGCCGTGAGAACCTTAGCATAGAGTACCATCCACGAGAACCTTAGCAGTATAGTACTATCCACGAGAAAGTACCATCCACGAGAACCTTAGCATAGAGTACCATCCACGAGAACCTTAGCAGTATAGTACTATCCACGAGAAAGTACCATCCACGAGAACCTTAGCATGCAGTACCAGCCACGAGAACCTTAGCAGTATAGTACCATCCATGAGAAAGTACCATCCACGAGAACCTTAGCATAGAGTACCATCCATGAGAACCTTAGCATACAGTACTATCCATGAGAACCTTAGCATAAAGTACCATCTAAGAACCTTAGCATAGAGTACCATCCACGAGAACCTTAGCATATAGTACCATCAGAGCCTTAGCATAGAGTACCATCCATGAGAACCTTAGCATAGAGTACCATCCACGAGAACCTTAGCATACCATACCATCCATGAGAACCTTAGCATAAAGTACCATCTGAGAACCTTAGCATAGAGTACCATCCACAAGAACCTTAGCATGTGGTACCATCAGAACCTTAGCATAGAGTACCATCCACGAGAACCTCAGCATAGAGTACCATCCACGAGAACCTCAGCATAGAGTACCATCCACGAGAACCTCAGCATAGAGTACCATCCTCGAGAACCTCAGCATAGAGTACCATCCACGAGAACCTTAGCATAGAGTACCATCCACGAGAACCTTAGCATAGAGTACCATCCACGAGAACCTTAGCATAGAGTACCATCCACGAGAACCTTAGCATACCATACCATCCATGAGAACCTTAGCATAAAGTACCATCTGAGAACCTTAGCATAGAGTACCATCCATGAGAACCTCAGCATAGAGTACCATCCACGAGAACCTCAGCATAGAGTACCATCCACGAGAACCTTAGCATACAGTACTTTCTACAAGAACCTTTGCATATAGTACTATCCACTATTATCAGAGCGTGCACCAGCCTCTTCCTTCTCCTTTCGTTGTGAAAAGCTGCAGATGCACTTTGTGGATGTTTCATTCCATAGAGGGAGCTGTTCACAAATGCTCAGCACTCCCAGGAAGGAGGGAAGGAGAGTGTCCTCCTAACACCAAAAATATCTCAAAATAAAAAAATCCTCATTAAAGAATATTCACACTCATGAGTTAAGAAAAAGAAAAGGAGAAATTGCCTGGAATAAATTCAGATCACCCTTTGATTCTGTCCACTGAGACGTATAAGTAACTGCTCCATTAAACAGAGGCAGCATAGACCAGAATGGAGGCTGCAGCTCACAGCCTGGGCTCCCTGCCCAGTGAGCTGCGCCCAGCCAGCCTCAAGTACGGTGCTCACCTGTTCTCAGCAAACAGCTGGATAATAGGCACCAAAGTTATTTTTCAATGTAATACAAAAACATAAAATCATATGTTGACAACTCTTTCCCTCCCTAGAGAAAAGAAAGGATGATGTCAAAACATCAGACAAACAAAATAAAACTCCAGACATGGGGGCAGCCAGATTCATGACAAGAAGCCACACTATTTCAAAATGATTTTCCATAAAATTAAAATATAATGCATGAACATTTAAACTTATGTTTGCTAGCACTTACACAAACACCTGTGGATATAGATGCCATTTACTTGAATCCATATTAAATATCCATATTAAATAAATAACTTCAGTATTTTGTCCTCATGGTGGGAACATGACAAGGCCACTCAAAGAAACCCATCGCAGGGAGCAAGCCCTCTCACTCACCACTGGAAAGAACATAGAGAGTGACATCCCCTGGAAGGCTCTGAGACATGGCGGAGTGGAAGACTGCTTCTGGAGCCAGGATGCCTGGGTGGAAACTGACAGTCTCCTGGAAGGCTCTGAGATATGGGGGCTATGAGGAATGCTTCTGGAGCCACGATGCCTGGGTGGAGGGTGACATCCCCTGGAAGGCCTGAGACATGGTGGAGGGGAGGACTGCCTCTGGAGCCAGGATGCCTGGGTGGAAACTGACAGTCCCCTGGAAGGCTCTGAGATATGGTGGCCATGAGGAATGCTTCTGGAACCACAATGCCTGGGTGGAGGGTGGCAGTCCCTTGGAAGGCTCTGAGATATGGTGGAGGGGAGGACTGCTTCTGGAGCCAGGATGCCTGGGTGGAAACTGACAGTCCCCTGGAAGGCTCTGAGATATGGCGGAGGGGAGGACTGCTTCTGGAGCCAGGATGCCTGGGTGGAAACTGACAGTCCCCTGGAAGGCTCTGAGATATGGTGGCCATAAGGAATGCTTCTGGAGCCATGATGCCTGGGTGGAGGGTGACAGTCCCCTGGAAGGCTCTGAGACATTGCAGAGGGGAGGACTGCTTCTAGAACCAGGATGCCTGGGTGGAGGGTCGCAGTCCCCTGGAAGGCTCTGAGACATTGCAGAGGGGAAGACTGCTTCTAGAACCAGGATGCCTGGGTGGAGAGTGAGAGCTGTGAAAGGCTCTGAGATATGGCAACCATGAGGACTGAATCTAGAACCAGGATGCCTGGGTGGAGGGTGAGAGTTGTGGAAGGCTCTGAGATATGGCAGCCATGAGGACTGAATCTAGAACCAGGATGCCTGGGTGGAGGGTGAGAGTCGTGGAAGGCTCTGAGATATGGCAGCCTTGAGGACTGAATCTAGAACCAGGATGCCTGGGTGGAGGGTGAGAGTCATGGAAGGCTATGAGACATGGCAGCCATGAGGACTGAATCTAGAACCAGGATGCCTGGGTGGAGGGTGAGAGTTGTGGAAGGCTCTGAGATATGGCAGCCATGAGGACTGAATCTAGAACCAGGATGCCTGGGTGGAGGGTGAGAGTTGTGGAAGGCTCTGAGATATGGCAACCATGAGGACTGAATCTAGAACCAGGATGCCTGGGTGGAGGGTGAGAGTCGTGGAAGGCTCTGAGATATGGCAGCCATGAGGACTGAATCTAGAACCAGGATGCCTGGGTGGAGGGTGAGAGTCATGGAAGGCTATGAGACATGGCAGCCATGAGGACTGAATCTAGAACCAGGATGCCTGGGTGGAGGGTGAGAGTCGTGGAAGGCTATGAGACATGGCAGCCATGAGGACTGAATCTAGAACCAGGATGCCTGGGTGGAGGGTGAGAGTCGTGGAAGGCTATGAGACATGGCAGCCATGAGGACTGAATCTAGAACCAGGATGCCTGGGTGGAGGGTGAGAGTCATGGAAGGCTATGAGACATGGCAGCCATGAGGACTGAATCTAGAACCAGGATGCCTGGGTGGAGGGTGAGAGTTGTGGAAGGCTATGAGACATGGCAGCCTTGAGGACTGAATCTAGAACCAGGATGCCTGGGTGGAGGGTGAGAGTTGTGGAAGGCTATGAGACATGGCAGCCATGAGGACTGAATCTAGAACCAGGATGCCTGGGTGGAGGGTGAGAGCTGTGAAAGGCTCTGAGATATGGCAACCATGAGGACTGAATCTAGAACCAGGATGCCTGGGTGGAGGGTGAGAGTCATGGAAGGCTATGAGACATGGCAGCCATGAGGACTGAATCTAGAACCAGGATGCCTGGGTGGAGGGTGAGAGTCATGGAAGGCTCTGAGATATGGCAGCCATGAGGACTGAATCTAGAACCAGGATGCCTGGGTGGAGGGTGAGAGTCATGGAAGGCTATGAGACATGGCAGCCTTGAGGACTGAATCTAGAACCAGGATGCCTGGGTGGAGGGTGAGAGTCATGGAAGGCTATGAGACATGGCAGCCATGAGGACTGAATCTAGAACCAGGATGCCTGGGTGGAGGGTGAGAGTTGTGGAAGGCTATGAGACATGGCAGCCATGAGGACTGAATCTAGAACCAGGATGCCTGGGTGGAGGGTGAGAGTCGTGGAAGGCTCTGAGACATGGCAGCCATGAGGACTGAATCTAGAACCAGGATGCCTAGGTGGAGGGTGAGAGTCATGGAAGGCTCTGAGACATGGCAGCCATGAGGACTGAATCTAGAACCAGGATGCCTGGGTGGAGGGTGAGAGTCATGGAAGGCTATGAGACATGGCAGCCTTGAGGACTGAATCTAGAACCAGGATGCCTGGGTGGAGGGTGAGAGTCATGGAAGGCTATGAGACATGGCAGCCATGAGGACTGAATCTAGAACCAGGATGCCTGGGTGGAGGGTGAGAGTCATGGAAGGCTATGAGACATGGCAGCCATGAGGACTGAATCTAGAACCAGGATGCCTGGGTGGAGGGTGAGAGTCATGGAAGGCTATGAGACATGGCAGCCATGAGGACTGAATCTAGAACCAGGATGCCTGGGTGGAGGGTGAGAGTCATGGAAGGCTATGAGACATGGCAGCCTTGAGGACTGAATCTAGAACCAGGATGCCTGGGTGGAGGGTGAGAGTCATGGAAGGCTCTGAGATATGGCAGCCATGAGGACTGAATCTAGAACCAGGATGCCTGGGTGGAGGGTGAGAGTCATGGAAGGCTATGAGACATGGCAGCCTTGAGGACTGAATCTAGAACCAGGATGCCTGGGTGGAGGGTGAGAGTCGTGGAAGGCTCTGAGACATGGCAGCCATGAGGACTGAATCTAGAACCAGGATGCCTGGGTGGAGGGTGAGAGTCATGGAAGGCTATGAGACATGGCAGCCATGAGGACTGAATCTAGAACCAGGATGCCTGGGTGGAGGGTGAGAGTCATGGAAGGCTATGAGACATGGCAGCCATGAGGACTGAATCTAGAACCAGGATGCCTGGGTGGAGGGTGAGAGTTGTGGAAGGCTCTGAGATATGGCAGCCATGAGGACTGAATCTAGAACCAGGATGCCTGGGTGGAGGGTGAGAGTTGTGGAAGGCTATGAGACATGGCAGCCATGAGGACTGAATCTAGAACCAGGATGCCTGGGTGGAGGGTGAGAGTCATGGAAGGCTATGAGACATGGCAGCCATGAGGACTGAATCTAGAACCAGGATGCCTGGGTGGAGGGTGAGAGTTGTGGAAGGCTATGAGACATGGCAGCCATGAGGACTGAATCTAGAACCAGGATGCCTGGGTGGAGGGTGAGAGTTGTGGAAGGCTCTGAGATATGGCAGCCATGAGGACTGAATCTAGAACCAGGATGCCTGGGTGGAGGGTGAGAGTCGTGGAAGGCTCTGAGACATGGCAGCCATGAGGACTGAATCTAGAACCAGGATGCCTGGGTGGAGGGTGAGAGTTGTGGAAGGCTCTGAGATATGGCAGCCATGAGGACTGAATCTAGAACCAGGATGCCTGGGTGGAGGGTGAGAGTCGTGGAAGGCTCTGAGACATGGCAGCCTTGAGGACTGAATCTAGAACCAGGATGCCTGGGTGGAGGGTGAGAGTCGTGGAAGGCTATGAGACATGGCAGCCATGAGGACTGAATCTAGAACCAGGATGCCTGGGTGGAGGGTGAGAGTCATGGAAGGCTATGAGACATGGCAGCCATGAGGACTGAATCTAGAACCAGGATGCCTGGGTGGAGGGTGAGAGTCATGGAAGGCTATGAGACATGGCAGCCATGAGGACTGAATCTAGAACCAGGATGCCTGGGTGGAGGGTGAGAGTCGTGGAAGGCTATGAGACATGGCAGCCATGAGGACTGAATCTAGAACCAGGATGCCTGGGTGGAGGGTGAGAGTTGTGGAAGGCTCTGAGACATGGCAGCCATGAGGACTGAATCTAGAACCAGGATGCCTGGGTGGAGGGTGAGAGTCATGGAAGGCTCTGAGACATGGCAGCCATGAGGACTGAATCTAGAACCAGGATGCCTGGGTGGAGGGTGAGAGTCATGGAAGGCTATGAGACATGGCAGCCATGAGGACTGAATCTAGAACCAGGATGCCTGGGTGGAGGGTGAGAGTCATGGAAGGCTCTGAGACATGGCAGCCATGAGGACTGAATCTAGAACCAGGATGCCTGGGTGGAGGGTGAGAGTCATGGAAGGCTATGAGACATGGCAGCCTTGAGGACTGAATCTAGAACCAGGATGCCTGGGTGGAGGGTGAGAGTTGTGGAAGGCTCTGAGATATGGCAGCCATGAGGACTGAATCTAGAACCAGGATGCCTGGGTGGAGGGTGAGAGTCATGGAAGGCTCTGAGACATGGCAGCCATGAGGACTGAATCTAGAACCAGGATGCCTGGGTGGAGGGTGAGAGTCATGGAAGGCTATGAGACATGGCAGCCATGAGGACTGAATCTAGAACCAGGATGCCTGGGTGGAGGGTGAGAGTTGTGGAAGGCTATGAGACATGGCAGCCATGAGGACTGAATCTAGAACCAGGATGCCTGAGTTTGAATTTCATCTCCACCACTTTCTCCTTTGGTGACCCTAGCCAAAGTATTTCACTTCTTTATCACTTGCTTTCTTCATCTGTAAGATGGGGATAATAATAGTCCCAATTTTATAGGTTGTTAGAAGGAATAAATGACTCATGATTTCTGAAGTTCTTAGAACAGTGCGAGTATTGTATGAAGTATTATATAAGGTAAGCCCTATAAGTGCTTGTGGAATGGAAAGCCTTCAGAAATTAAAAAACGAAAACAGAGAAACCCGTGCAATCACTGCACTTTTTTATTTTTACCTTTTGGCCAGCCCAGTGGGAGCTGGATAAGCACATTTTAGCTTCTTGTAGTAGGATCACATCATTACAGAGCCCCATATAAACACAACAACCTTCCTGGTGTGATCATGGCAACCATGGGGAGCACCTCGATCTATACCCACACCACAGAACGCACCGCAGAAGCAATCAGCACAGGCCCGACAGCAGTGCATGTTTTTAGAACTAGACCCCTAAAGCAAGAAACAAAACTCTAGGCCCAGCATGATATTGCCCTAATTATGTCACGTGGGGATCTGTTTATATGTAGGTAATGTATATATCAAGAAAGACTGGAAAGAAATGCACACAAATGTTAGCCAAAATATTTAACAGTAGTGGGACTTGGGATGATTTTACTCCTTTTTATTTTTATTTATATTTGCCATGTGTTCTACAATGAACATGAATAGTATCAAAATTTGAAAGGAAAAAACTTTTAAAAGTGGGAGTTCTTCAAGGGGAAATTTTTCTTTTTAATTTCCTAGTAAAAAATAAAAATGTGAAGTTCAGAAACCCTTGTGGCGAAACACATATAATTTGTAAAAAACCCCTAAAATGAAGACGATGATGGGTTCTTTTCTGAGAACATGCAGGGAGGAAGGCATGGTCCTCTGCCAGGGGTCGGGGTCTCACCAGGTAGGAGGCGGGGCTCAGCATTGTTGATATGGTTTGGATGTGTGTCCCCGCCCAAATCTCATGTTGAATTGTCATCCCCAATGTTGGAGGAGGGGCCTGGGAGGAGGTGATGGGATCATGGAGGTGGCTTTCCCCCTTGCTGTTCCTGTGATGGTGAGTGAGTTCTCGTGAGATCTGGTTGTTGAAAAGTGTGTGGCACCTCCCGCTTCACTCTCTTCCTCCTTCTCCGGCCATGTGAAGACATGCCGGCTTCTTCTTTGCCTTCCGCCATGACTGTAAGTTTCCTGAGGCCTCCCCAGCCATGATTCCTGTACAGTCTGAGGAACCATGAGCCAGTTAAACCTCTTTTCTTCATAAATTACCCAGTTTCAGGTGGTTCTTCATAGCAGTGAGAGCACGGACTAATACAGTTGTCTACCCAACCCTCTGGCCCAGGGCTGGAGCTGGGGCATGAGACAACAGTCTTTGCCTTGAAACAGAAATGTTGACCTTTGTCAGCCCTGTGGCCAAAGTGGAAATTTCAGACCATGTGGGAATCGCAGGATTTGTCCTCCATCCGTGCATCATATTTTATTATGTTGGCAAAAATTATTTGTGCACTAACCAAATACTTGGTTACGTGTGCCTGGTTAATAAAGACTCATTACATTATAAATGGTGGATGTTAAAGAGATGTACTGGCCGGGCACAGTGGCTCACTTGTGTAATCCCAGCACTTTGGGAGGCCGAGGCAGGCGGATCACGAGGTCAGGAGTTAGAGACCAGCCTGACCAACATAGTGAAACCCCATCTCTACTAAAAATACAAAAATTAGCTGGGTCTGGTGGTGCATGCCTGTTATCCCAGCTACTCAGGAGGCGGAAGGCAGGAGAATCGCTTGAATCCAGGAGGCGGAGGTTGCAGTGAGCCAAGATCGTGCCACTGCACTCCAGCCTGGGCAACAGAGTGAGACTCCATTTCAAAAAAAAAAAAAAAGTAATCGTGAAACCTGCTTTTGTCAATCTTGATTATGTTGATTAAAGTATGAAAATTGGGCTCTTCCTATGATGTCAACAAATAATTGTTCAGGAATGCGAAATGTGGGCAACTAGGCACACATTCTTTTCACACTGGCTCTCAGCCACCTAGGAATATGAGGATGTGGCTGTTGGGACAACTAAACAGAAGATGACTTGTGTTTCCTTCAGAAGGTCCCAGACACAGCCATGGGATTTAAAAGTTGAAGAGATCATCACATTCTCACCCATCTCATTTCATAATTTTATGTAGGCTGAGGCGTGAAGTGAGGGGGCACCATTGCTTGAGTGAGAAGCATTTGCTGAAGATCCGTCAGACCCAGCAAGTGGCAGACCACAGCCTACATGCCTGCACGTGCTCACCGTGCACATTCCAGGACAGCACTGTCAGCAGAGAGCACCTGCGGACTCAGCTGCGGCTCTCCTGCCTCCCTCTACACACTCGTCAACGCCACTGCCTCAGCCCCCAGAGACAAGTGTCAGTCGCCCAGAGATCATTCCAACCAGCCCTGCCAGGCATTATTTTCACATCACAGCTCACTTTTCTGAATTCCAAGTCCCAGTTTTGTTTCTCTCAGGTCTGTTATCCTGTGGGCCTTTACTAATTTATGTGGTTGAATTATAGGATTGGAAGGAATGAACATGAAAGAAATTCAAGCTCTACGATTTCTATGGAAAAATTGAATTATGGCAAAATTTACAACTTTCGTGTTTTAAAGGTCGCTATTGAGAAAGCAAAAACACAACCCACAGAATGGAAAAAGAAATATTTGAAAACCATATGTCTAACAAGGGATTTGCATCTAGAAAATATAAAGAACCCTACAACTCACTAATAAGAAGATAAATGACCCAAATAACAAACGGGCAAAAGACTTGAATAGACATTTGTCCAAAGAAGATGTGGAAATGGTCAACATGCACATGAGAGGATGCTCAACATTGGCCATTAGGAAAATGCCAATCAAAGTCATAATGAGGCAACAGTTTACACTCATCAGGATGACTACAGTGAGAAAGACAGACAATAACAAGTGTTGGCAAAGATGGAGAGAAATTGGAACTCACATATACTGCTGGTGGGAATGCAAAATGGTGCCTTTGCTTTGGAAAGCAGTCTGGCAGTTCCTTAAAGGGTGAAATGTAGACATCATTTAACATACCTATTCCACCCCTTGGGATATACCCATGAGAAAAGAAATATGTCCACACGAAAACTTGTACATGAATATGTATAGAAGCATTAGTAATAATAATCAAAAGGTGAAAACAACCCAAATGTTCATCCTGATGAATGGGTTACAAAATGTGGTATATCCACATAGTGGAATGTTACTCACCATGAAAAGGAATGAGGCACTGGTACCTGCTACAATGCAGACAAAACTTATGCTGAGTAAAAGAAGCCAGTCGTGAAAGGCCTTGTATTGTATGGATTTATTTGTATAATATTTCCAGAATAGGCAAATCCAAAGAAACAAAGAGCAGATTGGTGGGTGCTTAGGCATGGGGATTTTGTAGAATTCCATTTGGATTTATCTGTAATGTTTTGAGTGTATCTCTTTGTATAGCTTGTTTGGTGACAGCTCTAGGTATTACATTATATATGTCTAGTGATCACAGTCTATTGGTGTTCTCATTTTACCAGTTCAGTTGGAGTATAGCAATCTTATCTCCCAGTAGTACATTCCTTTATTTTCTTATTTTTATTTTTTATATTTTTGAGACGGAGTCCTGCTCTGTTGCCCAGGCTGGAGTGCAGTGGCATGATCTCAGCTCACTGCAACCTCCACCTCCTGGGTTCAAGCAATTCTATGCTTCAGCCTCCCAAGTAGCTGGGATTACAGGTGCCCACCACCACACCCAGCTAATTTTTGTATTTAGTAGAGATGGGGTTTCACCATCTTGGCCAGCCTGGTCTTGAACTCCTGACCTTGTGATCTGCTCACCTTGGCCTCCCAAAGTGCTGGGATTACAAGCATGAGCCACTGTGCCCGGCCATCCCTTTATTTTATTTTTATTTATTTATTTATTTATTTTTGAGATGGAGTCTCACTCTGTCACCCAGGCTGGAGTGCAGTGGCACAATCTTGGCTCACTGCAACCTCTGCCTCCCAGGTTCAGGGGATTCTCCTGCCTCAGCCTCCCAAGTAGCTGGGATTACAGGCACCCACCCACACCCAGCTAATTTTTGTATTTTTAGTAGAGATGGGGTTTCACCATGTTAGCCAGGCTGGTCTTGAACTCCTGACCTCAAGTGATCCACCCACCTGGGCCTCCCAAAGTGCTGGGATTACACAAGTGAGCCGCCATGCCCGGCCAGTACTTCTCTTTAACATCCACCATTTATAATGTAATTTTCTTAAATATTTCTTCTCTACCTATTTACAGCCACATCAGACAATGTTATACTTACTTCAACAGTCGAATATAATTTGCTTAAGAGGAGAATGAAAGCCTATTATATTTACTCATATTTTGGCTTACCATGTTCTTTCTTCCCGATGATTCAAGGTTATTTCTTATGTCATTCCATTTCTATTTATAAAAATTCATTTAGCCATTCTTTTAGAGTAAGCCTACTTGCAACAAACTTTCTTAGTTCATCTTCATCTGACAAAGTTGATTTCCCCTTGGTTCCTGAAGAACATTTTTTTTCTGGGCACAGGATTCCTTAAAAAAATACTGTATTTCCTTTATATAAAATTCAAGTAAATGCAAATGAATATTTAGCAACAGAGAGAAGATAAGCAATTGAGAACTGGGTGAGGAGGGAGGAGGATGGCATGATTACAAAGGTTGTTAAACAACTTTTGTGGCTATGAATCTATTCATCGTCCTGATTTTGGTCATGGTTTCATGCTGGGAATAGAATTCTGAGTTGATGGTTCTTTTCTTTCAGCACCTGAAAAATATTTTGCTGCTTTCTTCAGGCCTCCGTGTTTTTTGATGAGAAATCTGCTATCATTTAAATTGTTTTCTCCTATAAGTGAAGTTCTGTTTTTCTCTGGCTGCTTTCAAAGCTTTTTGTCTTTAGTTTCCAAAAGTTTAATTATGACATAGCTTAGTGTGGATTTGGGCTTACCCTGTTTGAGGTTTTTCCAGCTTCTTGAATCTGTAGGTCGTCTCATCAAATTAGAAAATTTTCAGCCATTATTTCTTTCAGTATTTTTTTAGTCCCACTCTTGCTTTTCCTTCTGGTACTCTCTTGATGGGAGTGTTAGATCTTTTCTTATCATCTCACAGGTGTCTCAGGTTCTTTTTTTTCAGTCTATTTTGTCTTTATTGTTCAGGTTGGGTAATTTCTCTTATTCTATCTTCCATTTTACTAATTCTTTTTTCTTCACCCTCCATTTTGCTGTTGAGACCATTGACTGAGCTTTTTATTTGGCTTTTATATTTTTCAGTTCTAAAATTTGTTTGATTCTTCTTTATATCTTCTATTTCTTTGTCAAGATTTTTTGTTTTTTGCCAGGCACAGTGGCTCACGCCTGTAATCCTAGCACTTTGGGAGGCTGAGGTGGGTGGATCACCTGAGGTCAGGAGTTTGAGACCAGCCTGACCAAGACGGTGAAACCCCATCTTTAAAAAATACAAAAATTAGCCGGGCACGGTGGTGGGCACCTGTAATCCAAGCTACTCAGGAGGCTGAGGCAGGAGAATTGCTTGAACCCGGGAAGTGGAGGTTGCAGTGAGCTGAGATTGTGTCATTGCACTCCAGCTTTGGCGACAGAGCAAGACTCCATCTCAAAAAAAAAAAAAAAAGATTTTCTGTTTTTTGTTTTTTGTTTTTTTCATTTGTTTCAAGCATATTTGCAATTGCCTGTTGAAGCATTTTATCATGGATGCTATAAAATCATTGTCAGGATTTTAACATCTCTGCCCTCTCAGCTTGGCCTCTGTTGATTGTCCTTTTCTCATAGTTTGAGATTTTCCTGGTTCTTGCTGTGACAAGTGACTTTATTTTTATTTTTTTATTTTTTGAGATGGAGTCTTACTCTGTTGGCCAGGCTGGAGTACAGTGGCCCAATCTCAGCTCACTGTAGCCTCCACCTCCCAGGTTCAAGTGATTCTCCTGCCTCGGCTTCCCAAGTAGCTGGAACGACAGGCACATGCCACCATGCCTAGCCATTTTTTGTACTTTTTTTTTTCTTTTTTTTTAGTAGAGACAGGGTTTCATCATGTTGGCCAGGCTGGTCTTAAAGTCCTGACCTCAGGTGACCCACCCTCTTTGGCCTCTCAAAGTGCTGGAATTACAGGCATGAGCCACCGCAGCTGGCCACAAGTGACTTTAGATTGAAACCTGGACCCTTTCACATCATGTTAGGAGACTCTGGATCTTATTTAAACCTTCTCTTGTAACTGATTTTTTCTGACAGCACTCCAGCAACAGGAGTGGAGGTGCCCCCTTGTTCCTGCCGGGTGGGGGCAGGAGTCCAGTTCCCCACACAGCCTCTGTTGATGCCTGAGATTGGGGCATGGGGGGTGTCATTGTTATGCTGAACAGCTGTGGCAGTCCTGGCTCCCAGCATGATCACTGCTGGCACCATGGTGGCGGCGGGAGAGTGAAATGGGTAGGGGGTGATGGTGGTATTTGTCCATATCACCACTAGGGGCTGGAGAAAGTCCAGACTCTCCTAGTATGGAGTAGGAGGGGGCCTCTGTTGCTGCCAGTGGGGGTGGACGTCAGGCTCCCCACATGCTCTCTGCTGCCACGGCAGGGTGGGGTCCTCATCTTTAGCTGGCAGGAAGGAAGGTCCTTGTTTGAAACCACACTGGTGGGATACTGGGATCCTCGTTGCAGTCTTGTGAGGGAGGCTGCAGGTGTGGTTAGGGGTAGGGACAGAATTTCGTTGAAGTAGCTGGTAGATGGTCTGAAAATTTTCTCTCATGCTGGGTAGCCCCTTTCCTGGCCCTTAGGCTGGAGAATACAGGCTTTTGTTAATCCTTTTTTTGTCTGTGCCTGGGCTTTTCTGCTACCAGCTTCTCATCCCCACGTCTGAGAGAACCTAGGGGAGGCTCTGCCCCATTCCTCAGGTCCTGAGCTCCCAACCTGTCTGCTTTTGTCTCCCCACCTTCCAGAGTCTTCTTGGGTTTGTTTTACATGTGATATCCAGGGATTTCAGCTGTATTTAGTGAGAGGGAGAAGAAAATGTGTGTTCACTCACCTTCCTGAAAGCAGAAGTCAGTGGTGTGTGCTTTGGTGTGTGCTTGTCGTGTCATTGCTCATCCTGCTGCTTGTCTTTTCACTCTACTGTGTCTTTTAATTAACAGAAGATCTTAATTTTGATCAATTTTTTGTTTTTAATATTTTTTATAATCTGTTTTGAAGAATCTTCACTGAGCCCATAAAGATACTTTGTCCTATGTGATTTTCTAGAAGCTTTATTATTTACTTTTCACATTTAGGCCTACAATTCACCTGGGGTTGAATTTTTTTTTTTGGTATGGGGTGGCACAAGGGCCAAGTTTCCAGTTTTGTCCTGTGGTTATCCCAATGACCAGCACCGTGGATCAAAACCACCACCCTTCCCTTGCTGCTCTGCAAGGTTAATTGGTCATAAATCAAGTATTCATATGTGGGTATGTGTGTTTCCCGACTCTTCATTCTGCCCCACATGTCCTTTGTCTCGCTGAAATCACACTGTCCTGCACGATGGCACTAGGGTCACGTCTTGGCGTTGAGTGATGTGAGCATCAAACTTGGTCTTCAGGATTGCCTTGGCTGTTCTTGAATCTTTGCATTTCCATATAAATTTTAGAACCTGCTCGTCAACTTATAAAATAGCAATCTGGATTTCCATCGTATTGCACTGAATCCATCTATAGACCAAATCCTTACAATTTGTGAACATGGAATAATCCACCATTTATTGAAATCTTTCACCTTTTTGGTTTTTTCGTTTTTGTTTTTCTTTTGAGGCAGAGTCTCACTCTGTCGCCTAGGCTGGAGTGCAGTGGCACAGTCACAGTTCAATGCAGCCTCAACCTCCTGGGCTCGGGCAATCCTCTCACCACAACCTCCTGAGTAAATGGGACCACAGGCGTGCACCACCATGCCCGCCTAATTTTTATTTCATTTTATTTGCAGAGGCGAGATTTCGCCCTGCTGCCCAGGCTGATCTTGAACTCTTAGACTCCTCCCACCTTGGCTTCCCAAAGTACTGGGATTACAGGCGTGAGCCACCATGCCCAATCTGAATTCTTTCACTTTGAAATCCAGTATACCCTTTTTTTTTTTGGAGACGGAGTCTTGCTCTGTCGCCCAGGCTGGAGTGCAGTGGTGCAATCTCGGCTCACTGCAAGCTCCACCTCCCGGGTTCATGCCATTCTCCTGCCTCAGCCTCCTGAGTAGCTGGCACTACAGGTGCCTGCCACCACGCCTGGCTAATTTTTTGTGTTTTTGGTAGAGACGGGGTTTCACCGTGTTAGCCAGGATGGTCTCGATCTCCTGACCTCGTGATCCACCCGCCTCAGCCTCCCAAAGTGCTGAGATTACAGGCGTGAGCCACCGCACCTTGCCAAAATCTAGCGTACTTTGAATATGAGAAAGGCAATGCAGTGTGCATTCCATGTCCCACGTAACACGTTCAGAGGCTCTTGGGAGCGTCCCACAGTCACAGTCAGTCATATACTTCTGAAGGGAAACACGAATATTCACCATTAGCAAATACTCACCTTCATTAGGTTGATGTAAGTAGGTATATACACACGTGTGTATATGCATATATGCATATGTTTATATACATGTATGTGTATATGTATATGTATGTGTGTATATGTACGCACGTGTGTACAGATGGCCCCCAACTTACAATGGGTCGACTTACAGTTTTGTTTTTGAGACAGGGTCTTGCCCTGTCACCCAAGCTGGAGTGCAGAGTGGCACAATCAGGGTTCACTGCAGTCACGACCTCCCTGTTCAATCTATTGTCCCACTTTAGCCTCCATGCAGCTGGGGCTACAGGTGTGAGCCGCCACACCCAGCTAATTTCTGTATTTTTTTGTAGAGACAGGGTCTTGCTATATTGCCCAGGCTGGTCTCGAACTCCTGGGCTCAAGTGATCCTCCTTTCTTGGCCAAAGTTCTGGGATTACAGGCATCAGCCATGGTGCCTGGCCTTAACTTACAATTTTTCTCCTTTACCATGGTGTGAAAGTGATACATATTCAGTAGAAGCAATACCTTGACTTTTGGATTTTGGTCTTTTCCCAGGCTCCTCTCTGCAGCAGAAAGCTGAAGTCCCCAGTCAGCCACGTGCCACCAGGATCCACTGCTCTCTGCGAGCACTGACCATGCTGCCAGGTGATTTTGCTGCCGAGTGATTTTGCCCAGCTGTGGCCTAGGTCAGAGTTCTGAGCAAGTCGAAGGTAGGCGAGGCTAAGGCAGAATGTTCGGTAGGTGAGGTGTATTAAAATCATTCCCAGCTTACGATATTTTCAACTTTTGATGGGTTTATCAATTATATCCCAATGTTCGAGTGTATGTATACATGTATATATGTGTATGTTTATGTGCATGTATAGGTGTGTCTATGCATGTATATACATTGTGTGTATGTACCTATGTGTGTATATGTGTATTTATACATATGTATGTGTATATATAGGATGTTAGATGTATGTGTGTGTATACATATGTGTGTCTGTGTGTGTACATATACAGGATATATATAGGACACACACATACATACTATAAATACCCCCACTAGTTCTGGTCGGGCTTACCATCCAATAAATTATAGAACCACTTCCGGTCTTCAAAGCAGTTCAAGTTTCTCGAAGATAATAGATTGTCACCTGCATCAGCAAAGGCTCTGTGCTTCTACCTCTGACCGAGGGTGACAGAGTTACAGCATCCAGTCTCCAGGTCAGCCACCCAAGGCCAGCAGCCCCGCCCTCCACTCGGCTGTGTTCATACTGCGTGGAATCACGGTGACAGGGATTCCAGCGTCCACATCCTGCCAGGCTGCTGGCTCCTCTGCAGGGCTGGGTTTCACAACGCTGCCCGTGGAACAATGCTCATTTCACATAAAAAAGAAAGCAGCATAATTTGCAGATAACCCTCAATGGGAAACTTGGCAATTTAATTAAAAACAGCTCTTGAGGCCTCAAGTATTTTATTTTTCATAGTGAAAATTCGGAAAACCAGCAACCTACTACCAAGGGAGAGATAGGCGGCTGAGTTATTTTTAGCCATACTTTTCTGGGAACATACCAGAATTGTTCGGGATAATTTGATTTGTATCAATAACCCTGGTAGCTTTTAGTGAGACGTTAGTATACTCGGTGAGTGCCCAGATCTGAGCTTCGAATGGGAGGCTCCAGCCACGCCAATGTGGGGGACTGTGAAGAATACAACCGCGCTGCTTGGTGATTACAAGAAGTCCCTGCAGACGGAGGCGCCACGGCCCAGGACCCGCTGCCCTGACTCCCCGCGCGGGTCCCGGAGCTGGAGCTGGGTGGAGCCACGGGCAGGACTCGGCCCCTGCGCACCTGCCTGGCCACGGGCCGGGGGGAGCAGGACCTGCTGCCCAGCCACACTGGCTTTCTCGTGGGTCCGTGGGCTCATAGCCGTGGCCACGGCTCACAGGGCACCCGTCCTCCAGCAGAAATTTTTCTTCACAATAGAAAGGAGAGCAACACTTTCCGGAGAGAGATACTGTTGAAGACGCGCCCCTGATCCAGCCGGCTGTTGGATTCCATGTCTTTTTCTTGCAAACCAAATTAATTCAACATAAAAAGTCATCCATTTGAAAGGAATTTCCCATCAATGTCACTCAGAGAAGGCGACTTAGGCAATGACGCTTGCGAGAGATACTTTAATGCCGTTATTATATCAGTTTTAGCCAATCTAGCCACAACATCGAGGTGACTGCACCGTTTTTCCTTTCTTTGGTTTTCCATGTTACGTTTCATGACAGAAAATGGAAAGGAGAAAATGGACATGACGATCACACTTGGGTTATGCGCTGGAGAAGAGTCATAAATCTGTGTATTGATTCAGATTTTTAGATACAAGGCCCTATATCTTTCTAGCTAATGAAAGTCAGAGTTTGCTTTTTAACTTAATATCTCGCTGTATTAGAGATGCTTGTACCCATTTTGTTAAACGAGTGGAGTCTGTCTATGAGATGAAGGCATTTTTGGAGTCAGGTTGAGTTCCCTCTGGGAGACAATTCTGAAAGGATTTCTCACATTGAGCCGGCACTGAGTTCCCTTTGTTCTGGATGATCTTTTCAAGGGTGTTTATGTAGCAAGCAGCCTCGGAAGGTGAAGACAGTGTCTCCCCAGGAGCCATGGGCAGGCTTGCTCACAGCCGTGGAAGACAGGAATGATGTTTTCCTTTGGGGCACAGGGCAGGCAAGCTCAGTGCCTGTTATAAAAGGCTCGGGGGCCCTAAGCCCAGGCTCCTCCCATGCCCTGCAGCAGTTTGCAGGCCCTGCCTGGTCCTCATCGCACACCCCGTGGGAACTGCTGCAAGGTGCTGGGGTGCTGGCTCCTGCTGGTGGTGTGAGTAATAGACTGTCCTTTCTCTCTGACCCAGGAGTCTCGTATCTTCTGCCAGCATCCCTGAACGTGTGCAGGCCAACTCTTAGCTTGTAACGGGTAAAATCCCAGCTCCTTCCCAGTTCTTGGCAGTGCCTAACATGTTCTGGGTATAAATAATAACAATCTAATCTTCAGATATTCTGAAGTTGTTTATAATAGCATGCACGAGTAGAGTAACAGTTATTATTCCTCCTTGGCCAGATAGGAAAACAGATTCAGAAAGACCAGGTAACTTTCTGAAGGCCACAGAGGGATTTTTGTAGCCACTTACGTACAACAGAGAGCTGAATCCCCAACCTCTTCATGTTGTAATATTACAAGCAGGCAGGGTCTGTTTCTCAAAGGATTTGGAGGAAATATAAGTGCAAATAAAAGAAGAAGAAACATGCAGGATTCAGTTGGAGTAGACAGGTATTGAGAGACATTATGGGCTGTGGAGGGGACAATTGCTGTGTGACTCCAGAACAGAAGGGTCTTGCCTCAGGCGACAACACCAAGAAGCCTGGGCAGCAGCCCGGACTGGCCTGGCGTGTTCCACCTGGGGCAGCTGTGTTGAGCCTGGTTGTGCCTGTGAATGCGTATAACAGCAGTCCCTCTAATCGGGGTCAGCTGTCTCTGCTGTTTCTAAGCCCGGAAGGCCTGGCCCCTCAGTGGAGTGTGCACAGTCACCAGATTGCCGCCCGCTTGTGGATTAGGCTCTCATTCCCACTTTCCAATTGCAGCAGCATGTGCTCAGGTGGAAGCTCCAATGTGGAGGTGAGCTCATGGCTTCCAGCTTGGAAGCTCAGCTCTTCACAACCCATTTTGGTTTGACAAATGTCTATACTTTGGTGACTACAAATAAGCATGAAAATTAAACAATGAAACTCAAGCCTGATATGAATATTTTGTTTGTTTTTAAAGCTCAGCTCCGGGGCCAGGCACAGTGGCTCATGCCTGTAATCCCAGCACTTTGGGAGGCCGAGTCGGGTGGATAACCTGAGGTCAGGAGTTCGAGACCAGCCTGGCCAACATGGTGAAATCCTGTCTCTACTAAAAATACACAGATTAGCCAGGTTTGGTGGCGGGCGCCTGTAATCCCAGCCACTTGGAGGCTGAGGCAGGAGAATCACTTGAACCCGGGAGGTGGAGGTTGCAGTGAGCCGAGATCACGCCACTGCACTCCAGCCTGGGTGACAGAGCGAGACTCCGTCTCAATAAAAATAAATAAATAAAAAAAATAAAGCCCAGCTCCTGCTAGGAGAGAGGTTGGTGCTGAGAGATTGGGAGTAATTATAGACTGGAATGGCACCTGCAGTGGAGGGGACTCTTAGAGGTGGCTGCAGACTGGAGGTCACCCTGACAACACCCAGGTGTCTACAGACTCCCCTTAGCTAGAGGTGCAGAGCCCACATAGCAGGCATTGCTGTAAAACATGAGACTCCTACTTGCTTTTATTTGTGCAGGAAATAAGAACAGAAATAGCCAAAGCTACTGACGTACTAAAAACATCAACACTGTGCCCAAAAGCAGCACTCACAGACAGACATCCGCAGAGCAGTGCATTGTAAGCAGCCAGGCTTGAGGATACCTGACTTAAAGGACAGTGTATCATAAGCAGCCAGGCGTGAGGATACTTGACTTAAAGGAAAAGCAACAGGCCAAGCGAAACGATGAGACAGTCGGCACACACCGCCTTCATCTGTGCAGGGTGCTGTAAAAAAAACACCTGAGACTGTGATTTATAAGCAGCAGAACCTATTGCTCACAGTTCTGGAGGCTGGAAGTCCAAGATCAAAGTGTGGCAAGATCTGGTGTCCAGTGAGGGACCATCCCTCATGGCCAGCACCTTCTGGCAGTGGTCTCACGAGGTGAAAGGGATGAATGAGCTCCCTCGGGCCCTTTTATAAGGCCCCTAATCACATTTTTATGAGGGTTCCGCCCTGTGATCTAGTCCCTTCCAGGAGCCCCACATCCTAGCACCATCACCTTAGGGACTGGCTTCCAGCGTATGCATTTTGGAGGGACACGGACATTCAGACCACAGCACATGAACTCAGGGTGCACCAGAAGTGGTGAGAACTGGCAAATGGGACCCCTGCACTTGTGCAGAGGACAGCTGAGACTCAGCTCCAAGCAAGGGTGACGGTGCAGGAATGCAGGCCCAACAGGTCCAGATCTAGTCTGCTTTGCAGAAGTGGGAAATCTGGGTTTGGGGGTAAATGGGGCACAATTTCATAACCCAGCCAATTAAAAAGAACAGCAGAGCATAGTGGGCAGGACTCATCCGGGCTAGCGTGCTGAGGTCGGCCCGTCCCACCATTCTGCAAGCTCTGCTTTAGAGCCTGAATTTGAGCACTCCCAGGGAGAGAGCCTGGGCTTGAGGAGCGCGAGACGTGCTGGTTGTTCTCCTCGTCCCTGCAGGTGCATTGTCTGCCTCTGCGTGTGCTATGCCCGGGAAGCTGACTGCTGAGGCGCACTGGCCTCTGAGGGCCAAGTGGACCCAGAGACAGGGGGCAGGAGGTCTGTGGGGGAGGAGGAGGGGCTTCAGTGGCGTCCCCTCGATCTCTTCTTGCGGTGTGGTCTGGTGGCAACTGTGTGTGTCAGCCTCTGTCCTCTGCTCCACCCACTGCTCCATCCAGACGGCAGGACCCTCAAGCCCCGCTCTTGCTGGGTCCCTGGGAGGCTCGGCCGCCACTGGCTCCCATAGCCCTGCTGTCCCTCTGTGAGCAGTCCGCCACTGAACGCTCCTGTGAAAGGCTTCTGTGCTCCCACTGCTTCCTGCCAGGGCCCTGACCAATGGGAGCCCTAATATAAGAAGGGGCCTGTTGTGGGCTCAGCTGTGTCCCACCAAAAGATGAGTTCCAGGATGAGCCGTCTGAGTCTGTGAATGTGGCCCTATGTGGAAAGAGGGTCTTTGCAGATGTGATTCATTAAGATGAAATCATAGTGGGGGAGGGTGGACCCTAAACCCAGTGACTGGTGTCCTCATAAGACAAGAAGGGATACACAGAGACACATCGGGGGAGATGGCCATGTGAAGATGGAGGCGGGGGTTGGACGGAGGCGACTACCAATGCCAGGGAGTGCTTGGAGCCACCAGCCGCTGGTTGACGGAAGGAAGGACCCCCCTCATGGCTCCAGAGGGAGCGTGGCTGCAAACACCTTGATCTTGGACTTCTCGTCCCAGAACTGTGAGAGGATGAATTTCTGTGTTGAAAGCCCCCAACTTGTGGTCATTTGTCATGGCGGCCCCAGGACACTTACACATGCCACTCTGGGGGGACACGGGGGTGCCCACAAACGAGAGACCGGGAAGGCAGCACCTTAGCTGATGAAGTGGTGGGAGGTTCACCTGCTTCAAGTGTCTGAGTGTCACCCGGGGAATCGTGGGGAATGGTTGGGTGTTGGCACCCAACCACACCAAAGTGTTGTAGTCATCACAAAGTTCAGGGTTTCCTAAGACGAGCTCTGGGGTCGACTATTTTTGGGAACTGTGCACTCTGCATTCCACTCTTGGAGAGCTAAAACTTCTTGGCTATAAGTCCATGAGTGTATTTAAGGCTCTAAGATCTCCTTCAGCAAAGAAAAGCAGCTTAACCTTACCTTTCATTCAGTGTTTTCCAAAATAAGTTGATTCCCAGGCCAGTGTCTTGCCCCTCACTGCAGTTTCTGCTTTGGCACCACATTGGAAAATAGGCATCACTGTGACTTACGTGGGGAGCAAGTAGGGTAATGCATTTGACACCAGGGCTTTGTGCCTGGGGATGGTAACCATCGATCAAAACACACTCAACATTCATTAGGCCAATATTAAAACTCAAAGTTAGTCAAAGATTGCTTTGGGAAATGCCATTCTGTTGATTTTTCCCTAGAATTAAAGGAATGTCAAATACTAAATTGTCTAAGTTACTGTTTATACTCAAATCCAGACCTAAGCTGGGAGATTTGGTATTAAAACCTCTTAAAAGATTCCCTTCATAGCAATGCTGGCATTGAGAGTGGCATCAGCAACCACTTTGAAAGCACTCATTTTTTTTTTTTTTTTTTTTGAGATGGCGTCTCGCTCTGTCACCCAGGCTGGAGTGCAGTGGTGCAATCTCGGCTCACTGCAATCTCTGCCTCCTGGGTTCAAGCAATTCTCCTGTCTTAGCCTCCCAACTAGCTGGGACTACAGGCGCACACCACCAAGCCTGGCTAATTTTTGTATTTTTAGTAGAGACAGGGTTTCACCATGCTGGCCAGGCTGGTCTTGAACTCCCGCCTTCAGGTGATCCACCTACCTCCGCCTCCCAAAGTGCTGGAATTAAAGGTGTGAGCCACTGCACTTAGCTGAAAGCACACATTTTTAATAACCAAGAGATTATGAGGCTTCTTTTATTTCTTGAGTGATCAAAGACCTGATAACTCCAAATACTCTGAAAAGTAGTAAGGCGGAGCGGAGAGGGGAGGTACTGATCCCACACCCGGTCATGTGGTGTGTTTGATTTAAGTTGTAAGGAGGGGACTGATCACACACCCGGTCATGAGGTGTGTTTGATTTAAGTAGTAAGGAGGGGACTGATCCCACACCCGGTCATGAGGTGTGTTGGATTTAAGTAGTAAGGAGGGGACTGATCCCACACCCGGTCATGAGGTGTGTTGGATTTAAGTAGTAAGGAGGGGACTGATCACACACCCGGTCATGAGGTGTGTTTGATTTAAGTAGTAAGGAGGGGACTGATCACACACCCGGTCATGGAGTGTGTTTGATTTAAGTAGTAAGGAGGGGGCTGATCACACACCCGGTCATGCAGTGTGTTTGATTTAAGTAGTAAGGAGGGGGCTGATCACACACCTGGTCATGCAGTGTGTTTGATTTAAGTAGTAAGGAGGGGGCTGATCACACTCCCGGTCATGCAGTGTGTTTGATTTAAGTAGTAAGGAGGGGGCTGATCCCACACCCGGTCATGCAGTGTGTTTGATTTAAGTAGTAAGGAGGGGACTGATCACACACCTGGTCATGCAGTGTGTTTGATTTAAGTAGTAAGGAGGGGACTGATCACACACCCGGTCATGCAGTGTGTTTGATTTAAGTAGTAAGGAGGGGGGGACTGATCACACACCCGGTCATGGAGTGTGTTTGATTTAAGTAGTAAGGAGGGGGCTGATCACACACCCGGTCATGGAGTGTGTTTGATTTAAGTAGTAAGGAGGGGGCTGATCCCACACCCGGTCATGCAGTGTGTTTGATTTAAGTAGTAAGGAGGGGGCTGATCACACACCCGGTCATGGAGTGTGTTTGATTTAAGTAGTAAGGAGGGGGACTGATCCCACACCCGGTCATGGAGTGTGTTTGATTTAAGTAGTAAGGAGGGGACTGATCCCACACCCGGTCATGCAGTGTGTTTGATTTAAGTAGTAAGGAGGGGGCTGATCACACACCCGGTCATGAGGTGTGTTTGATTTAAGTAGTAAGGAGGGGGCTGATCACACACCCGGTCATGGAGTGTGTTTGATTTAAGTAGTAAGGAGGGGACTGATCCCACACCCGGTCATGCAGTGTGTTTGATTTAAGTAGTAAGGAGGGGGGGACTGATCACACACCCGGTCATGGAGTGTGTTTGATTTAAGTAGTAAGGAGGGGGCTGATCACACACCCGGTCATGGAGTGTGTTTGATTTAAGTAGTAAGGAGGGGGCTGATCCCACACCCGGTCATGCAGTGTGTTTGATTTAAGTAGTAAGGAGGGGGCTGATCACACACCCGGTCATGGAGTGTGTTTGATTTAAGTAGTAAGGAGGGGGCTGATCCCACACCCGGTCATGGAGTGTGTTTGATTTAAGTAGTAAGGAGGGGACTGATCCCACACCCGGTCATGCAGTGTGTTTGATTTAAGTAGTAAGGAGGGGGCTGATCACACACCCGGTCATGAGGTGTGTTTGATTTAAGTAGTAAGGAGGGGGCTGATCACACACCCGGTCATGGAGTGTGTTTGATTTAAGTAGTAAGGAGGGGGCTGATCCCACACCCGGTCATGCAGTGTGTTTGATTTAAGTAGTAAGGAGGGGGGTGATCCCACACCCGGTCATGCAGTGTGTTTGATTTAAGTAGTAAGGAGGGGGGGACTGATCACACACCCGGTCATGCAGTGTGTTTGATTTAAGTAGTAAGGAGGGGACTGATCCCACACCCGGTCATGCAGTGTGTTTGATTTAAGTAGTAAGGAGGGGACTGATCCCACACCCGGTCATGCAGTGTGTTTGATTTAAGTAGTAAGGAGGGGACTGATCCCACACCCGGTCATGCAGTGTGTTTGATTTAAGTAGTAAGGAGGGGGGGACTGATCACACACCCGGTCATGGAGTGTGTTTGATTTAAGTAGTAAGGAGGGGGCTGATCACACACCCGGTCATGGAGTGTGTTTGATTTAAGTAGTAAGGAGGGGGCTGATCACACACCCGGTCATGAGGTGTGTTTGATTTAAGTAGTAAGGAGGGGGCTGATCACACACCCGGTCATGGAGTGTGTTTGATTTAAGTAGTAAGGAGGGGACTGATCACACACCCGGTCATGCAGTGTGTTTGATTTAAGTAGTAAGGAGGGGACTGATCCCACACCCGGTCATGCAGTGTGTTTGATTTAAGTAGTAAGGAGGGGACTGATCCCACACCCGGTCATGCAGTGTGTTTGATTTAAGTAGTAAGGAGGGGGCTGATCACACTCCCGGTCATGCAGTGTGTTTGATTTAAGTAGTAAGGAGGGGGCTGATCCCACACCCGGTCATGCAGTGTGTTTGATTTAAGTAGTAAGGAGGGGGCTGATCCCACACCCGGTCATGGAGTGTGTTTGATTTAAGTAGTAAGGAGGGGACTGATCACACACCTGGTCATGCAGTGTGTTTGATTTAAGTAGTAAGGAGGGGGCTGATCCCACACCCGGTCATGCAGTGTGTTTGATTTAAGTAGTAAGGGGGGAACTGATCCCACACCCGGTCATGCAGTGTGTTTGATTTAAGTAGTAAGGGGGGAACTGATCCCACACCCGGTCATGCAGTGTGTTTGATTTAAGTAGTAAGGAGGGGGCTGATCACACACCCGGTCATGAGGTGTCTTTGATTTAAGTAGTAAGGAGGGGGCTGATCACACACCCGGTCATGCAGTGTGTTTGATTTAAGTAGTAAGGAGGGGGCTGATCACACACCCGGTCATGCAGTGTGTTTGATTTAAGTAGTAAGGAGGGGGCTGATCCCACACCCGGTCATGGAGTGTGTTTGATTTAAGTAGTAAGGAGGGGGCTGATCCCACACCCGGTCATGCAGTGTGTTTGATTTAAGTAGTAAGGAGGGGGCTGATCACACACCCGGTCATGCAGTGTGTTTGATTTAAGTAGTAAGGAGGGGGCTGATCACACACCCGGTCATGCAGTGTGTTTGATTTCTCAGGTTTTTCCAAATCCAATTAATTAGGTGTTCATTTCTAATGTGGCCTTTGAACCAAATACCCGTCGGGCAGGTGGCAGGCATACCCTGGTCCATTCCACGGGAGATGCTCTGGCATAACTCAGGGCCTGGCAGATGTCTGTCCCGCTGCATCTGGAGCAAATGGAGTTACCATTTCCTGTGTTAAAAGTCTCTGTTCAGCTGCCTCAGCAGCGTGTTTCTTTCTGTTGAAAGTCCTTCGCCCTGGCACAGTTTCACATTCCTGCCATGGGTCCCGGAGCCCGGGAAGGTTCTCACTGTCGCTAGGCTGATGGGACTTCAAGAGTTTGCTTTCGGCATTTAAGAAAAATGTTACCTTTATAAAAAGAGTTTTGGTTCTGCTATTATTTCTATTACCCAAAACACACCTAAGTGCTTCAATTATGCAGACATTTAAGAACTTATTGTATATTTTCCTCAACAATTGTTTATGCCCTTTTTGCTGAAGATAAATATTTTATCTCGGCTGTGGAAGTGACTTCTTCAGCACTGAGCTGGATTTACAGCACAAAGGGAAAGAAAGCTTTGGGTGGGAAATGCTGTGTGTATAGGCAAACAGCACACACATTCTTTCACAATTTACAGAAAGTGCTTCTCCTGGGTTTTCAGAAGTATCAAAAGTACATATTTGCCCAGACAATTGTTTACTTGGGAGCTGTGCTGTGTATAGTGATGGTGATTCCTCAATTTTATATCTCCTCCAACATTATTCTGTTTTTAATTCTTTGGCGTCCAGATTGTGATACCTTCCCTTCTCCATGGCTAAAAAGACCCCGTATCAGAAGCCAGAGTCATTTATGGGGATAGGACACTCACCTGTGAGTGTTCAATGCAATCCTCCAGCTTTCTGCTTGGTTAAGGGTGCAAAATTATGGTTTTGATTGTGTTTGTCTTCTTAAAGCTTAAACATTTTTGCAGGACAGAACTACCGAGAGTAACAATCCTCCCCTTTATTTTCGCTTTTCTTAAAATCAGTGATTTATTTTTGGAATTTTGTACCATCTCTGGTTGGATGGTTACACCTTGTTTTTCTATTTCTTTGGAATAGCTATACCTGCCCTTTCCTGTATGAATTATAAATAACCCTCCAGAAACCTCAAGAAAAGATCCCAATGTTCATTCTTACATGTGTCTCACCTTAAAAATTGTTGCATTTCATCATTTTCTTACCAAGTCATTTATGACCCTTCCCCAAGTACATTCATGATTCAAAACCAGTGGGATTAAAACCTTTCACCACTGTATTCAAAACCAGTGTGAGTAAAACCCTTCACTGTTGTATTCAAAACCAGTGTGATTAAAACCCTTCACCATATTGTACTAGTGATACATGCATTCAGGGAATTCTTCATAATTGAAAACCTCCTTAAGTTATTCCAATAGATTTAAATTCAATTGAGAGTTACTTACTATATAATACCTTATAAACCTTTATATCTGGAACTGCAAATATTTTTATTTCCATATAAACAATTTTAATATGAAGGGATATAAATGTTTGTCTAGAAACCAAACCCAAAACATAAAATGTTGAAAGAAGGACACATAATTAAGGGATGGAGCAAATGGTAAAAAAAATTGAGAAACAATGAAAAAAGAAACTTAGCAAATATTGGTGCAATAGATGATTCAAGAGTTGCATAAAGTTATCACTAACATTTATGTAATACTATATAACAACCACTGCTCTGAGCACTTCATAAAGAGTCAGGCATCACTTAATAATGAGGGTGTGTTCTGACAAATCGGTCATTAGGCGATTTGTCCTTGTGGGGTCAACACAGAGTGTCCTTACCCAAACCTGGGCAGTGCAGCCTATACACACCAAGGCTGCAAGCATGGCCCATGGCCCAGGGCTGCAGACATGCACTGCCTGAACTGAGTACTGCAGGCAATTGTAACACAATGGTAAGTATTATGCACCTAAACATACCTAAATGTGGAAAAGGTGCAGTAAAAACCGTAGATAGGATAAAAAATGATACACTGCATAGGGCACGGACCATGAACACGGCCTGCAGGACTGGGGGCTGCCTTGGGTGAGTTGTGAGTGAGGGTGTGGACGTGGCTGTAGACTTTATAAACACTGCACACTTAGGCTACGCTCAGCTCATTAGATAAACTTTAGCTTACTGTAACATTTTTACTTTATAAACTTTTTAATTTAAAAACACTTTTTGGAGCTTGTAATAACAGCTTAAAAGATAAACACATTGTACAGCTGTACAAAAATATTTCCTTTCTTTATATCCTTATTCTATCGGCTTTTTTCTAGTTAATTTTTTTTAAAGTTTTCAAATTTTTTGTTAAAAACTAAGACACAAACACACACATTAGCCTTGGCCTATACAGGGTCAGGATCATCAGTATCATGGCCTCTGCCTCCACATCTCATCCCACTGGGAGGTCTCCTGGGGCCATAACACGCACGGAGCTGTCCTCTCCTGTGACAACAATGCCTTATGCTGGACACTTCCTGGTGGACCTGCCTGAAGCCGTTTTCCGGTTACCTTTTTATATAGACATACGTAAGTAGAAGGAACACTCTAAAATAACAATAAAAAGTATAGTAAGTACATAAAGCAGAACAATGCTTTTTATTATGACTATGGAGCATCATGTACTGGACACAGCTGTGTGTGCTGGACTTTCACAGACCGGCAGTGCAGTCTGCTTGTGTACACCAGCATCTCCACACACATGTGAGTCACCCTTTGTGCTACATGCGGCGGTCCCAGCATCACCAGGCAATGGGGAGTTTCCAGCTCCACTGTGATCTGATGGGCCCAGCGGGGAACGTGTGATCTGCTGTTGACTATGCCGCTGTCACCCGGCACGCGGCTCCCTTCCACGAGTGTCACCCGCACAAGGAGTCTGTGAAGCTGGCAGTGTCCTTATGCCCATTTCCCAGATGAGGGAAATGACAGAGCTCAAATCTGAATCCTGGCAATCTGACGTCAGCTTCATACCCCGAGCCGTGAATCCTTCCTAAGCAAGGTGATGGCTCAAAGCAGAAGAGAGAAAAGAAAAGAAAGACGCAAAGGAAAAGATGCATCCATACAGCGATGTTTTTCAAACGGTTTGGTCATGACCCACTTCACATGGACAGCCCAGCCACACCCATGCAGGAACATCAACCGGGACTCACGCTTTCAATTTGCCGCAAAGCCTGACACTTCCTACTCGATTTTCTTTCATTAAAAAAGAAAAAAACAAAAAAAAAAAAACCCCACAAGACTGGTTTAGAGCCGCTAAGCTGATCTCATGACCCACAAATGAGCTGTGACCCACATTTTGAAAACTGCCACTTAGCTAGAAACCCTTAACTCTCTTTCATCACAAATGTAACAGAACGAGGGTGCAGTTTCAGTTGAAAAGAGAGACAGCGACATCTATACAAACCGCTTATTCTGAAGATGATAGATAAAAATTTCAGGATAAATTACTCTAGCTTTAAAGTCAATAGGAAACGATGATATGGATTAAAGTTTTATTGGTAGTCTGAAAGATTTCTAACATGTTAATAAAATATCGCTGTAAATTTTGATATGGGAAACAAATAAATAAACCACAACAGCAAAAACCCCACAACTTAGAATTTATAATTATTTCTCACATTATTGCCAATAAAACTGTGAGCAACTTAATTTTTTTGATTTATCTGTATCATATTTAAGAATATTTCTAGGCAATGAGATAAAATATTTAACAGAGGAGTTTTTGCAAGAGGCAGAATAATCTCATATGATCTGCTTAGGAGGAAAATTATATTTAAGGATAGTTAGCATATTCCTTACATTCAGCTACATAATGTTACATAATGGAAGGATATAAATGCTAAGTAAAATACAATCTCAGCTGATGAATGGGGATAACAATTCCCTAGGGCTTACATACACTGAGGCAAATAATATTTAAGCCAGTTGACAGTGGCATCCGATGAAATGGTTGATGATAGTAATAAAAATAAAGGTCACTTTCACAGCTCAAAGTGTATAAAGGTTCACCGTTACAAGCAACCCTTTGGATTCAAAGATTTTTAAATGTGGCTGTAGGTCCGTGACAATTCAATGATGAATCCAAATTCAAATTTGACACTAAGGCTTAAGCCCAAGAATCAGACTCAAGATTCTAATAACCACTGGGTTATAAACTCCTAGAACCAAGAATGATTTCAGAAATATATTGCATTTGCTTCAAATTTTAATTTTAGGTTCATATGGAAATGTTCCAGGATACCATAGTGCATATGAAAATTAAATGTAAATGCCTAGAATTCAGTCCCTGTTGACAGCTGAATTCCAGCGATGGTTGCAAAGTATCTAGATCTTGGCTCCACAAAGCAGGTGCTCTGAACAGACTATTAATTGCAGTAAGAATAATGCTCTATGATTACAATGGAAGCAAGATACAGTGTACGTTTAACAAATGGAAACACACCATCTACTTGGGCTGTTTATTCATTCCAGGACCAAAACAGCTACTGAAATTTCTGAGTTTCTAATTTAGAAAATCTTAAATAGGGAGAGAAAGGTTTGGACAAGCCTGGCTAACAGTTTTCAAAAACTCATTAGTCCTGTAAAATTTCAATTTATCCTCTCAAATTTGCAAGGCTTCCAGCGCATTTACCAATAATACCCTTTCTTTTCAAGTTATCCTCACCTCCATCTGCAGTTCCCCATATCATTAAACTGAACACGGGAATGTGACCGCAGAAAACCATTCAGCATTCCCTGTCAATAATTACTATTAAAAGAAGAGAAAGAGGAGAGGTGGAAGAGATTAAAGTTCCCTGGTGGACTGGCTTCCCTCTTCAGCCAGATTTCTGTGAAATTCAGAGAATATTTCTGCATTTATAACACAAATATCAGCTTATCAACAACTATTCATTGGACCCTTGTTACGGGCAAGGCTTTGCGGCTGCCTCCACGAAGGTGAGAACGTACATATATTTCCCTTGTGATACACAATTCACATAATCACGCGTAGGATAATTCAACTAACACGCAGGCCTGCGTCCGAAGCATCTCTCGGGTGTTAACACGACCCTGGCCCACAGCGGTTGGCAAGGTGAGTATCCCGCAGTGGGCCACGCGGGCTCCTCTGATGAGGAAGATGGAATACATGGACAGTGTGCAGACACAGGCCAGGGAGTGGCGGGAGCATCATCCAGAAGCGGGACCGTTTGCAACCACCTCGCATATCGCTTTCTGGAGCGAAAGGTGGCCCAGTGGCCCCTTCACCCTGCAGACAGGCCACTGGAGTGGCTTTGTCCTGCTGGTCCTGGCTCCAGTCCTGGGCCTGCCTGTGGCTATCTGCATCAGAGCTCAGAGTGTGATGGCTTCACTCTACCCCCATTATCAAATTTAACTCCCCCAAAGGCTGCAGCATCCCCTGGCCCCCTGGCGAGGCTGAGCCTCAGCCCTAACTTTGGGGTCGGGGTCTGGAGTCTGTGGGGTGCTGTGCCCTGGCCCCATGCCTCAGGCTGCCTCACTTAGCTGGCTCTGCTGGAAGTCGCCCGGAGCCAGCCATGGACGGTGCAGAGCCCACCGCCCGCTTCCCTCCCACACATTGACCGGGTTGCTGGAGCAGTATCTCTGGACTGCGGATCTGGTCTCCTCGTTGCTCCGCTTACACATGGCCGATGGTTCCCTTTAGGAGGGATGGGTGCCTGAAAGAGCCGGGGGAGGCATTCTGGGCAGAGGGAGCCCTCAGGAATGGATGGCGTCAGGCTGGTGACCGTTTCAGAAGCCCGGCAAGGCGGACCCCTGGGTTCCACTTCACAAACCCCGCTTTTGAGATTCAGAGAGCACAGGCAACGGCCTGTGGGTAAAAGCTGTGCGAGTAAAAGCTAGAAACTAAACAGAGGACTCTCTGATCAGAGCCCAGGCCGTCTAGGATTAGCATGATGCCCACTAACCCACTTAGTTCACGGGGTTGGCAGGAAGCAGCCTCGGGCAGCATGGAGAGGGCTGAACAGGTCCTGTTGGCCAGGCATGCGTGAGGCTGGCGGCACAGAGGCTCAGGGCAGGAAGCCAGAGGGCCCCAGGATGAGCCACTGCATGGCCGACGACTCTTCTCCTCCATTGAATAGAATCGGGCGTTCAATTCAACGCCTTGTGTGTAATCTGTGGGAACATATATAGGTTCTCACCTTAGTGGAGCCAGCCGCAAAGCCTTGCACGTAACAAGTGTCCAGTAAATATTTGTTGATGAACTGATATGAGTGTTATAAATGCAGAAATATTCTTCAAACTTTACAGAAGTTCGGCTTCTGGGAAGCCAATCTGCCAGAAGTTTTAATCTCTTCTACCTCTCCTCTTTTTCTTTTGCTCTTTTTCTTTTGATAGTGAGCCTTTCTGGCTCACTTCTCAGCTGGGAGTCGCCCCAGGACACAGTGTAGGTCCAAGAAACCTAAGCAGAAGTCAGCTGAATGGGGTTTTTCCAGAAAAGCTTTCACTCTTCTGATCAAGAGATAGGATTGGCTTCCAGGCCTGGTGCCCTCGTTCTTTTCTCTTTCTGAGGGAGCGTGAATGCAATGGCTGGGTCTGCAGCAGCCATCCTGTGGTCACGTGGGGAGCAGCGTGAGAACAACCCACACACTAATGCCTGTGGGGGTGTCCGTGAGGTGCTGAGTCATCCCCAGCAACCCCCTCGCTCTGGACTTCGAGTTATGTGAGAAAAACAAACTCCGACTGAAGCTATGATATGGGGTTTCCATTCTTTGTAGTCAAATGCAAACTTTACTGATAGAACAAGGGCCTCGGATAAAAGGACATAAGGACACTGGGTGCCTTGGGCAGCACTGGAGACATACTTCTACTTCATCACAGCACAGGGCCAGCTCCCTCTTTAAGCACTGTTCAAAGCTTCCTTAAAGTGGTCCCAAGACCAGAAGCAGCTGTACCAGCCGCCTGGGATCTTGTCAGACTTACAGAGTCCCAGCCCCACCCAGACCTGGAGAACTGGAATCTGCATCTGACGCATGGCCAGGGCCCTGTGCCGATGTCACAGCACTAAGTCCAGTGCAGACCAGCGGTTTTAAATCCTGGCCTCACACTGATCAACACGTGGGCTGCCCTTGGACATTCTGATCCGATGGGCCTGCAGAGAGGTGGGCCAAGTTTCCTGCGGGAACCCTTCCCTCTAAGCTGTGAGGTGTACCTTTAACTGTTAGGTTAATTCTGGACCCAACTCCGCAGTCCCATTGGGTCATCACAGCTGACTAGCCTAGGGCTTAGGAGGCTGACCCTTCAGACTTGACCCCCACGTGGAGCTGTTGGGGTGACCGCGCCACGGGAGAGTTTTGCTGTGATTCTGTGTCCCCCCAAAAGGAAGGGCTCAGCAGTGGCCTGGGTGCCCAGACCTGCGTGCGGGGACAGCCTCCTGAGCCTGTGGAACTGGAACAGGAGAGAGACGTTATTTAAAATACAACCGTGAGTCGCAACCTGGTGCCGTGTGGGACCGAACGGAAAAGAGGTTGAGCCTCACGTGCTAAAATGACATCCCAGGGAGGCCGGCGGCTCCGGGTCAGCACAGAAGGGCGGGCCCGGGTCAGCGTGCGGCCGGCTCCCGCAGAGATCGCACCCCGCGTGGGGCGTCACAGCCACTGCTTCGGCCTCACATGGACGCCCACATTTTATTCCAAGATCCGAGTGTGACCGGGCAATGGGCCCACCCGGGACCCGCAGCCCCGCAGCACGGTGAGAAGCCACGGCCGCACGCTGCCCCGCGGGGCTCATCGGGTGCTGACTGTGGCCGAAATTCTGGCGGTCTGGAGGCAGCGTTGCCTTTACAGTTGGCGAGGAGCCATCGTGCCGGCCAGGGGACATGCCTGGGGGTGGCAGAGGCCGTCCCTGCGCAGTGCTCGCCCTGGGCCCCGAGGATGGGCCCCGCTCCCAGGGCCGGGTCTTCCCTCCCAGGGCGGCGCCTCGGTCCCCCGCGGTTCATTCCATGTCGCGGCGCAGGGCCTGGATCGAACGGGCTCTGCAGCCAGAGTGAGGGCTCACCCCGGACACGCCTGCAGGAACCATCCTGGCACCGACAGCCGAGGTCACAGGCTTCCCTGCGGCGCGACGGCTGCGCACCTGGGAGGGGAGGAGCTGCCCTCCGCCCTGGCCGGTGCTCGACGCCTCCGGAGCCCACGCGCCCTCCACCCCCACGAGAGCCTTGGGGTCGGGGTCACTGAGGGCTGCACGTGGGCTGCAGGGGCATCTGCTTTCGGGGCTGGCCCAGGGCTCGGAGCTCTGCCCCAGAGTCCCGGTCCCCAGAAAGCCTGGGGAGGGGACTCAGGAGCGTCTGCTGACTTCCCTCTGCTCCGCCGGCCTCCGTGGCTTCGTGCGGAGACACATGCGTGAGCGCTCGTGAAGAAGCAAGGCCGCTGCGAGACTCGGGGACTTACCTAAGAAGGGACTGTCAAAAGCGGACCGACCCCTGCTAGCTCGCCACTGGATCGGAACTCGGCCTCGAAGCCAGGCCCGGCGCAGGCCACAGCACAGCCCGAGAAACGGCTGCCCACCCGGCAGGCTCCTTCCCCTCACCTGTGGCTTCAGGAAGCCTGGCGTTCGTGTTGCCAGAGGACTTATTCTGCCACATCTTAAACCCTGTCTCTACTTAAAAACAAAAAACAAAACAAAAAAAAAACCCCAAAAAATTAGCAGGGTGTGGTGGCTCATCCCTGTAGTCCCAGCTACTTGGGAGGCTGAGGCAGGAGAATCGCTTGAACTTGGGGGGCGGAGGTTGCAGTGAGCTGAGATTGTGCCATTGCACTCCAGCCAGGGCAACAAGAGCGAAACTCCGTCTAAAAAAAAAAGAAAAAGCCATGGAGGAAGTTGCCCCACTGGGTAAGGAATCCTGTGGCTGGTGCCTCATCCTGAAGGACCAAGTAACGGGTTATATTCGCATCAGTGAATTGAGTATTCCAGAAGTGTCTCTGCAACACGTAGCCTTCTGCGGATGGAATTCCAACACATCAAGAGAAAAGCTCCATCTCTCTAATTACAAAAGCATGGGAAACACGAGTAATATCAAACACACAATTATTTAAATGCTTGTGAAATAGAGAATTTTTTTTCTTTTTTTTTTTTTTTCTGAGATGGAGTCTCACCCTGTGACCCAGGCTGGAGTGCAGTGGTGTGATCGCAGCTCACGGCAACCTCTGCTCCCGAGTTCAAGCAATTCTCCTGCCTCAGCCTCCTGAGTAGCTGGGATTACAGGCTCGGCTAATTTTTGTATTGAATATTTTCTAATATAATAATAATTAAGCCAGCCTTGCAAACATATGTCAAATGTTTCATCTGTGTCTGTGAAGTTTAGAAAAGCTAGGATTTTCTGATGTCAGGGAGTATGCATTAATAAAATAATTAAGCTCAGCATTATTTTCTACTTAAAAAGTTTAACTTGTTATTCTGGACAATTGGACATTTGCTGAGCTAAGTGCACCTCCTCTTAGACAGTTGATTGTTACTTCAAATAGTCACTCTTTCTTGTCCACACAGCTTATAATAAAGTAGAAATTTCGATTAAATATTATAATGAAGGTTAAAATAATTAAAAGTAGTTCTGAACAATTTTGCAAGATAAAGATTGGGAGTTAAGAAGCTTTTTTGAAGTGAACTTTTATCAAAAGGCAGGAAATACCCCCTTTCTGCAAGACCTTCTGATGCCCATGTTCTCCTTCTGGTTCCTTCAAAGATGAGCTATCTGGGTGTGGTGATGCTTTTTGCCCCTGTGGTTACAAATATTATTTCCATGCATTTATTACTTTTATGTGGCTTATAATTATTCATTTAACACTCCCAGAGCCAATCGAGTTAGATTCCATCAGCCACACACTGTGGGCAAATTGAGCTTTGACTTGGCCAATCCTTTAGTATTTGTGGTTGCGATCAGATCGATCCTGGAGCAATAGGCATCGATCCCTAAGGCAGGCAGCAAACACGTGTGGTCTGTCTCACACACACACTTTTCAGCTGGTGTACCGATGCCTACGTATGGAGGGCACCACGTGCACTCGTGAATTTGCTGTGCACCCACCAGGACAAGGTCTGAGCCCACTGACAATGGTTGGTTTGTGCCAAGTTGACACCCGAGCCCAGGGAGGACGTGAGGACACGAACTCCTCTGTCAGGTCCCCTTTTCAGGGCTTTTGAGAAAATCTTCAGTTTGCCTTCAGCTAAATACTAAGTCTAGCCATGATTTTCAGTTTTTCAGAGACAACTGAGTGTTTCTAAAACTAAGACTAATTCAGGCCAGTGGAAGGAAAAGGTTATTGGGTTCAGAGCTTGGTCTCAGGGACCATCCTTGAAAATAACCACATTATTGTTGTAATTTAAAACTTGGTCTACAGCTACTCTTCAGCAGACGGTGATGGAGGTGGCAGTGTCAAGGTTAAAACATAAATTGAAAGAACAGAGTAACCAAGCCATGAGATAACTTCTCAGTGAGAGACGGCAACGCACACGTGAATACATACACAGGGTCTTTAGGCAAGGAATTCGTGCCGAATGAATGAGGTGGGGGATTCATTAACTTCAACAACAGGTTAGATTTTATTTTCAGATCCTATAACATGTTCTGAGATGAGAATATGTTTAGAGTTTTGCTTGGGAAAAACTAATTACTTACAAATATTTATTAATAAAAGTTCATTTGCCCAAATTACCTACAGTCCCGAATTAACATCTGAGGTTTATGCACTCTATTTCTCAATAATAAATAAAGATCTAGTAGTTTCTTGGGTGAAATTATAGGCTGATTATTCAACTTACTACTCAGCATGTGTCTATAATGGCCAATAATAACTGCATTGTTTATCTTTAGAAGAATATGCTTTAACAGTACCCAGCTCTTGAATTACCAGTAGGATTTTTAAGAATCCCAAATATAAAGGGTCTGGGTTGCAAAATTTTTCTTGATGGTTCCAAACCTAACATTTTAAGTAGGCTGAAGCTGTGCAGTTCCACAGACCTGTCAGCTGTATTTCATGGTGGAGTGTGATGCTCTGTTACTAAAAATCACAAAGAAAAACAAACAAGGGTGAGAGGCTTATGTGCAAAATCTTCCTTAAATGATCTCAATGTGTGGGGAAGTCTTTCTACACTTTCTAATTGTGTATTCATGAGACTGTCACCATTTGACATGGAAAATGTTTTTCCAGGCCTGCTTGTTCTGCTGCAGCAGCGGCGTGACGGGGGGCAGGCATGTTTCTTCTGGGTAAATTGAGGTCACAACGGGAGCTGTTCTTAAACCGTCCTTGATACGGCAAAGAGAAAAAAAATCAAATAACAGAAACATTAAAAGACCTTGTCAGTTATAAAAATGATTTTGTCATTTAGATATTTTATCCCTATTTGTAAAAAGGTATTGGCATTAAAATTCAGATGTTCTTTAATTAAGCTAGAAGGAACACAAAATGGAATTAGTCATACCTAAAATAACCACGAGGAATGAAGGAAATAATTTACACTTTTCTGTAAAAATTCTAGTTTATAGATCATTCTGTAATTTAAAATAGGTGCATCATACCAACTTAGAAAGTATGGGGGAAGGGTTACCCATTTCCCATGTTCACAAATAATCACATTTGGAACGACTGTAATCAAACATTTATTTCCACATGTTTGAATCATATACAGTGAACGATTCATACCAATATGAACAAGTTCTTGCATCTTTCACTGCAGGGCGTGGCCTATGCATCATTTGTTTTGTTTTTCATTTACTGATGTAAAGAACTTTGGACAGAACAGAATACAAACATAATCTGACACCGTGACATCTCTTCTTCCTCTTATCTTACCAGCTTTCTGATTTTCCCACAGGGTTTTCCAAGCTCCGCGAAAGGCCAGTATTCGCTAGGAATGGTCTGTCCAAATGACAATCTATGATACTTCCAATGAAAACAGGCCAAAGATGCAGACGGTGGTAGAAATCAGGACAGTAACACCAATGTTCATAGTTTAGGCTCTCTGATATTCTACTAAGGAACAACAAGAAAAAAAACCACATTGTTTTCAATTGCATACTCTTTTGAATATATAGTGCTGTAATAAGGGGCTGTGCGTGTACTTGTGTGCAGGACTCATGGAAAAATCAAATATGTTTCTAACACCTCTTATCTAACAGAATATGCAGTAAGCATCAGTTCACAGCTTGATTTTATTTTACCAAGTATAGTTGCATTTTTAACATCAATAAGTTCAATGGCTTTTTCTTATAAAAGATACAAACACATTTTTCATGATCCAAAAATGATTCCATGTAGTTTCTTTAGCAAATTTATTTGTAATTGATTTTTCATATCTATGGGAGAATATTTTTAGGTAATAACTCATATTTTCTCTCTCTATATAAATACCATCAATTTTTTTCATGATTATTTTTGGGTAAAGAGAAAGATGTACATTAGTGGTAGTTCTTTAAAAAAAAAAACATGGAATTTTACAACTGAAAAGGATTTGAATGTCATCAAATTCTACCCTCTTCCTACAGATGGGAAAGCAGATTTTACATGGCACAGGAGGAATGAGAACCCTCTCCAAGTAGGGCCCTCTCCCCGGGTCCCAGCGTGGATTGTACCAGCCAGGACGATGCAGGGAGGACGAGGTCACGCCCCAAGCCTCGCTTGGTACAGAAATGCTGAAAGGAGAAAGACAAAAAACAAAAAAAAGCCTCTATTGTGATTTCATTTTAAAGTTTTCACTTCATAAAGAATACTGAGAATTAATGCCCAATATTTCCTTCTTAAATGAAAAAGGGGAATGTCATTTCCTTCCTCATGTTATATAGAATATTTTGTAGACCAAGTTTTAACACAGCTAAAAAGCAGCAAACAGGTCTGCCGGTATAAATGCTTCATGCCCTCTTTTTTTCAATGAAGCACCTGCCGGTATAAACGCTTCATGCCCTCTTTTTTTCAATGAAGCACTGTGTCCTAAGAAACTTTTCAAAGGAATAAACAAGTACTGGCTCCCTGTCTCAGTAATTAGCAAATGAGCACAAGGTTGTAACACAAAGGCCTGAACACGGGGCCCTCAGGTTGGCGGTGAGCTGGCGGGTGACAGGCTGGGCGAGAATGACACATGTGCAGCACGGTCTCCAGCTTCACGCGTGCACCAGAAAGATGAGAGGTCTGGACGTCTGCGGCGTTAGACAAACAGCCACAGTGAATACAGGGATTTGAAGCTGGTTGGGCTGGAAACATACATGCAGCCTAGCAATAAAGAAATGGCCCTGATGTTCACTGTGGCTTCGTAAAACACAAGATGGGGACTGGGCAACGCCTGCCAAACGCAGAAAAGCAGGTAGGGGCTCCATGCCTCCGAGCTTCCATGGGGCCAAAATTAAACAGCGAGAGCTGGAAGACAATTGCTTTTTAGCCCTTTAGTAGTACTTATTAATTAGCTTAAATGTTAATGTTTCCTGTAATGAACCTAGAAATGTATTTAAATAATTTTTAGGGATTGTTGGCATTTATGATTCTTTGATACACAGTCTACATCACCACAGTTGGCATGAGAAAGCAGCAAACACCCAGGCTTGCCAAGCCAAACACCTCTGATCTTACCTCTGGAAGTATTTTTGAAATACAAGTAGTAAATCCCTTCTCTCCTGCATGTTAGTTTATATTAATTACTTTAGATGGCTGTACATTTTTTGCTAATTCCTTACTTTAAAAAAATTGAATTTACTAGTCAGTTTACATTTTATAATTTCTATTCTAGCATTGAAATCTACATGGTTTGATTTCTAAGGCTTATAATATCTGCTGGAAGGTTGGCCTGGATTGGTTAGTTTAGTGGTTAGTACCTTTATCATTCCTTAAAATCCACCTGGCACGTCCCAGGTAAAAATTACTGTAGCTTCTAGGTTATCAGTAGTTATTCATTTTAAAAATTAAAAAAAAAAAAAAAAAGAAAAAGAAGAAATTGATTACATATCTTGAAATCCAGGAGCTATAAAATCATTCTTATCAACCGTTATCAGTGAAGTAAAGCTTATTTTAAATTAAGGACGTTCTCCATCTGGAATTAAGCTGTGTGGAGCTGCCACCATGAGCTCACAAAGCTGCTGCTGCTGCCACACTGTAAGCACCGTCCCACCCACTCCTGTCCTGTCATGTGATTTGATGCACATCTATTTGTTCAAGCGACCTGAAAAGCCGGTATTTTCACTTCATGCTGACAACGGGAAGGCAATTCCGAGTGGTCACTTTTGGGCACTGCGGAGTCTCTGATATGTAGGAATTTTCTACCACATCTTCTTCCATCACAGATGTAAAAAGAATCCACAACTAGGAGGCTGAATTTTTATTTTGGAAAAAAGCAAAAAACAAAAATTTCAAGACCAATCAAGATGCACTGAGACACTGCTTAAATCTAAGCTGCCAAGCTGTGTTGACGTTCCTGGTGGAAATACCACGGATACACACCCACCACAAATGACCTCCTCAAATTCCACTTTCTCCATTAGAAAAATCAAGGAATGCAACTCAGAAATAACATTACATCCTGCATTTTATTCAATTCCATATGACAAAAATAGTAACCTAGACTAAGACATCCATTTCAGTCAGCAGATGTGTCAAGCCACAAGATTTAATAATAAAAAATATTGGGTCTAGGTAACAATCCCCAGCTGCTCAGAGAGGTCCCAGCCCCGCATGGCATTACAGTATAAAAATAGTGTCTCTCTTCACCATGCAGAGGGATGGCCTAGCCCTGCACACAGGAGGGTCAGTCTCACTGTACCTTCATGAGCCATCTTATTTACAACACTTTACATTTCTCTTTAGTTATATACACATCCTTTTGGGAGAAGAGAGAACACTATATGGTACCAAATACTAACCAAAAACAAACAAACAAAAAAACCACACACACACACACACCAAAAAGGACACAGATAAATAATGAAAACATTCAACTGCTGAAACACAGTGACCTTAAGCCACCTCAGTTTTCTCTGCCTAATGCTTGAGACACCCCGAGCCCTCATCCCGTGAGAAGAGGTGGCATGGTGGGGCGAAGTTACATCTCATCACCGTGGAAAACAGAGCTGTAGAGTTCAGTGTTGATTTCCAATAGAAATAAACAGCTAATGAGTCTTTGATACTTTTTGTTTAGTGACACGCTGGCACAAACAGCCCATCCTCTTACAATGATTGTTGATGCTGCTGTGGTTGTTAGGAGAAGATTGTTCTATTTTTCTGTCTCGACCGAGAAGACTTCACTGTCTGATTCTTTCTTCAGGGGCATGCAACTCCTTGCAGTTACCCAGCTACCAGAGCATCTCTTGAACAATTTTGTTGTTGGAAGTTCATAGTGTCAGACGCCAGCACACTTGCAACGCACGAAAATGAGGTAGTTCACGACGCCGTGTTTGTGCTGCCTCGGCCGCCCCAGCCTCCGGGGCCCTCCTGGCTGGATGCAGCTCAGCCATCAGCGTCAGGCTGTGTTCTGAAAAATCAGAGGACACTGTGCTTTGCTTTCATCTGAGAAGATAATAAATAAATCAGGAACTCGGAAAATTTCAAAGTCATGACTGATTGTACTGCCTGATACTTGCCATTTCTCTTGGGTTTACTGTACATGTGACCAGTGCCACCAGGCAGCCACAATCTTGTCTGTGGGTGAGAGAGAGAGACAGACCCGCTTACATGAAAATCAGACCTGCAGAAGGTTATCCTAGTTCCTTCCTGGCTTGTACTGACGTCATAGTCCTAGGATGAATTCACCAAGGTTTCGTTAGGGGGCGGTCACAGTTTTAAAGTGGGCTTTGTGGAAAAGTTAAATAAATCATTTTAATTTAAGAAACGGCAGGCCCTACTTTACTGAAAAGCTGACAAGTCTTGGTGGCTTTTCAAGTGGCAGAGATTTCTAATATTGTTTGACCATAAGACAAAACAAGGAACTGTAACAGTTTTCCCATTTTCCTTAAACTGAAGTACTATTTATAAAATACTTTACATTTTTTTAAATTTTCAAATTATAGACAAACCTCCCTAATACAAAATACTAAAAGTGCAATAGTATAAATTAAGAGTTTGCAACCACATTATACAAACATTACCTTTTTATTGTACAGCTTTGATAATGTGAAATATTTTCTCACAACTGTTTATAATGTTGTGAGTCATTTACGGTGATGTTTGTCTGTAACTCGTTCCCCAGTTATTGGGCTACAGACCACACTAGAAAACAACTGTCCACATAGCAGCTACAAACATTTAAATTAAAAAAAAAAAAAAAAAAGGCTTATTACTGACAGGTACTTGCACACGAAAAGCATGCTATCTTTCCCAACAGAACTTCACAATTTTGCCTGCATTGAAATAATCCACTTATTTATAGTAAAACAAATCTTGCTTAAAAAAAAAAATCACACAGCCAGATGTATTCTGCAGTACAAAAGCTTCGTTTAAGGTCGGGGCTATTATATTGTCTGTTACCCGCATTATCTTAACATCATAAATACTACAGACGAAGATAGTGTCATGATACACAGCATTGGGAGTACTAAACCACGTCTTTAACATGAAGAGTTCTAAAAAACACCGTTCAAGTGTCTAACTAATTCAAAAGAAACCATCAAATGAGTTTCACTGGAATACCGCAGAGAACCCCTTTCTCCCTCGGAGAGATTATTAGGTTTCAGGAGAAAGGAAGTGGACATGGTCTGAGCTCTTTCTGTTCCTAAGGCGGTTTTCCAAGCACTTTTTTTTTTGAAGGAAGCTTATTTAAAAGATTGCAGAGTTCTCGAGAACAGTCAGGCTTGCTGTTGAAGGGAGCGCCATGCAGCGCTTACAAGACCACCTCTCGGCAGCCGCACAAAGTGTTTTCTGCTATGGGTGAAAGTGTAATGAGAACCGAGGCAAGAAAGGTCGGAGGCCTGATGCTCCAACTTCAAAACGTGGGCCTGGGCAGGGCAGATGAGCGAGTCACTGGCTAGTTGATACCAATCTCCTTGTTATCCTCGATAAACCGCGTGAATGGGCGGCTGGCTGCTGTTTCTGAGCTCGCTTTGTCCAAGCTGACGATGGGTGGGCTACTGCCAGTGCGTGCTTTGTCCATCCCACTGGCCATGCTGCCCAGAGGGGGGAGGGCGCTGCCCCCAAGACTCACGGGGAGCTGGGGGATGCCGCCGTTCTGGATGACGGAGATCTCGTTGTTCTTCATGGCGAGCCCGTTAGTGATGGCTGCAGCATACTGGTTCCAAAAACTGGGGTCGACGTTCATTGCCCGAGCTGCCAGGTCCTTCTGGAACATTTCAGAGAACTTCAGGGCATCACCCCCTAGGAGAGCCATGGGGTTCTCCACAGACAGGCGGCGGCCGCGTCTCGCGGGGGCGTTATTCCACATGTGTGTCCCCATGTGCACCTGCGCGAGACACGGAGACAGCCCACGAGTAAGTGCCTAGACACGGAGGCAGAGCTGCTCCGCTTCCAGCGCAGCAGACAGAGGTCCACCCCGCTCCCAAGCGCGACTTACGGACAACAAAACACAGGTGGACTTTTCTGGGCACTTTATATTTCTACATGCAAACATCTTGTTTTATTGAATACAATAAGCAAAACCAACAAATATAAATTAATGAGTGCGGTCTTTCAGTTGACAAACTTTCGAGTAATTTTCTCCTAAGGTGTAAAACCCACATGGCCACGCAGAGAATGTTCTGGAGCTCGAAGGGTCCGGGTCTTGCTCCTTCACTTGCCCAAGCCCTGGCTCCCTTCTGACCTCTACTGTCCCCCACTTTGCATCTTCTGCTGCTGGGACTCTCTGACTGTGCCCCTCTCCTCTTGCTTTCTCTCAAACAAAGAAACATTAATTCTAGAACATCCCAGGGCCACCTGCCAGCAGGCCCTGCGGGCAGTTCTTATCCAGCCCACGCACGCCAGGTAGAAACCACAGGCATCGATCTTTGGGCTGTCTGAAGAGGCTGCCGGAACCCAGACAGGCTGGCTTTGCAAACGTGCACTTCACAGACGACAGAAAGCAGCCATCAGTCAACACAGCACAAGGCACAGGCCTGAGCCACCCAGTACTCGTCACACACCCGCTCTACCGCTGCTGCTGCGATCTCATACAGGAACACTGCACAGCGCTGGCTCCTCTGCCCCACGCCAGGAGCTTCTCACCCAGCGCCCCTCCCATGGGCCCTTTTGGCAGCCACACGGACAGAACGACAGGGCCTGCTGAGTGGCCTCGCCTTGGTACTGCTTGTATTACATGTGAGTTTTAAAACCAAGTTTATTTTCTATCAGATTCAAGAGGGCTTCAGGCCCTGGACCTGCCTACCAAGTTGCAAAGTGAGCATTCTCACCCCTAAGGAATGCCTAACCTGGCTGAAGGCATCAGAGGCCCAGCTGCACGTGTTCCCCGGGAGAGGCCCAGGCTCCTGTTCCCCCCACAGCGGATTAACAGGATGTAGTCTCAGTGTGTGTGCACAGGGACACACAGGCATGCCAGACACCACACACGACATGCACATTTGCACACGCACGTTATAAATATATGGATACATTACATACACCCACACATAGGGCACCTACACATGCACACACACACGACCCATACACACCTGCACACACATAGGTACACGCTACTCACCCACACGCACACCCGACACACACATATCACACCCTATAACACGCACACATCACGCACACACACCCACAGGCGTGGCATCTCACCCCCCTGGCCAGGATAGGAGCAGGACCTCGGCCGCTGTGTCTGCGGCAGGTGATGGAGAAAGCCACCGTGGCTCGGCCGCACCGCAGCCGGGGCTGGAGCCTGCCATGCTCTTACCTTGAGGTTGCCCTTAGTGGTGAAGGCCCGGCCGCAGATGGTGCAGCCGAACGGCTTCTCGCCGGTGTGCGTGCGCTCATGGATCTGCAGGGCGCTGGCCGAGGAGAAGGTCTTCCCGCACGACTGGCAGTTGTGCTGCTTGGGCGTCCGGCGCGGTGGGGGGGCCAGCATGGGCGCCAGGCCCGGGCCCATCACTGTCTGAGGCCCGGCGGGGACCTGGACGCCCGCGGGCAGCGGGGGACCCTCGCCCAGCGCCATGGCCTTGCCGTGACCGTTCACTTCCATTTTGATCATGGTGGGTGCGGCGCTGGAGATCAGGCTAGGAGTGCTTTGGCTGGGACCTAGAGCAAAGTTGGGGTCAAATAACTGAGAAGGCAGCTCTTTCAATCTGTGTGTCAGTAAGTGCTGTTTTAAATTACCCATAGTGGAGCACCCTCGCCTGCAGAGCGCGCAGACGAATGGCCGCTCCTTAGTATGGCTGCGGTAGTGGATTTCCAACGCGCTCTTGCAAGCAAAAGGCTTGCCACAGACACCACACACAGTGCTGGGACACTTACCCCGCTCCCTGCTCAGGAACAGCAGGCTGAAGGGCGCCTCCTCCTTGATGCCCGCGCGGCCAGGGGCGCCTCCGCTGCCCGGGGCGGCGGCTGGGCTGTCCGGCCTCTCGGTCTTGAGCGGGATTTCCTGGGGCTCCTCCGGGGCGCCCAGGCCCGGGGACTTGGAGCGGAAGCTCTCACCATTGCTGGGGGCCGGCGACAGGGCCTGCGAGGACGAGGACTCGGACAGGGCGGGGCTGCCCGCGCTGCGGCTCTCCAGGTCGCCCACGGCCGACGAGGAGTCGTTGCTCAGGCGGTCACTCTCCCCGGACCCGTTCTCCACGGACTTGAGGCCGGTCAGCTGCTGGCAGCTCATGACCGAGTCGATCATCTTCATCTGGTTCTCCAGGGCGGCAATGCTGGAGATGACCGAGGGCGGGGAGGGCGGGCAGGACCCCGCGTAGGACAGGAGTGGCTTGGCCGGGTCGGTGGCCGCGTCCTTCAGCTCAGCGTCGTCCTCCATGGAGTTCTCGTCCATGTCGTCATCGTAGCTGCTCAGGGTCTCCGCGTTCTTGTCGTCGTAGGCCAGCTCGGAGTCCATGGCATCCTGGAAGCCCTCCGGCAGCGGCGTGTTGGGGATCTGGCCGCCCATGTGCATGCGGATGTGCTGCTGCAGGACCACGGCGTTGGTGAACTTCTTCTGGCAGATGGGGCAGGAGTGCTGCACGCGCAGGGGCGGCTTTGCACGGTGCACGCCGAAGTGCGTCTTGAGGTTGCCCTTGGTGGTGAAGGCGCGGCCGCAGATCTTGCACTTGAACGGCCGCTCCCCCGTGTGCGTCCGGTAGTGCATCTTCAGCGCGCTCTGGCAGCTCAGCACCCGGTGGCAGATGACGCACTGGTTCGGGTCCGTCATCTTCTTGTCGATGTTCTCCACCAGCTGCTGCAGCTTCGAGGTTTCCGACGTTTGCATCGAGTCTAGCAGCCCCCCGAACGGAAACTGGGCCTTGAACTGCTCGGAGACGGCGGGCAGCCCGGGGCTGCCGAGGCTCGTGGGTGCGCCGTCCACCGATGTGGGTGCAGCGCTAGCCTGCGCGCCCACGGGAGCGTCCCCGGCCCTGGCGTTGGTGCAGGGCAGGCTGACGGGCTCGGCTTTAGTGAGGGGCGGCCCGCCGAGGAGCGACTGTGGGGACTCGGCGGTGGCCGACACGCCGGACTCCACGTGGTTGAGGCCTGGGGACAAGGAGGCGCACTCGCTGGAGGCGGGCGAGGGCCTCTGCGGGGAGCGGCTGGCTGGGGTGGCGCTGGGAGAGTCGGCGTAGCCGTGCGCGCCAGGGACAGTGGGCGGCAGTTGCAGCCCCACGGACGTGGGCACGGTGGGCAGCACGGGCTTGCTGTCCAGCCAGGTGGTCACGGGCTTCTCGGGGGGCAGCGACATGCCGTAGGGGATGCCCGAGCAGGTGGGCACGTTGTCCAGGTACTCGGGGACCGGGTAAGGGTTCATCTGGATGTGGGGGTACTTCTCCTTGTGCCTCTGGAAGTGCACCTTCAGGTTGCCTTTGGTGGAGAAGCGGTTCCCGCAGATGTTGCACTTGAAGGGCCGCTCGCCTGTGTGCGAGCGCAGGTGGATCTGGAGCGCGCTGTCGCTGCCGAAGACCTTGGCGCAGAAGCGGCATTTGTGCTTGAAGAACGGGTCCTCGGCGCTGGCTTTGGGCTCGAACACCGACACATTGGGCGGCTTGCCCTTGCGGTGCTTCATGAGCGCGGACAGCGGGTCCAGAGCGTTGGCCGTGGCCGCGATGCTGACCAGCGGGTTGGGGAAGATGACGCCGCTGGCGGAAGTCTGAGGTAGAAGCGGACTTGGCAGGCCGGGCGCCGCACCCAGCAGGGACCCCGGGGCCAGGGCAGGCGGCGTGGATGCGCTCTGCGGCTGCGACGAGGCTGCGCTCTGCGGCGCTGGCGCCGGGGCGGGGGCAGCGGGGGCAGGGGCGGCGCTGGGGGCGGCGGGCGCGCTGGGCTCCGCAGGGCCGCCGGGGGTGCTGGCGCCAGACTCGGGCCGGGACAGCGGCTGCGCGCCCTCGAAGGCGGCCGGGGCGGCGGGGCCCGAGCCCGCGATGGCGGCGGCAGGGGCCCCGGCCGACAGCGGGAGCGCGGCCAGCCCGGGCAGCTGGCTGGGGGCCGGGCCCGGTGCGCTCGGGGCGGCCGCGGGGCTGAGTGAGGGCCGCGGCGGCGGGCGCTGCATGAGGGCCACCTGGCTGCGGATCTGCTCGATGAGCTGCAGCTGGTGGATCTGCTGCTGCTGCAGGGCCATGAGCTGTTCCAGGATCAGGGGCACGGCTGCAGCTGCCACGCCTCCACCTGCTCCCGAGCCGCCTGCCGCGCGCGCGCCCTGCGAGAACTGCGCCACCGCCACCTTGGTGCTCAGCAGCGCCTCCAGGGTCACGTTGGTGCTGGGCGCGCCGTAGGCGGGCGTTGGGGGTGCAGGGGCCGCAGGCGGGGGCCGGGGCGCGCGCGTGTCCCCCGCGGGTTCCGCGTCCATGGGCTCGGCCTCCTTCTCCACCGGCCTGGCCTCGCCCTCCGCGCCCTCCGCACCCGCCTCCTCGGCCGCCTCGCTTTCGGCGCGCTCGCTGGGGGAGCTGGCGGGCGAAGGCTCGGGGAAGTCCTCGGGGGGCGGCGCGGGCGCGTCCTCGTGCACGATCAGCACGGGCGGGAGCTTGGTGCAGCTCCGCTGGTGCTCCAGGAAGTCCGCCCACTTGAAGAACTCGGCGCAGCATTTCTCGCACACGCTGGTCTCCTCGCCCCCGCTGCGGCTCTCGGGCCCGCTGTCTGCGTCCTCCGCACCTTCCCCCGGGGCGGCTGCAAGACCAAGAGAGTGAGTCAGCCGGGGCTCGGCGCCCGCCCTCCGTCTCAAAATTTTGCACGAGTAAAATCAATATTTTTTATTTTGTACAAATTACCCCACTTCGACATTTCTGACGTCCCAGCGTGCGTATTCTATGACTCTTTCTAGCTAGCTAATCATTTTCTTAGCCCAATCCATCAAATTATGAGGCCCTATCAATTGTGGATCCTGCTTCTTAATGAAATTCCATAGAAGCCATTGATTTCCAATATTTTCATACAATCTGCGGCTACCCTGTCTGTTGAGTACAAAGCCGGCTTTCGATGGGCTCATTAGGATTCCCCTTTACCATCCGGCTTCCTCATTTCCAGCAAAATTAGAGATGCCTTTGCCAGTTCACTTAACATTGCTAAACTAATCTGTAACCTTTCAAACTCACATCAACACCTGACAGGGGGCCGCGCTGTGGCCGGTGTGGTCCCCACCACGCGGATTTCTCATCTTTACGCAGCGCGGAGACATTCCAGATTTAAGGTAAGGTTACTTACAGAACCTCTGAGCCAATGGGCATTTACTTTATGTAGGCAATTTTGGCTAAATGCTCTCATTTGTGAATGTAACAAAGGAAACATAAGCGTTTCTTACATCAGCTCAGAAAAACAATCTCCGCCAACTCAGAGCGACAGAGCAGTTCCCCCCCCCCCACCCTTGTACTTTCTTCCAGATAGGGTACACTTCTACATTTTAGACTTTGCCAAATCAATACAGTCTAGGCCTAAAATGCATCATGTGTAATACAATTAATTGGCTCTGTCAGATGCAATATTTCTTGGCAAAATGAACTAAAATTACATGTTACTGTTATTAGCCAATAGAATTCAGTGGTTTGTTAACAAACTAGAAATTATATATTTAAAGTTCATTTATGTTGACATGTTTAACATGAGAATGTTGTAGTCAGACACACTTTTTGTACCTATTTTCATCTATTCTCATAGAAGACTTAGCAAATTATATGCTTGTGCCATAGTGGAAAACCCTCTAATTGGTTACACATGTTTAATTACTGTTGTAGGCAGCCACTTCCTCCGTCTCCCCTTACCCTCTTGTGCCGAGTAACAACTATGTTTAATGAAGAACTCTAATTCACACCTGATCAAATAAATAGCTATACAGGAATGAGAAACCAACATACAGCAACGTTGCTACCTTCCATTTTTTGGGTGGTTGGGGTGAAAAGTAATTCCCAATAATTACTCAGGTTCTCTGTGCTCGCCTGGATATTACTGACTCGTAACTGCTTTTTGTCAACTTACAGATGGAGTGATGGCAACAAATCAGTTCCAACAGACACAATGACAGCTGCACATCAGCTCTTTGTTAAACGCGCACAGTTGAGTGTGAGAACAAAACATCTTCAAGTCTGTGTCCCCGGAAATAATTTACTGTTAGAACATCAACAAATGCAGCATTTGCTAAAAAGCTCCACATTTGTTGTTGATGTTTAGGGTTCTGGAAAAAGAATAATTTAGCACTGAGTTCAATAGAGAATTCTGATTTTTAAAAAAATGTCCTGTAAAAACATACTTTTCCTCTACTTGAAAAGAAAAATATTTTTTGAGGCTAGTTTGTGACTCACCATGAGGCCATTATTCTCAGGTAATTTATACATGCCTTTAAAAAATTATTAGCAGTGTTCAATTAGCATTTTCTTAACTGGCTAAACCATCTGAAGGGGAAAGAAGTTAGAGCTTGCAGCCCATAAAGCCTGCTAGACTTTTAAACTAAATTCAGCGCCGAAGACCAGACTGCAGCAAGAGGTCTCATTACTGTATGGAGGAAGGAATGTAATAGGTATCTGTAATGAGGTTGACTATAGCTGGAAGCAAAGACACAGCTGATTTATACTGCAGATAGGCACATTAGCAAAATAAATACTCCAAGTACTCAACTTTGCTCAATGTATGCAAAATCTAATTTTAAACCCGCAAAGGTTATGGAATAGGGCAAAGAACAAAAAGAGCCTCAAATCTTCAGGTAATTTCTTAATGACTGATAAAAAGGCCTATCTCAAAATCTAGTCATGTATCTTAAAAATAATCACAAAATGCAAAGAATTTCTACTTTTAAATTTCTTTTTAAGAGTGGAATGTTCTTCAGCAGCCCTGAATGTTTAAAAACAAAAATCTAAGTAGCCACTTAAAAAGTTCATCTGCATTAAACCATCCATACACATCTATATGGCACAGAAATAACTACTGTAACTAAACAAGGAACAGAGTGTTTTAAGGGGTTTTCCAATATTTTGAAACAATGATACAAAATATTTTAAAAAGGAACATCCCAAGAAATTAAATGCTTGTTAATTCCTTGAAACATTTTTTACACTTAACTCCTTACAGGAGATAAAATGTATAACTTATATGCTACACAAAAACATTCAGGTAGTATATATAGTTACAGTTTTACAAAGTGTGTATCTTATTAAAAGAATACTTTTTCTTTATAGGGAATGTGTATTAGGGACAGTTCATTGAGAAAAATGCTTTAAAATTAGGTTGATCCTTGGATCATTTCAAGTGAGTTTAGTGTTGAAAGAATTAACTTACATAACCACAGATACATTTTATCTTTAAAAATGAACATTTCCCAGATTTTGTCACAAACCATAGTGTGTGATAAATATCACTTTTGTTTTTCACAAAGATCTTGTGCTTTTTGCAAAGGTCCTGACCCAAACAAATCTCTATTTACCTTAACAATTTGCATTTTTACATTCCCATTAGTTTTTTTTAAATATGTTAAATATTTTTAGGGTTCACTTCCTAATTCATGGATGTTGGGAAGTGTTTCCACATGTGATTTCACTTTTCCCATTGGTAAGTTTGCTAAATTGCAACTGTTTCTCGATTGTGGAAACCGTGCGTAGAATGTTTAAGCACTTTCTGCCACATAGTAAGTCATTTTGTTTAAAGCAATTATAAGTGATAATTACCAATACAATGAAGATATTCTTTTCAAAGTAAAATAAGCTTCCATTTATTCCTTCAAAATTGAAAAAGGAAATTGTGTTAAAAAATGTCATTGTGACCATTTGGACCTGTTAACAGTTCATTTTGTTAATGAGCCCAAGGAAACAGACTATGCTGGATTTTATAAGCAAAGCTCCGTAATAAATTTGGCTTTTGACTAAAACAGACCTTAAAGGTTATTATTAATGAAGGAAAAAAATTTCAATACAACTCAGATTATTTCAGGCAAATCAGGATCATCATCTATATTTTCTATTGAGGTGTGTATAAAATATCAATGTGATCACCTCAATTGTTCTCGCGTGCCCCAGCTGTGACTGTGTCTCACTATCAACATTTGAATGTGATTAGCATTCCATAAAAGTTGTAGATAAGAACGAATTTCACAACATAGCCCCGAATAAAAGAAATACAGGTAAAAACACTCACGTGTGGAATTGAAACAATCACATATGGAATTGAAATTCTGTCTGCATACTTCAAGAATGTTATTAAACAATAGTAAGCACTTGACTGAACTGGTTGTAGGAAATAACCAAAGTGAACATATTTTACTAAGGACAGAGTTTCCTGAGAACTAGAAAGACATTTTGCTGGCTTGCAGACTGAGGAGTGCTGGCTTCTGATGCATTCTGAAGAATAAGTTCTTATAAACTGCTTCCATGGCCCTTCTCATGATGATGATTAAATGCATATATTACAGTGTTTATGTGCCAATCTGACATTATTTACTTACGTTTAAGTGCTGTCTATAACAAGCAAACCCATATGGGAAAAATCTGCATTTAGTCCACAATTTTATCATATAAACTTCTAAAGCCCTTTAATCCTGCCATCATTTAAAGCCAGTATTATGTCAGATTCAAATGTATTTAACCACCTTTTTAAATTAAACTTGTATTTTGAACTGGCCTGTATGCATGTTCCAAAAATAGAAGTTATTACATTAATTAATATGGCCTAAACTTTTTATGTCAAGGCAAAACCATGTCAGCGAGGCACTGTAACAACAGTACAACAGTGACAAGTTTGAGAAATTTATTTCCAATGCAATTTTCATTTTCTTCCTCTCTTTGTTTAAGGGGCGAATTAAAAAGCAAGCATTGCAAACATTATCATTAATGTCAAAGGAACTTATTTTTTGCACACTATTCAACAGCTAAGAGACGTGAAACTGTAAACAGGCAGGGGATGGGCAGGAATGGGATTTTATTAGAACAAGTTAAGAAAAATGCCAACCAGTTCACCAACTAACAGAACTTAGCGAACACTCTTCCCTTCTTGGTGAATGAGAGTATCTGGCCAGGGCTACTTTTAGGAAGTACCAACCCATTTGCTTCTATGTGAACGTGAAGGTGGCCTCAGGACCTGCTCTGCCACAACCCGCCTTAGCTGATCTCAAATTAAGTATCACACCCATGGTGCCATGTTGGCCATCTGCACTACACAGGATAAAAATATAGTTTTTTTTTCCATTTAATTTACAGTGATCCCAATATCTGCTGTTTACACCTAGATTTTCAGGGCCTCTATTACCATGTGCACATTCCTTCCTGTCTGTGTTTCTCAGTTGTACAGAAGAGGGGAGGAAGGTCCCACAGGCCTTTCAGAGAAAACCTCTAACAAAAGCATAGCTTCAAAGACGATAGTTAAAAAAAATATGTATTTTCCCCTTCTAACTAATAAAATATACACAGAATGTTTAACAAAAATGTTCCTATTCTTAGGAGTGACTCTTGGTGTGAAAGGAACCCCTCAGACTGTCTGTTTTTGGTCTTCGCTCAGCTTTAATCCCTGGTCTGTTATAGAATCTATCTATCTTCTATCAGAATGACAGGCAGAATTTTTAGCCTGGATGATCTTTTTAAAGCCACAAGTGAAAAACATCATTGTAATATGTGTGTGTAAAATACAGCTATGTGATTTCCAAGCAAACTAATCCTCTGATTTGGTTTTACATGAGAAATTACATGAGAAAAAACCTAAAACAGGTTTTTTTTTTAAAAATAAGTTTACTTAGAATAATATTAAAATGCTCAATTTTTACATAAATTTTGTGTATGAAATATATAACTTAAGATATGCTGTGTATACCTATATAATATTTAAGACGATGCTTTCTTCAAAAATTTCAAGCTACAGTTCTTGGCATTTCAAGTACAGTGGTTTTTAAGTAAGCTAACCAATTACAAAGTAGTATTAATATAGGTGTTCTGTAATTTCCTTTATCAATCTCAAAAGCTCACCTTCAATACACTTTTGCTGCATGTTTTTTACTCATTACAATGAACAAGAGAAGCAGAATTTGTTTAGTGCAGGGAAAGGGTTGTTAACTTATCCACTTCAATGAGTAACTTTAAAATGCCACGTGGATCTTCAGGAAAGGAAGACGGACTTTTTCCTTTGCCTTTCCATCTCTTAAAAATCCAGAAAGCATTTTTTTCCAGTTTTCCTAAATTGTTAGGAGACACTTATTTTCTTGCAAATTAATTCTTTTTAACTCCTTATGATAGCTTTGAATCCCATAAAGAAAGATGAATTATCACATACTGAGCCCAAGCTGTGAAACAGGAGGAGACAAATAGAGACCCCTACTGTGTTTAACAATGTAGAAGAAATTCCAGACGCAATAGAAAAATTTTCTGTCCTTTTCCCGAGACCTCAGAGTGTGTACGCACAGCGCTGAACAGTGGAGGGCACTCTTGCCATGCTCAACGCGGCTCTGACCACACACTCCCGCGCGTCGACGCCATGGCCCACACCTCAAATTTGTTAAGTCACGACCACCTGTGGCACAGTCACCAACTGTCTTCTGCTTAAAACATTTGCAGTTTTTAACCTGTGCAGTGAAGCACCCGGGAGGAGACACGGTTGCCTTTATGGGTACATGCAGATGGGAGCTGGACAGCACTCGCATTTGCTTTAACTATCTGCCCTCGACGCTGCTTCAAATAATAAGACGTTTGTTACACTTCAAGGTTGCACAATAGTTCTTTCATTTAGATGTTATGCTGTCATCACACTTATAAGGAACGCGTGTGTATCACTATCTATGCCTAATGAAAAATACGCAGACCTGAAATATGTCAGCTGATGCAAACAATTTCAATCGAAATTTGATGAGGGGGTGAAAACAAGGTTTTGCTAAATCACTTTTGGTGAAGATGCAGATGGTTTACATTCAAAGGCTGTGGTCTCACTGATCCGACACATGAAATTAAACGTGCTATTTCATGACATGCCTACTTGAAAGCACCCAAACACTGTCCATTTTTCAAATCCACTATGCATAGAAATAAATACGCAAAACCACTTAGACATATAAATGCCTACATGTAAATAGCTCTAGAGGGGCACATGAGCCACGCTGCGTCCAGAAGCAAGGCTACCATCAGCTGTGACCATCAGCCCGCTCACACTCGGGATCAGGCGATGGAATCATTTCCATCATTTGTCAGCACTTCATGGCACTTTCATTTCTACAGGCAAAGTTTGCACATATGCAAAAAATCATCCTGGAAAAGCCACTGCCCTGGGTCGTTGAAGCCAGTGACTCTGCACGTATACAGATCCTACAACAGAATTACCAAACAGTGCGGTGAAGGTCACTCTCGAAAAGACCAGTAACGCCGACGAATCACGACAAAGTGCCGCGGCACCTGCAGGGTTAATTAAACAGTTCAAGATGCAATAACGACACAAAAGAAAGCCGTTTTCTCTTCTTCTTTAAGAACTATAAACACTTGTGCTGAACTAGATGGCGTCTGAGAAGCCGTGCAGCACGGCGCAAGCTCGCGGGATCTCTAGTTAACACTCAGATTCAGTGTTAACACTTAACAGAACAGTGGTGAGCCCTGTTGCCAAGGTCAACAGCACAGATGCACTAATTGTATTATGAGCTTGACATCTAGTGGCCACCCCTGGCAGGGCAAAGCAGGCAAAGGTTAAATCAGCAAGGCTTGTCAAAGCACTTCTAACTACCCACCTTCAGGGAGAGACGGTCGGAAGCTGGCCAGCACTCTGCAACCCCACCTTTTCAGACATCAGACAAAAAGGCTTTCTGCGCCGAGCTGGCTGCTAATGCTCGCAGAGAATGCGAAGGGGGTAGGGATTTTAGATAGTAAGCAGAACTAATCTGAAGGTGATTGAAAAAGACAGGCCCACAGAGGAAAATATTTAGACACCACACTGGCATTATCGGATCCCCTTGGTGGACACCGTCTCAGTCTGGAGAACGCCTCCCTTTAATTAAGAAACAAATCAATCTTCATCTCTAACATAGAAACCATTCCATTATTTTATTACAATTAATATTTTATACTTTCTGGCATGTGACTGGCCTGGTTTGCTTAGAAATCAGTTAGCTGCATTTTAAATCATAAATGTGTCGAAATTACATGAGAAATAACCCTAGACAGGTTTTTTTTTTTAAATAAAAGTTTACTTGGAACATTAAATTGCTCAATTTTTACATACAGTTTGTTTCATTGTGTATGAAATGTGTAATAATTAAGGTATGCTGTAATTACAAACCTGTCCTTCCAAGACTAAAACATGTTGGTCTTATTCTGGCAACTACTGAACAAATCATGTAGGAAAATAAAACTAATAAAAACAAAAAATCCTTCCTGTTATATTTAAAAGTTATGCTTCTTGAAACTATCTTGCAGCACTGAAAGATGGTGCATATCCTCATTAGAAGTGAAAAAGATTTTTATTGTACTTAAATAAAAGCTGGTGCCAATACTTTTAAGAATGCTAAATTCCAACTAATGGTCAGCACACAGAATAGAAACCCTGGTTGTGCTTTTGCTGAATTCCCCCCAAAAGAAAATATTCTTAGGGCTACCTGGAAATGAATGGTACAGCTTCTTAGAGATTGCAGTTGGAAATGAAATTTGACCCACTTTTACCATCATCTTGTATACAAAAAAGAATCAGCTTGCTAAGTAATTCCTGCTGTTACTCCATACCTTTTTCTGGCTTTGAACAACAGATCTAAAAATATTGGATAATGCATATGCCATGGAAGTTGAAAACGTACTGCACATAAAATTCGAGAACTGTTACATAATCAGCTCTCTCTCTCTGCAAGCTGGGAATTAATTGGTATGCTTTTTTGTTGATCACAGAAACGTGCACTTTTAAATAGGTTAAGTTTTTTAATGTTGTTTTTAAAAGAAATGTTGGCAAAGTCTTCTTTTCCTCTCCCCTCACCCAACCCGGTTACTTACTTTTTACCTTTCATGTTTCAGAGAAAGCAATCTGCCTGTGAATGTTAGAAAGTAGCTCCTGCATTGTTCCTTTTGGTATGCTGAATTGTAAATGTGTGTAGTGTGCTGGGGGAGCACTGAGGGCAAACCATGCATATACAGATAAAAGAAAAAGATCCTGCGCCAAGCACTGGTGGCCGAGCTTCTTTCCCTTAATTCAAACACAGTCTGTGAAAACCACTGGTAAATTCTTAAATCACATGCTCAACACATTTAAAAGGATTTTTAAGACAGCCATATACTTCTAAGTTGGCAGAAAAAAAAACACACTTTGAAGCAATTAGTGCTAACAAACAAAATACAGGATGGTAAATGGTTTTAAATTATAATACCCTTTTGTTCCTTCTTAAATACATATTTTCTAACAACAACAAAATACATCTTTCTTAAATTATATTTTATACAATAAAGAATAGCAGTATTGTATCTTTTAAAGTTCTTAGTGGGCATATAACTGTCATTGGAAGTTTTAATTAATTTTTCTTAGAACAAAAATATTCAGCTGGCTCACAGGATTACTAGTGGCGCAAAGTTCACTGGATCCTAAAGCTGCAGCGCCTTTCTTCTAAAATAGGAATGAGATCATTTGCAAGTAAGTAATTTTAAAAAGCAATTTCTGTTAGGAATGTCTCAATGACTTAATTTTTTTTTTTAACAAAAGCATGACTTTAGAACTTTACATAAATTATCCTTACTTTTTCTCATTCTAGACACGTCATGTTTCATTCCTGTAGTGGTAAGGTTTGGGTAGCACCAGTTATTTTTGTATAGAATCTTTTCATTGCTTCAAAAATAAATCATAATTCTTTTTTAAGAGATACAGGCTTTGTGCTGTAAATTAATGTGAGTGCATCTCTGTCCCCCATTATACTAAACATTTTTGCATAGAATATTTGTTCTGCAGGACATTATCAGTAGCTTTCCATTTTACTGCATGTAGATGGACCTGCTGCTTTAATTAATATGTCACTCCCCGAGTGATACAAAGGAATTATTTACCTCGTTTCTAAAACACTAAACTAACTGAGCTCACTTGCAACTTCCGGCACGGTCTGTTTATTTCCATTGCATTTAACAAAATTAAAATTTTGAGGAGATCTGACTCAGGTTGGAGTAATTTGGTTTCCACACCCATTTACCTTTTTATAATTTTTACTTAGTTATCTTAGGAACGATGCTGAGTGCGACCGAGTAATACACAAATGGGGCATTCCTTGACTTAACACGGAACAGAGTGTCTGTTATGCTCCTTGAACAAGCTGCTTCGAATATAATTAAATGAGAAAGAACTTAAAAAAAATAGTTTGCCTAAACTCTCTCAAACAAGCATGTGAGCTGCTCGACCAAGACTCGGCCCCACACAGGGTATTTTGGGCCTCTTGCAAAACATGACCAGGAACTGTGGCAACGTCTGGATTACAATTCTGGATGCTGTGAAAAACACAGGCTTGACAAGAACTTCAATTCTACCACGGGTAAAAAACCTGAATATTTTGCATCTCTAAATAAATTCGAGCAGCAACAAGAGGGATTCAAAGTAGAACTTGTGAATAATTTATCCCATCTTAGGCTTTCAAATATAGGCGATATAGCCCTCCACACGTTTACACTATTAAGTTCAGCATGCTCACATTTCTGAAGTGAAATTAAAAATGAATAGCAGTGCCTCAGCTTGTTAATTGTTAAATACCAGGGGGTTTACTCTATTAATTAAAATATGCTTTAATAAAAGGAGACATCGCACATTTTGATACCGACCCTACAAAGCTGAGAAGTATTTACATTGTTGCATTTTGGGGCGGCTGTGAAAGCCGATTTTAAGCCATTCAGGAGCCACAATAATAAAGCTTTAAAATTCCTCACTGGGACGCAATGTAGTTCTTTTGAAGGAAAGACTGTCTTTCTCATTCGGCAGAAATAAATCCATTCATTTGATCATGTAGTCATTGAGGGCGATACAAAACAAACCAAGTGTGAGAAATTCTATGTGATGAAGTAAACAAAACAAAAAAAAATCCATTTCCATGACAAAAAGATTCTTTGTCCTTAATCTACCCACCATATGCAAGCGTTTCTTTTTAGCATATCGCCTGTTCTCATCTTGGCTGACTTGGCTACACAGATAAGACTCCCTTACCTCCACCGCAACAAAAAGACCCCAGCGAGCTCACTAATTTTATTTAATTCATTAATTCTCCAGCCGCGTCATAAGCATGCTCTCTCGTTCTCATCCGACATGGGTGTCTACCCGCTTTGTCAAACTTTACTCCACTGTGTGGGAAACTCTTCCGCCCCGTTTCCTTTTCGCAGACAGTCTCATTCTCAGAGTAAAAAGATCACCATCTGCCTCCAACAACTTATAACAGGTCAATCATAAAAGTTGGCCTGCCTGTTTTTTTAAGGAGCAAATTATTTTACTGCGAGCTGTGCTGCGGGCTCGGGGTCGTGGGGTCGCCCCTCCTCGGCCCTCTTTCCTGGCGCCCTGGGGGCCCCGCGGGGCGCGCCGAAGCCCGGGCGCCGCCGGCCGAGGTTTTGACTCGACGAAGGGGGTGGGGGCGCCCCAAACTTTGCGGGGCTAAGGCGCCACTCTGGGAAGTCCAGCCCTTTGCCAGTCTCTTAACTTTCGCGGCGCCTGCCCTTTGCTCTTGGATGTTTCGAAGAGGACGCTCCTACCAGCGAAATGACTGCAAAGCCGAGGTCTCCAGCGCCCGGCCTCGGCGGATCCAAAAAGACGGGAGAGAAAAGGCCCGCGCAGACGCTGCAACGAACGCCCCGGAAACACGCCGCGAGCAGGGGCCAGGCCCAGGCCGCCGCCGCTGCGCTCACCCCCAGCTTAATTCCCCGGGCGGCCATTAGGCAGAGCCAAGCCCCCGACCTTCTCCTCGCCTCGCGAGGGATCACAGGCTGCGTCAACGCGCTGGGACACCGCGGGTCACCCGAGGCGGTGCGGGGGCCCGGGAGGGGCCGCGGGCCCCCGAACAAAGCTGGCCGGGCGGCGGGGTCCCCAACCCGCGTCCAGCGGTAGGTGGGCTGCGGTCGCCTTCCCCGCCGCCGCCGGCCTCAGCGTCCTGGCGCAGAGACCCTGGGGGGCGGCGCGGCGGCGGAGGCACCGTGGACTCCCTCCCGCCCCGGCCTCCGAGCCGTCCTCGAGCCGGCCGCGGCCTCGGCGCCCTTCGCGGGCAGCTCCCCGACTCCGAGGAGAGGAGCCAAGTTTACTTCGCCCACAACTCTCTCGGCGGCCGCGCGCGCTCCGGCGAAGTACCCGGGGCCCCGCGGCCGGCCTGGCGCGGGGCGGACGCTTGCCCGCAGGAAGCAGGGAACTTTCTCCCGCTCCCGGACGCGCGCATCCGCTCCCGCCGCACGCGCTTCCCCAGCCCGGACGGGCAGCCCCAGACCCCCCGGCCACCCCGCAGCCCCGGCCCTCACCGTGCTCGGGAGCCCCGTCAGGCGGCAGCAGCTCCTCGTCCGACTTGAGGTGCTGGGGCTTGGCCTGCTTGCGCCGAGACATGCTGCTAGCGGCGCTCGGGCCCCGCGCGGGGCAGCGGCATCAGCGGGGCGGCCGGCGGGGACGGCGCGGGGCGGCCTGGCGGGCGCGCGGCGCGGGGCGCGGGGCGGCGGCGGCTGCGCGGGCCGCGCATGGGGCTGAGCAATTAGGCTGGTGAATAATGCATGGCCATTAGCGGAGGGCCGCGCCGATTGGCCGGGCTCCAGCGGACTCCGGCGGCCTATGCAAATGAGGCCGCGCTCGCAATTAGCGGCCGCGCCGACGAGGAGGGGGCCGCGGCGCCTCGGGACCGGGGCGCGCGCTGCCCGGCGCCGCCTCACATCGCGGGCTCCGGCGCCGCGCTCCTCGGCCGCCCCGGGTGCGGCTGTGGCGGGGCCCGGGTGCGGCGCGGGCCGCGGTGGCCGTCCCTCCGCAGGGCGCAGGCAGCAAACTTTGGCGGCGTCCGCGCGGCGCCGTCTCCGCCGGCGCGCCGGGCTCGCCCCTTTATAGAGTGTCTGCGCCGCCGCCCGCGCCCCCCCCGCCGCCGCCGCCGGGCGGCCCCTCCCGGAGCGAGCGGCCGCGGGCAGGGCTCCGACCCGGCGCCTTTGTCTCGCCCGGGCCGCTCGGGCGCCGCGCCTCCTGTTCCGGGCGCGCGGGGTCGGCCGGCCGCCTTCGCTGCTCCGCCGCGGCTCTCAGCGCCGCTCAGCGCGGCGGGCCCGCCCGGGCTCAGGTGCCCCCCGCTCTCCGGACCTTCTCGCCCGGCCCCGCGTCCCCTCCGCGGGCTTCCCCCGGCGGCCGGCCGGGCTCGGAGGCTCGCGGCCGGAGCGGAGCGGAGTGCGCACGCCGGGGTGGCAGGACTTCGGCAAGACCAACTTTCCGGTTCGGAAGCGGCGCGGGCCGCGCGGCTCCTCCCCTCCTCTCCCTCCCCTGCGTTCCCCCTCCCTTCCACTCCCCCCTCTCCCCGCCCCCCAACCCGCGGGCCCCACCGACTCCGGAGCGCCCGCCCCGCCCGCTGCTGCCACCGGGCCGCCTCGCCCCCGCGCCAGCCCGCCTGGGCCTCTGCGCCGCCGGCGGCTTCTTAAATACAGGAAAGGGAGGGGACCGCAGGGCCCCGGTGTTCCCCACCCTAGTCCCCCTTCACCACGGGCCACCGGGCGCCAGCGGAGTGGGCAGCGAGCGCGACCGAAAGTTCCAACTCCACCAAACTCCCGCGCGCGGCCCACCCTTTCCCGGGATTTCGGGGATGACACGGGGGCCAGGTGAGGGGGCTGCGCACTTCTGGATCGGCCCCACACACTCGGCCCCTGGCGCGGCGCGCTCCCCGCACACGCGCCCGCCCCCTCCCCGCGGTCACACGCACGCGCCCTCGCCCTCGCCCCGCGCGCACAGGCGCGTACTCCCACCCGCGGCCGTGCACCCGCCGCGCTCCTTCCCGCGCGTGTCCTCTCTCCCCGAGCGGCCGCCAGGATGTGCCCCCGGCCCCGTCGTCGCCGCGCCCGCGCCCCTCGCCCCAGTACGTCTTTTTTCGTTTCCTAAATTTCTTATTTTTGTCCTTGCAAGTGGTCCTGTCTGGTGTGAACCGTCAGCACAGATGGCCTCCTGGAGCTTCCCCGAGTCGTTCGCTGGGGGAAGCGGGCGGTGAGCGGCCAGCCCGGGCGCTCCGCAGGCCGCGAGCTCCCGGCAGGGCTGGTGGCGGGGGTCCGCCTGGGGGAGGAATCCCCGCCTGCTCCATCGGACCCGGCCTGGCGCGGCTCGCGGCGCTCGGCGGGCTCCCTTCCATTCTAGAATCTTCCCGCTTGCTTCCCAGCCCGCGTTCTTCCGCCTGCCTTTAATTGTGTAAGTTTGACGAAGTCAGAGCTTTGGGTTCCAGGAAAAGCGCAGGAGGGTCATAGAGGAAGGGAGGGCGCAGGTTGGAGTCAGGTCCAAACAGTCCCTATCGCCACTTTTGAAAAAAAAAAAAAACAACAAAAACCCTTAAGGTTGGTTTTATTTTGCCTTTTGGTAGCGGGCGTATTCATTTAGATTTTTTTTTCAAGACAGGCAAATAAAAGGTGTTTGAAATCTCTAGTTATCCCGTTTAACACACCCATCGATGGCGCTTTTCTAGTTAAGCTACGGGGGAAACGTCTTTATCCCGCAGTTAGGCTGCGAACTTGTGCAGATGCTCAGGCTTTGTGGAGACGCTCCGGCATCTGGCGCAGAGGCGCCCGGCGGGGAAAAGTTTGCAGCCCGGGCTTTGGGGCGCGCGGGGGGCAGGAATTTTTCTGAGAAGAGAGGGGCATAGAGAGGCGGCGCGGGTGGGGAGAGAAAAAAGGAACGCAGGGGGGAGGGGGAAAAGCAGCTTGCAGGATGGGAGTTTCTTGCAGAATTTACAGGATTAAGGAGTTTGGGGAAGTCGCAGAGCTGCAGCGGAAAGGCAGGGGTCTGAGACTACTTTTGAGAAGAGAAACAACGCAAAACGATCGCTGGAGGGCCAGAGCCCTGGTCGAAGGTGCCCTAGCTTTTATGACCTGGTTAATTGTGTCTCCTTTTTATTTTTATTTTTTTCCTTACCACTACTACTACTACTACTTTTATTTTTTTTTAACCGATACACTTTGGAGAGAAGAAGCAGACACAGGTTCCCACGGCGTCTGACGCCTGCGGAGCAAGTCCAGAGCCAGCTGGACTCGCAGCCTCTGGCCCGGCGGCACCAACTCCTCACTGGGTCATTTTGAGCGCGCTGTGCCCACCTTTTCTGTTGCGTAAGGCCCGCTCCCCCTGTCCCGCAACCCTCTCTCCAACAAACCGGCACGATGTCTTTAGGTCTTTCTGGGGCTTCCAAATGCAACTGTTTAATTTCATCGATCTGTTTTGCATTTCCTACAAGGTGTGGACGTGGGGAGGATCTTCTAAGTCCCTCCAACGAAGGCAAGTGTGAGACTCTGGCCCTTTATTTGTAAGAAGCAAGCCTTCAGATTGCAGAAGTGTCGCGCGGGTCGCCGTGCGTTGCGCGAGTGGGAAGATGGAGGAGGCCGGCACGCTGCTTTCGTGGACGCAAGTGAACCGGGCGTGAAGGCAGGGTGCGAGCTCTGCCCTTGGCCCAGCCCTGCGTGGGCGCCGTCCCAGATTCCGGGCGGTGCGGGGTGCAGAGATCTGGAGAGACTTGCGGGCTCCCCAGCGCAGGCTGCTCTGGGATTTCGTTGGAAGATCCGGCAGAGCCTTGGAGGAGAGGGCCCGGGAGGCTGTGTGTGCAGCGGAAACTTGTACGAATGCCCCCACAGCGGAAATGGTGCGCACGAGTAATTTCTGCGGTGCACCCTTTTAAAAATTGACAAGTGAACAAGATCAATTTTTTAAGAAAGCAAAGGTAGAAAACAAAAGGCGTGCGACTTCTTGACTGGCTTGTTCCCGCCTTTCTTCCTTCTCTATACTCAGATCAGAAACTTTTCTTTAATTGCTCTTATTCAGTGCGACAACTTTTAATAAAAGCATTTGCATTTTAAGCCTGAGTTGCAACCATAGATTTATTGCGAAGTGACAACGTGTCTATGGAATATTTTCGCAGATGAGACAGGACATGCGCTCTAGTCGTGCCCAGATTAAAGCGACGCTGGGCCATGTGCCTGTGTAGTGCAGACTCGGAGGGGCACACACATACTCGTCACCACATGACCACTGTCTATTAATATTGTCATACCTAAACACTCGCAAAAACAAAAGTTGCTTTTCTTCCCTGTAATTAAATCTAATTTGTTAATTGTCTTTCCTCTTGCAATGTTGTTTTCATCTTGAGGTGACACATTATTATTTTGTCTAATATTATTTACAAATTAATGCTGTATATTTTACATTAGTGAAACATATAATTAGGTGTTTGGTTCAATCGGTATCATTCAGATAAAACAAAGCCTATCTGCAAGATTGATTGGAAGTGGAGTAGTTGGTTCTAATTTACCATCACAGTCACAGTTTATTGAAGCTACCTGGCCCCAGATTCACAGAAGCTAGTTTTACCTAAGGTGCATTTGATGCTTTGTTTACAAGTGTTTATTTTCCCCAACCACTTAATGCAAAAAAAAAAAAACACCTTCAAATATTAGGGCTTTCATTTCATTTTCTGTCTTCTTTCATTCCTCCCCCCACCCAAAGTTCCTTTCTTCTATTCTCTGGCCACCTCTCTCCGTTTCCTCCCCTACCCCCAACTTTTGTTTTAGGTTCTTAGAGTTAAATTCAGCATGATTTGGTGCCTCTAATGCTGTGACAAGTGACTGCTAATTGGTTCTCACTTGAGCAAAGATATTACCATACTAATATTATTATTGGTAAGAAGAGGTAATTGATAACACCACCTGCCACTCTGGGGCAATCAGGATGATAAATGTTTCCATCAACAGGAAATCTGTGCTTGGTGTGCCACAGCCCAACGCAAACAGCATGTCAAGTGCCAATTATAAAGATGTTGCTTTTCTATTACATTGGGTGGGGGTGTAGGAAACATGTAGCCAAAAATTATATTTATGGTTTTTTGAAAACGCTTTTTCCAATCCTCTGTTTGCCTACTTGAAGATAACTTTCCCCGTAAAAATAAAATGCTCTAAGTAAATAAACCAGCACATAGCTAACTGCCCTGTCCACACTGGATACAACTGCTGTGACTTCCTTTGCTTTCAAAGCTATTGGAGATAAATATGCCTAAATATTTTTAACAGATGTGAGCCGGGTGTGGAGTGTATCAGTCCATTTTGGTTACGTGCTCCGCAGCCTTCCTGTGTGTTTATTCCAGGACGCTGTGTAGCTTCACCGTAGCCATCAGAGGCAAACATTCCGTGGCTTTTTATGGCATACACAGAAACATCAGCTCACAGTCGTCTTCGCACTGAGGGATGCAAACGATGGTGAAGTACTTCTCTCCTGATGGCTGAACTGTGGCTCGGGGCTGCATGTAGACCAGGAGGGACATTTCAGCATGTATGATTACATAAATAATGCTAGCAAGTTAAAACTTTGACTCCTTGCCTATAGGGAGGCCGAAACGATTATTATTAGCTTGCATTAATAGATGCAGGCCTCAAAAGGCGAAATCAGCTATTGATAATTGCAAGAAGTATACAGCAGCTACTGTATCGATCGGCTGGTCCCTTATTCCCCTGGTATGGGAGAGATAAGAAGACTCACTCTTTAGTGCAATATAATTTCTTTTGACCTATCTGCTTGCTACAGACTTATGATGAATAGCCAGAGTGGTTAAAGTCCTTTATCACGAAAGTTACCCCTTGATATAATATTGATTCTTTATAACTAGCTCCAAACACAAAAATCAAACTGTCCACTTGACCATCATCATCATCAATATCATCACAAAGCCCCTGGAATAAAGATCAGCGCCAGCCTGAAAACGCTTTCTATAATCTTCCCGGCTAATCTTTATTTGCTGATGATGAAAAGAAAAAGAGGGGGAGGGAGAGTGAGTGGAATGTCATTTGGACGAGCACTGTATTTATATGTGTACATACATTAGGTCAAGACAAGGCGGCCTCTCCCCATGAGGAGCCGCGGTCAGCGTGGTCATCCCCCGCAGCGCTCGGTCTCCGGACCCACCCCGGGAGGCCCAGGGGTTGGGGGAGAAACAAAAAGGGCTCCACGCACTGTCTCCCGTTAGAGACAGAGTGAGCCCACAGCCTCCTGCTCGTTGGAAGTGCCACGCGTCCTCGGCGCTCAAGCTGGCCCTGCGCTCCCGGGAGCGCCGGCGGAGAGGGGCGCACGCCGGGTGGGCTCGCCGGCGTGGAGGGGCCGGGCTGGCCCGGAGGCGCACATCAAAGGCCGCCCGTGCAATGCATGCGCGTTTCCCTCAATTAACGGCATTTCCTGCCCCCTCGCTTCCCTTCATCCGCCCCGCCCCCCCCGCGCCAGTCCGGGCTGCTTGAGCGCGGGGACGAGCCTTTTCCCGCGCGCCCGTCCGTGCGAGTGCGCGCGTGCGCGTGCGCGTGCGAAGGGTCCCAGGGGCGCTCCGGATTTGCCCAGGGGAGGCTGCGAGGGTCGCCGGGCCCCGAGGCCCCGTCGAGGCCGAGTTTCGGGCGCGTTTTGGGGAGAGCGAGGCTTAAGGGTGCGGCGGGTGGAACGCAGGGAGGACCCCAGTTTCTGTCTCCTCGAACGTTCCCTGTGTCCGCACCCACAGGCTTCGACTCTGGCCTTAAGGCGCGGCTGCCTGCGGGACCCCACGTGCAGGGAGGGGCGCCCGGGCACCCTCATTCCACACGCCCCGGCGCGGGCTGTTCCCACCGCATATCCGCGACCTCAGACGTCGCGCGCCAAATGGGGGCGGGGAGGTGACTGTGGAAAGAATGTGGCCACAGGCGCGGGGACGGCAGCACGGGGACCCCGCCCCCCAAGTTTCCTCATTAGCGAGGCCGCGAGGGTTGGGGGCGGACGGGGGACCCCCTGGCTCCGGGCTCCACTCCGACGGCAGGACGGGTCCTCGCTCCCCCCGCTCCCGTCGGTCCCGTCCCAGGGCGGTGCCAGGGCTCTGAGCGGGTCCCAGCGGGGCTCGGGCACCCTCGGGTGGGCGGCGTCAGGCCCGAGGCCCGTGTCCCGCTGGCTCCCGGCGGTGGGCTGTGTCCCCGCGGCGCCCTCTCGGGAGGAGGACTGGCCCCCGCCCCCGCCCAGGTCTCTAACCCCTCGGAGGTCACCGGGTCTGGCCCCGCCTCACCACGCGGGGGCCACTTGGATGGCCGCAGCCAGAGGACGGGCCTGGGCGAAACCCCACAGCTGATTTCAGAACCGCGTCTCTCGCCAAAGGCGTCCCGCGGGGGCTGAGCGGGGCGCAGACCCGAGGCCTCCTGGACGGCCCAGCCCCTCGCAGGTCCCCGCGGTCCTCTCTCGGCCTGCGGGGCGGGGACTGTGGAAGGGGAGCGCGCGCGGGGAGCTCCTGGCGTGAGAAATGCCGCGTCCATGTCTCCGCTCGCGGCCCCTCTGCGTCCGAGACAAACCCGCGTGGGGAGCCCCGTGCTCTGGCCGTGTGCGCGCCCGACGCGGGGACGCCCCCTGCGCACTTTTCCTGGCCGTAGAGCTCCCCGGCCCTGCACAACGAGTTCAAAGAAGTTTCAGAAAGCGGCACAACTTCGATGCTACCGTTTCCATCGTTCTTGGCTTTCTCATGATCACAAATGTCATTTGTCTTGGCTCCAAGCTCTGCAAAAGTGCAGGGCTGAATTCCGCAGGAGGCTGCGTTTGTGGGGAGGCGCTCACCACAAGGTCCTTGACCGCTGAGCAGGGGACAAAGAGGGCCGAGTGTGGGGGCGGGGGTGGCTCCCGCTCGCGTTCCGGGATGGGCGTCTTCTCTGTGACCGATTGCACTGAGCTGTTGGCCCACAGATCCCATTCGGGCTGTCCTGGCAGGTCAGGGACAGGAGAAGAAGTATAAGATTCAGATAGATTAGAATCAGTGCTGTCTCCAGCATGAAAGAGAGTAGAGTGATCATCTCATTCTCAAACTGGGCCATTCTCAAACTTAGCTAAATACTCAGCAGGTGTGTCCAGGGGCCACGTGCTGGCGCCCAGAGATGCCTGGCCTGGGCAAACCGGGGGCCAGGTGTGAGGCCTCCTCGTGACCTTGGCAGAACCAGGGCCAGCACTGCAGAGCCTGTGCCGCCCGACGATGTGACGGATCTGCGGGGGTTCCTGTGTCTCCTTTGTCCCCCAGGCCCGCCTCTGCTGAGTTTTGCTTGATAACACGTATTCTGTGCCTTGGAGTGTGGATGTCTGACTCATCAGCACTTTTCTGCTTGAAATCAGAAATGGAGGAATGAAAGGCACAGCGCCTCCAGGAAAGGACGGTGTCACAGGGGCCACAGGCAGGGGCCTTCGCTGATGGAGACGCATGGGCCCCAAAGAAACTGACTTTCTTGGAATCGCAAAGTCAAAACAAGGAATTAATTATAAAAGTTTCAACTCCTGGTTGGAAGGTGGATTTGCCTGAAGTCTGGAAATGATTGGATGCTGTGCAGGTGCACCCTGCTTTAAGAAAACCTAGTAAGTCAAAATTCACAAGCTAGGAAAGTTGAAGGGATCTTTCTTTGCTCGACCAAGGATTCTTCACGTTCAGGAGTGTTCACTGCAGCTGTCTCTTAAGTAGCCAGTTCTGCCATGTGTTGTAAAATTGGCTTGCTGCGTGCAGTGCGGTGTGCAGTGAGATGCCAGTACTGCCTTACTCAGCCCGGCTTGCCCACATGCCTGGACCTTGGGAGTGGTGTTTGGGGCCTTTCAGTGAGTCGCTGAAAGGCTGCAGTTGTGTTTTATTACAGTCATTCCTCTAGGAAGGGACAATCTGCCGTGACATGCCTGCTTGTTGATCTGGGCAGGCAGCAGGGACTGGACAGTGGTGGCATTAGGCCTCCCTTAAATAAAGGTGTCCTCAGAGGCTGGGGAGGAAAATGAGAGGCTGGAAAAGGGAGCCCCAGGCAGTGTGAGAAACGCGGAAGGCAGTAAAAGTATCCATGAGGGTCACGTGGCCATGTGGAACCCTGTGATGGAAAATAGGACAGAGGGGTCCCGTGAGGCTCTGAGACCACAGAGGGCAGAGGTGGAACGAAGGCTCCCAGACCGGCTTGGATGTGGAAGGAGAGTGGGAGAAGGCCAGGACCCTCGATGCTTGGGGACTGGGCAGTGGGCTTGCTCTGGGTGTTGCAGACAATGGGAGCCTTGGGGAAGAGGGGACCTCAGTGGAGCTGCCGGAGTAGTGTGGGGTTCCAGGTCAGCCCACTCAAAATTCTGTCTCAGAGGTGCTGAAGGCCTTAAGGAAGAGCTGAGACTTGAATGTGACACACCCAGACAATAAGACACACGTGATAGGAGAAAAATACCTCCACGGAGAAGCCCGAGACACGTCCTTCCCAGGCCTGGCAGGAAGTCAGTGCCTCTAGCACAGGCAGTCTTAGTGACCTTCTCCGTTACAAAAGCATCTCGGTATTTCCCAAAACACGACGATTCTGAGTGCTTGGTAAACAGACTTGCTAATGGGAACCGTCTATTTCTTGTGGCAAATTTCAGAAAGGGTCATACTTGCTCACATATTCAGGCCACCACGGCCACCTCCTGCTCTCCAGCAGGACCTCCTCTGTGGACTCTGAAGATCCCCGTCGCAGCCCATCGCCTGCCGCATAGCTCTGGCAGGTGTCATTGTCTGTGCCTCTCAAATACGTGTCACAACCAGCCTTTATGGACCCAGGTTAGGAGGCGCCGGCCCATGTCTTCTAAGCAGACGTCAGAGCCACTGGGGATGGGTGGCTTGGAGGGTGCCAGGTTGGGATGGGAGTGATTTGAGATCACATGTGTGCACACACACGTGTGGTACATATGTACATATGTATCATGTGGTACAGTACACCATGGAATACTATGCAGCCATAAAAAGAAAGAGATCATGTCCTTTGCAGGAACATGGATGGAGCTAGAGGTCATCATCCTTAGCAAACTAACACGGGAACAGAAAGCCAAATGCCACATGTTCTCACTTGTAAGTGGGAGGTAAATGATGAGGTCACATGGAATCAAAGAGGTTGGAGGAGGTGGGGAAGGAGAGGAGCAGGAAAGGTAACTATTGAGTACTCAGCTTAGTACCTGCGTGACTAAATAATCTGTATAACAAACCCCGGTGACACGAGTTTACCCACAAAACAAACCTGCGCACGTATTCCCTAAACCCAAAAAGGAAAAAAGAATACACTGCCCATCCATTGCATGCAAGCACCATGGTCCTTCCGCCCGGCCCATCTGCCAGTACTCCCTCCTGCTCCAGACGCTAGAGGACAGGACATTGGAGCTGCCCCTCATTTCCTCCGTGTCATATGGTATTGGCACATGTCTTCCTAAGTCAGATTATTTACCTGTGCTAAGGGCTTTACAATCCATACAATACCCAGCAAGGTACTTACTCAGTTTTCTTTTAGAGATGGGTCTCACTGTGTTGGTCAGGCTGGTCTCGAACTCCTGGCCTCGAGTGCTCCTTCTGCCTTGGTCTCCCAGAGTGCTGGGATTATGGATGTGAGTCACTGCACCCAGCCCCTGGGTACTTATTATTGTCCCCTTAGTAAGGATGAGGAAACTGAAGCCACAAGAGTTGGAATAGCTTGTCCGAGGCCACTTGGCTGTTGGGAAGACGTCTCTGTGCTGGAAGCCAGGGCGCAACCGGGTTAGGTGGCGTGTCTGGGCTCCCACAGGCCACACTCAGGCCTCTCCAAATGCCGAGCTCACTCTGCTGTCTCCAGCCTTCCAGGGACTGTTTTTGAGGAGGGTGCTTCCCCTTAAACAGGAATCCCCGCCTGGTCCTCAGAACCTTCTAGTTGTTTGTGCTAAATCAGAGAAGATGAAGCGTTTGAAGAGAGGAGTGGTGCAGAAATGATTTGCGTGGAGTTTGGGTGTGGCCAGCCCTCCAGGACACTGATGTATGCTGTGGGCTGGTGCAGCCCAGGGCACAGCAGTCAGTTCCATGGAGTCGTGGACAAGTGTGGGGAGAGGGGGCCGTTCTCAGGAAATGCTTCAACCAGTGGCACCGTCACGGCTGAGCAGTTCTGCCGCCCGGGCCACAGGCTGGCCATTGGGTTGGTTCGTTCTCCCAGATGTGATCAACACTTCACTCCGAAGTGTGCAAAGATCTCAATGTGCCACAGGGAATTCGCATGAATGTGAACGTGGCCACCTCATGCCGTCAGGCACATTTGTGTTCTGAAACTGTTAAGTGGGCCATTGTAGAGAATGGCCTCTGCACTGTGGAACGTGGCCCGGTGCTGAGACCGTGATGCGCCTGCGGCTTCAGCGTCCTCAGCGCCCTCTCCCCAACACCTCCCTGCAGCCCCTTCGTCCAGAGGAAGACAAGAGGGAGCACTCATGGTGGCCGCTTGCTTTTCTGTCAGTGAAATGAATGCAGAGTACTTTTCCTTAGACAGCGGGGAGAAATAGCAGCCTTTGATGGTCAACTTGTACTCCAGTATCACAAGGGTGTGGTATGCTGTTATAACAATGGCTTTGCCACAGCGATGATCAAAAATCAGTGAACGTTTTGCGTCTGTCTATAGAGAGGGGATAAGGAGAGGATTGATGGGCCTGCGTCATCTTTGCATGCCGTTTACCTTGAGTCTGTATAGAACCACCTGGGATTTCATGTCATACATGCTGCTTTTCTATTTTCTCTTTTATGAAGAGATGTGTGTGTATTTAAAACATCACTACGCGCATATACAGATTTTTAAAGTGTTCCTATTTTCTGGGGCAGGGTGCCGCCAAAGAGGGTTCTCACAGCAGGAGAGAGGCCTAAGCTCAGATGCAGGCTTGGGAAAACAGGTTACTTAGCTGCAGGTAGCAAAACCAGACCACCCCGCAGGATCATGAAGAGAGTTTATTAAAAGGATCAGGACAGGAGCAAGATTAGGCGTTCTAGAAACTACAGACTCCTGTGATTAGAAGGGTAGAGAGAGTGCAGCAACATCAAACAGGACTTCCTGGAGATGCTGGACGAGGAGTCCTAGACGCCAGGTAGAGGAGGGCCGTGGATAACGAGAAGACTGGGAAGCAGGCTCAGGAGGGTGTGGGAGGGCACCCTGACTTGTTTCCAGAGAGATCTGGTGCTGGTGGGTTCAGCAGCCAAGAGAGACAGGGTTGAAAACAAGATTCAGGGTGTTGGTACCCCGTCTCGGGGCGCCAGCCCAGCCCAGCCCATTTCTCTAAGTTGCCATGGGGTGGAGTGAATGTGCTGTCATCTCTTCCATTCCTTGAGTATTTTATATCTTTCCTCTGTTTGTTAATAAGGTTCTTCTATTCCTTGAGTCATGTATTTTATATCTTTCCTCTGTTTGTTAATAAGGTTCTTCCATTCCTTGAATTATGTATTTTATATCTTTCCTCTGTCTGTTAATAAGGTTCTTTGAAAAGTCTGAACACAATGTTCCTATCTAGTCATATGATTATGGGTGTCTTCTGCAATTTCAGGTTGTAGCTTATTAAATACACCTGCAGGTTTCAAGAAGTAAGGTAGACTCGTATACCATGACCATGTTTTCTAAAAATAGGAATGACTTAAGAAGAAACATTTTATGACATAAATACATTTTAAAGTACCATTAAAAATAGCAGAAGGTGAATATGCTTTAGTAACATAATATTATTTGGTAGAAGAATACTCTGAAAACATTCCCAAGAGACCTGCTGTTAATAGATGTGTCCTCCCAGGAAAAGCTGGCCGGTGGTAGAGATGAACGACTGTGGAAATGGAAGCAACCCATTTTTTGCTTTTCTGTTTTCAGTTGAGGTGAAATTCACAACGCATAAAGTTAACCATGGTAAGGGGAACAATTTCATAGCATTTGTGCATTCACAGTAGCAAACACCACTCCTATCTGGTTTCAAATTGTTTCATCTTCCCCCCAACAAAAAAAAAACACAACTGCCCACAGCAGTGACTCAGTACTCCCTCACCCCCATCGCAGAAGCCATACATCTACTTTCTATCTCAACCACGGACTGTTTTATTTTTTTTGCCTTTTGAAATATGTTTTATTGATCAGCTATTTCTTTGATAATGTGCTGTAAAAGAAAACTCTCCAAATCCCAGGGGTGATGACGATGACCATGGATGTTCCTGCCCCATGACTGTGGGTCAGCCCAGCATCGCTTGGAAGTGGAGATGTAATAATTATGCATATTTCTGGGGTATGAGGCTTTTAGATCTGTGCATACGATGGATAATGATCAAATCAGAATAGTTGGGATATCTCAAACAACAATTATTTCTTTGCCAACCAGTGGTTTTTAGCTGGAAGATTTTGAGGAACCCGTTTGGGTGATTTTCAGGTTGACCTGCCTAGATCATGTGACTTAGATATACCCTTGGTGCCATCTCCATATGACAGCATTCTATAAAAACCATTCAAACCGGTGATGGAAAGGAGACCCGGGGCGGATCCCGGTTCTGTCTTGCCATCAGCTGTCTGATGGTTACTGGGTCCATCCGCAGCCTCTTGGTTCCTGTTCATGAAAGAGTTTGCGACCTGGGATCAGTGACCCCCAAAATATATTCCTATGTTTATAGGTGCATGTGTGGTTTCTGAGTTTTTGGAGATTCGTAAGCTTTCATCATAACCCATAATGTAGGACGTAGGTCTGCTCAGTTTATTTTTTATTTTTGTAATAATGTTTTTTGAGGAAATTGCTGAAGATGATAAATTATTTGCATGATGAAGCTTAAAATATAATCTAACTGCTTTGAAGAGCAGGTCATGGTGGTCAACTCACCATGGAAACCCTAACGCTTGGGCAGAGGAGGTGTTCCTCCAAGTGTGGGCTCCTCAAGTCCCTTGAAAGAAGTGTTTTATGGTCACAGAAATTTGAGAAGTCTTGCCTGCTGTACAACCCTCTGGGATTCTTGACATGAAAGTGTATTAAAGGCCCTGGCACTTCCTACAGTGAAGAAACCTCTGGTCAGTGTAATTCAGCCTTTTCCAAGGATACTTCACCAGAAAAAAGTTTTCAGGCAGCTTCTGTTTTTAGCATGTGAGTGTGATTGGTTGAGCTGCGGGGAACTCCGGGTAGGGACAGTTTCTGTTGTAATGGGAAGAGCTCCTTGGGCTTCTCAATGGGAAACCCCCTCACCTGCAGCCAGACTCCTGTGTTAGGGCAGCCATTGCCGTGCTGACCTCCAGAGAGCCCTGGGGCAGGCTTCTTGCCACCAGCACCCTGCGTTCGGGGCAGGTCATTCTTCATGGTGGGGTTGCCCTGTACATGAGGGTGTTCACAGCACAGGGTGTTCTGTGTGCCCTGTACATGAGGGTGTTCACGGCACCACTGGCTTTTGCGCACTGGATGCCAGGGCACCCCTTGGTGGGGGAGGGGGAATCACCTGCCCCAGGCTGTGGCTCTGGTGTGAGCAGATGGCTGAGCTGTGCTTTTGGAAGAGATAGACTCAGGCCACACCAGGGGCGTCAGGTGGAGAATTCCCTGGTCAGCAATGGGTGGGGGCTTCGAGTCAGGGGGAGGGAGAGAGAGGTCTTAGAGAGGAGGGTGGAAGAGAAATCGGCAGGGCAACCCATGCTACCCAGCTTCCTGGGGTGGGCAAGACAGTCTCGAGGAGCCTCCGTGGCGCTGGGCCGACCTGGAAGGAACCAGGCTAGCACCAGGTCAAGAGAGGGGAAACTTGTAAAGAAACAGGGGGTGGGTGGGAGGGCAGTCACCAGGGCGAGGCCTCCAGGGGTGCCTGGCCTGGGCTTGGGCTGGGGCAGTGGGGTGGGTGTCAGATGTGTGTGTCTTCTTCTATGGCGGCGTCCCTGCCCAGAGGGGCGTGACCCTTAGGCCCCACATGCTGCCCTCCTAGAGACTAAGAGAGGAAGAGAGAAGGAAGTGGAAGGCATGGAGTTCGCTCACTGAGTATGTTAGGAAACATACATTTTAAATTAACCCACTCTGCAATCCAGAACTACATAGATGTCAGGAGACGTACATTTTAAGTTAACCCACTCTACAATCCAGAACTAGGTAGAAGGTAGAGCAAACAGGAATTGATGATGGATTGTGCATGTGAGTGTTTGTTGAGGGAGACAAACATTTTATTTTTTAATGAAGAGAAGCTGTGGTTGAAGAGTTGTGACTCCTTCGAGTGGAGAGAAACCCTTCAGCTGTGTGGCTTTCAGACGGTTTGAGAAGCAGACAGTGCGGGGGTGTGTCTGCAGCATGGTGGGAGGGCAGGGGGATGAAGGCTGGCCCGGAGCTTTTGATCTGCGCCACGTGGGAGAACGGAACACGGGAGGTCACGTGGAGGGGACACTGGAGGGCCTCAGTCGGGGTTGGGCCAGTGAGCGGCGGAGACTCGGCTAGGGACAGCTGGATCTGAGAGGTCGTGGGAGTGCGAGAGGAGAGGGAGCGGGTTGGTCCCAGGCAGGGGGTGGGCGGGAGCAGAGGGACGGGACCTGGCCTCGGAATCTGGGAGTGGAGGAGCTGAGCCTGGAGCCAGGTGGAGGGGCCGCCTGGGTGCCACCGATGGCTCCCAGAGAAGGCGGCGCTGGTGCAGGCCGGGTGGGGGGGCAGCCTGGGTCCCACCGACGGCTCCGGAGAAGGCAGTGCTGGTGCAGGCCGGGTGGAGGGGCAGCCTGGATCCCACCGACGGCTCCGGAGAAGGCGGCGCTGGTGCAGGCTGGGTGGAGGGGCAGCCTGGATCCCACCGACGGCTCCGGAGAAGGCGGCGCTGGTGCAGGCCGGGTGGAGGGGCAGCCTGGGTGCCACCGACGGCTCCGGAGAAGGCGGCGCTGGTGCAGGCCGGGTGGAGGGGCAGCCTGGGTGCCACCGACGGCTCCCAGAGAAGGCAGTGCTGGTGCAGGCCGGGTGGAGGGGCAGCCTGGGTCCCACCGACGGCTCCGGAGAAGGCGGCGCTGGTGCAGCCTGCAGGTCGGCCATGTCAGGATGTGGGCGCTGACTTGCGGGCTCTGGACAGGGCAGGCCTTTCCCTTTTTTTTGCTCCCCAGGAGCCACTCCTGTGGCTGGTGTGGACTATGGGTCCTGGGAAGTGACCGTCCTCCAGTGAAAGGGGTGGTGGAGCCTTCATTTAAACTAAGCTCCCCCACCTTTTTTTTAAATTAAAAAAAACTTTTAAACTTTTTACCCTACCATCAACTTGACTTCAATGAGCTTTCCCCTTTATAAGAATTTGATCAAGCCTCTCTGTGTAAGAATGTATTTCTTAGTTCTAGAATTATATAACCGTTTTTACAGTTACCTCTTTAATTACATATTTGATCAAACATTAATGTTTTCACCAGTCCCAGAATATATGTGTGTTTTTGAAGGCAAAAGTACCAAATGCTCTGTTTTTGTAGATGACTTAAACATTTTTGTAAATGAAAAACAGCAATGAGAGGAAAGCTAACAGGCACTTCCAGTCTGTGGTGATCTGGAATGAACACACATGCACCTAAGCCCAAACCGTGAATTCTTAAAATCGATTTTTGTTATGATGGTCACAGACTTTTCAAGTTATTAAAAATTATAATGCTTTTAGAAAATGTGCACTCATTTGAAAAATTAGTTTCAAGGAACAGACTTAAAACTATCATGGCAAGAATAATAACAGCAAAACCTTTGTTAAAGGACATTATCTCTTTGTCATTAAAGTCTAAATAGAACTTTGTGTTTTCTCTGAAACTCATTTTAATGTTGCAGTATAATGGTGATTCAACTCAGCATTTTGTTGTTCCAAGAACTAAATATAAGACTCATAGAAGCGATTATTAAGGGAGTGATTATATTTCAAAAGGAAACTGCTTGATGAAATGATTGAACTATAGTGACAGATGACAAATCATTGCCTAATACTGTGGTTTCAACGTGTCCCCAAGTTCATGTGTTGAAAACTTAATTGTAACAGTATTAAAAGGTGGACCCTTTCAGAGGTGATTAGGCAGTGAGGACTCCTCCGTCGTGAATGGATTAACGCCATTATAGGGAGAGGTCTAGTGACTGTGGGCGTGGGCTCTGGATACAGGATAAGTTTGGCCCCCGTTTTCTCTCTGGGTCGTGTGCTCTCACCATGCAATGCTGCCCACCATGGGATGATCCTCACCAGGTGCCACGCGGCCTCTTGGACTTCCCAGCCTCCAGAACCATGAGCCAAAGGAGCTTCTTTTCCGTATAAATTACCCAATCTGTCTGGTCTGTTATAGCAGCAGAAAGCAGACTAAGAAGCCTAATTAACACAACAGAGTGTGAGTGTGTGAGTGTGAGCATGTGTGTATGAGTATAAGTGAATGTGTGTGAGCATGTGAGAGGATACGTGACTGTGAGTGTGAGCATGTGTGTGAGCATATGTGTGAGTATGTGTGTGAATGTGAGCATATATGTGAATGTGTGAGTATATGAGTGTGAGTATGTCTGTGTGAGCATATGTGTGTATGTGAGTGTGTGTGTGAGCATTGTGAGTCTGTATATCTGTGTGAGTATATGAGTCTGAGTGTGAGTACGTGTTAATGTGTGAGTGTATGTTACTGTGAGTGTTAGCATGTGAGTGTATGAGTGTGAGCATTTGTGAGTATATGTGTGTGTCAGGATGTGAGTGTATGAGTGTGTATGAGCATGCATGAGTGTGAGTGAAAGCATGTATATGTGTGAGCATGTGTGTATGTAAATGTGTGTGAGCATGTGTTTGAGTATATGTGTGTGAGCATGCGTGTGGGTGTATAATTGTGTGTCAATGTGTGTATTTGTGAGTGTGAATATATAAGTGAATGTGTGTGAGCATGTATGTGAGCGGGGATATGTGAAAAATATGAGTGTGAGCATGTGTGTGTTTGAGTATGAGTATATATGTGTGTGAGTATATGTGTGTGTGATGTGAACGTGTATGTGTGTGAGCATTGTGTGAGTGTATGAGAGTGCACATGTGTATCTGTGAATATGAGTGTGTGAGCATGCGTGTATGCGAGAGTGGGTGCGTGAGCATGTGTGAGCATGCGTGTGAATGTGTGAGCATGTATGTGAACGTGTGTGAGCATATGAATGTGTCTGAGCATGTGTGTGTATGATTGTGTGTGTGAATATATAAGTGAATGAGTGTGAGCATGTGTGTGAGCATGTGTGTATTAGTATGAGTGTGAGCAGGTGTGTGAGCATGTTTGTGTGACTGTGAGTATATGTATGTGAATATGTGTGTGTCAGTGTCAGTGCATGTGTGTGAATGTGAATGTGTATATGAGTGTATTTGAGTATGAATGCATGTGAGTATATGTGAGTTTGTTAGTGTGAGTGTGAGCATGTGTGAGTGTATGAGTATGTGTGTGAGATGAGTGTGAGAGTATATGTGTGAGCATGTTTGACTATGTGGGTGTGAGCACGTGTGTGGGTGTATGATTGTGAATATGAGCCTGTGTGTATTTGTGTGTGTGTAAATATATCTGAATGTGTGAGTGTGAGCATGTGTGTGTATGGGTGTGTGGGCATGTGTGAGTGAGCATGTGAGCATGATTGTATGTGACCACGTGTATATGTGTATGAGCATGTGTGTGAGCATGTGTGTATGAGATTGTGTGTGAGCATGTATGTGTGAGCGTGTGTGTGAGCATGTGTGAGCATATGCACGTGAGTGTATGAGTGTGAGCGTTTGAGTGTATGTGTGAGTATGTGTGACAGCATATGCGTGTATGTGAGCATGTGTTAGCATGTGTGTGTACGTGTGAGTGTGTGTGAGCATGTGTGTGTATATGAGTGAGAGTATGTATGTGAGCATGCGTGTGTGAGTACGTGTGTGAACATGTGTGTGTGAATGTGTCAGTGTGGGCATGTGTGTGAGTGTATATGAGAGTGTGTGAGCATACACGTGTGAGTGTATATAAGTGTGTGTCGATGTGTGAGTGTGGGCGTGTGTGAGTACATATGAGTGAGAGTGTGTGAGCGTGTGTGTGTGAGCATGAGTGTGTGTGAGTGTGTGAATGTGTGTGGGGAAATGTGAAGGTGTGTGGGAATCTTGAAGATCAAGAATCAAATAAGATAAATATTTCCGAAGTTGTAATAAAGCTGCTCAATGGAAAAACCTGATTTAATTTACAAACATTCATCCCACACACTTCAGGAACAACTATTAAAGGAACTCAAGTGTACCCGGATTGCCTTTAACTTATGAATAATCAAACATTTGGGAGGAAAAGAGAAAGTACATTCCTAATATTATTTGATATAAAAGTACCCGCTGTCTAAATACTAGAATCAGGTTACTCAATGTTGCATGTAGAAGAATATCAATTTAAACTATCAATTTTCTTCCATATAATTCACCCAAATTATATTAAACTGAAATTTTAAAAAATCCTTGTAACATTGAGTAGCATCAAGGTTTGGGGCAACCTTGAATCAAACAAATCTATGGGTGTCATTTTTCCAACAGCATGTGCTCACTCTGTGTCTCTGTGTCACATTTTGGTAATTCTCCCAATATTCCAAACATTTTCATTACTTATGATATATGGTGATCTGTGATCAGGGATCTGTGATGTTATTTACTATTGTAAATAGTAAATAGTTTGTGGGGCACCACAAACTGTGCCCGCATGAGACAGCAAACTTGCTGGATAAATGCTGGATGTGTTCTGACTGCTCCACCAGCCAGCCCTTCCTCCATCCCTCTCCCTCTCCTTGGGCCTCTCTATTTTCGGAGACATAAGAACATTGAAATTAGGCCAATTCGTAACCCTACAATGGCCTCCAAGTATTCGAGGGAAAGGAAGAATTGCAGGTCTTTCACTTTAGCCCAAAAGCTAGCAATGATTAAGCTTAGTGAGGAAGGCATATGAAAAGCTGGCATAGGCCAAGAGCGAGGCCTCTTGCACCGAACAGTTAGTCGAGTTGTGGATGCCAAGGACAAGTTCGTGAAGGAAACTGAAATTGAGACTCCAGTGAACCACAAGAAAGCACACAGTCCTACTGCTGAGAAGGAGAAAGTCTGAGCAGTCTGGACAGAAGATCAAACCAGTCACAATATTCCCTTCAAACAAAGCCTAATCCAGAGCAAGGCCCTAACTCTCTTCAATTCTGTGAAGGCCGAGAGAGGTGAGGAAGCTGCAGAAGAAAAGCTAGAAACCAGCAGAGGTTGGTTCATGAGGTTTAGGGGAAGAAGCCATCTCCGTAACATAAAAAGTGCAAGGTGAAGCAGCAAATGCTGATGGAGAAGCTGCAGCAAGTTCCCCAGGAGATCTGACTGAGACCATCGACGAAGGTGGCCACACTAAACAACAGATTTTCAATGTAGACCAAGAGCTTTCTATTGGAAGAAGATGCCATCTAGGACTTTCCTAGCTAGTAAGCAGTCAATGTCTGGCTTCAAAGCTTCAAAGGACGGGCTGACTCTCTTGTTCAGGGATAATGCAGCTGGTGACTTTAAGTTGAAGCCAGTGCTCATTTGCTATTTTGAAAATCCTAGGGCCCTTAAGAATGATGCTAAATCTCCTCTGCCTGTGCTCTAGAAATGCAACAACAAAGTCTGGATGACAGCACGTCTGTTTACAACATGGTTTACTGAATATTTTAAGCCCGCACTTAAGACCTACTGCTATTGCTCAGAAAAAAAGATTCTTTTCAAAATATTCCTGCTCATTGACAATGCACCTGGTCACCCAAGAGCTCTGACAGAGACACACAAAGAGATGAATGCTGTTTCCATGCCTGCTAACACAGCCTGCAGTCAGCAGTCTAAATTACAAGGAGTAATAAGACTTTCAAGTCTTATTTAAGAAATATTCTTTGGAAGGCTAGAGTTGCTCTGGACAGTGATTCCTCTGATGGATATAAGGAAAAGTAAATTGAAAACCTCTGGAAAGGCTTCCCCATTCTTGATGCCATTAAGAACATCCGGGATTCATGGGAGGAGGTCAAAATATCAACATGAACAGGAGTTTGGAGGATGTTGATTCCAATGCCCATGGGTTCAAGACCTCAGCGGAGGAAGGAGCTGCAGGTGTGGTGGAAATAGCGAGAGAATTAGGAGTGGAGCCTGAAGATGACTGAACTGCGGCAACTTCAGGATGAAACTCATACAGATGAGGAGTTGCTTCTTACGGATGAGCAAAGAAAGTAGTTTCTTGAAATGGAATCCGCTCCTGGAGAAGATGCTGCGAACGTCGTGGAAATGGCAACAAAGGATTCAGAATGTTACGTCAACTTAGTTGATAAAGCCGTGGCAGGATCTGAGAGACGGACTCCAATTTTAAAGGAAGTTCTACTGTGGGTAAAATGCTATCGAACAGCGTTGCATGCTACAGAGAAACCTTTCACAAAAGGAAGGGCCCCATTGATTGATGGGGCAAACTTCACTGTTGTCTTATTTTAAGAAATCATCAAGACCACCCCAACCTTCAATAACAGCCACGCCCATCAGTCAGCAGCTGTGAACATCGAGGCAAGACCCACCAGGGAGAAGATGACGATCCACTGATGGCTCAGAGGATCCTTAGCATTTTTTTTTTTTTTTTTAGCAATAAAGTATTTGTTTTAATAATCCACTGACGGCTCAGAGGATCCTTAGAATTTTGTTTTTTTTTTTAGCAATAAAGTATTTGTTTTAAAATTAATGTATGCACTTTTTTTTAGACACAATGCTGTTGCACACTTAATGGACTCAATGTACCATGAACATCACTTTTATATGCACTGGAAACCAAAAAACTAGTGGGACGTACTTTATTGTGATGTTCACTTTATTGTGGTGGAGCTGAACCCACAACGTCTGTGGGATGTGGCTGCATAAACCTCTGTCATTGTCTGAGGGAAGAAGTTCAGGACCTCTCTTAGTTGTTTTACTGACCATTGTTTCTGCAGTTTGTTGGCCTGGAGGAGAAAACGCGAGGTGTTATGGAAAATTAGATATTATCAATTTAATAATTTCTATCATATGTGAACACTGTTAAAACGTTGCAGTTTGTATCATTTCTGTAAAACATCAGTTGAAATTCTTCTACAGCTCCAGCATGACTCATTGAATAATATCAAAGGAGGAATGTGCTCTCTATATGCTTGCAAGAAATAAAATGTATGCAATTAGGATGTTTTATAGGCTATCTCTGTAGACCACTGATGTCTGAAAAAAATTTTGACTAGTTAATAAGCAGTGTACACCTATTGATAGACCTTTATTGAGTCAACTTTTCCCTTTCCTATCATGTGATATACAAATACTATTTTCTAGCAGTGTTTTTAGTTCCAAATTAAGTGGAGTTACGATGAATAAAAATTAAGACTCGATAGTGTGAAACCATGTCATTTTATTGTCAGAGTAAGCTATATGTTTTCCCATCTATATTTCAACCTGAAATTCATTTTCCTGGTTGAAAAGTAAGATCCAGGTTGTTTAAACTTTTTCTGAGCTATTGTGTTCTTAGTTCAATGTACAACATTTTCATTTAATATTACAGACAAAAGCACTTTAAGCTGTGGGGGCTAACTCCCTCAGCATTTGAAATAAGTCCCCATGGTCATTAGTGATTAAGTGGCATGCAGGAAACAGTAAACTTCAGCGAAGGCCACACTCACGGAACTAAGGCAGTGGGGTGGGGTGAATTCAGAATCACACGTCCAAAGCAGCTGGTCATTCATGCTTGCAGAAATACACCAAACAAACAAATATAAATACTCATTTGGGTATGGGTGGGGCAGGAGAAGACTCGAAAAACTAAAAACAAAAGGCAAGAATGGGTGAAAATGAAATGACAATAAACTAAAATTGGCACATGGTCTTTTTGACAAACACGTAGCTCTAACTTACCAGCATCTCTTTTTAGTTGGTCTGGCTGCTTTTTAATGGCACTGATACTTTTTAAAAAGGGCCAATTTGGCATGTTTTTATGAAAAGCAAATTTCATTGACTAATATTTTCTGCAGGGTTTAGGCCCTTGTAATTCACTTCTTGATTTTGATTTCTTTAATCTTTGCACCTTTGAAAGGCAAGTGTATTAGTCCATTTTCACACTGCTATAAATAAATACTTGAGACTAGGTAATTTAGAAAGGAAAGAAGTTTAATTGACTCACAGTCCGAATGGCTAGGAAGGCCTCAGGAAACTTACAGTCATGGTGAAAGGGGAAGAGGCACGTCTTACATGGTGGTAGGTGAGAGGGCACGAGCAAGAGCAGGAAAAACTGCCTGATAAAACCATCAGATCTCCAGAGAACTCACTCATTATCAGGAGAACAGCATGGAGGAAACCTCCCCGTGATCCAATCACCTCCCACGTGGCCCCTCCCTAAACTTCCCTGTGATCCAATCGCCTCCCACGTGTCCCCTCCCTAAACCTCCCCATGATCCAATCACCTCCCACGTGGCCCCTCCCTAAACCTCCCCGTGATCCAATCACCTCCCATGTGGCCCCCCCAAGCCTCCCGGTGATCCAACCGCCTCCCACGTGTCCCCTCCCTAAACCTCCCCCTGATCAAATCACTTCCCATGTGGCCCCTCCCTAAGCCGCCCCGTGATCCAATCGCCTCCCACGTGTCCCCTCCCTAAACCTCCTCATGATCCAATCACCTCCCATGTGGCCCCTCCCTAAACCTCCCCGTGATCCAATCACGTCCCATGTGGCCCTCCCTAAGCCTCCCCATGATCCAATCGTCTCCCATGTGGCCCCTCCCTAAACCTCCCCATGATCCAATCACCTCCCACGTGGCCCCTCCCCTAACGTGGGGATTATGGGGATTACAATTGGAGATGAGTTTTGAGTGGGGAACACAGAGCCAAACCATATCAGCAAGTAATTAGATTTTTACATATGAGAAGTTGGTAGATGAGGCAGAGGAATGAAGAATTGTAAATTGACTTATACCCCAACAGACCCTTATCCCAATCCTCACTTTCCAGAGCAATGCTATGTAATATATTTTCAAAAAGTTAGATCATGCCTACATGTGTAAAGGAAAATTGAAATATGATACAGCTGTTTTTATGATCGAGGCACACATCTCATATTTATCTGAAAAGTAAAAACGGCAAATTTATTTTGCTTGAATTTTGTACTTTATTAATTGATTGATTTTGCTTATACTGTGGTTTCATGTTTGTAAATCAGTTAGCTGAAAAACTTAAATATAGAATTTATAACATACATATTATGTAAATTATGTAATATAAAAACATGCTTTTTGGATGCTCTTTGCATTTTTGTGTTTAATTAAGAACAAGGCTGGCCAGGTGCGGCAGCTCACGCCTGTAATCCCAGCACTTTGGGAGGCTGAGGCCGGCGGATCACGAGGTCAGGAGATCCAGACTGTCCTGGCTAACACGATGAAACCCCGTCTGTACTAAAAATACAAAAAATTAGCCTGGCATGGTGGCGGGCACCTGTAGTCCCAGCTACTCGGGAGGCTGAGGCAGGAGAATGGTGTGAACCTGGGAGGCGGAGCTTGCAGTGAGCCCAGATTGCGTCACTGTTCTCCAGCCTGGGCGACAGAGTGAGACTCCATCTCAAAAACAAAAACAAAAACAAAAACAAAAAAAACAAGGCTATCCAAAAAAATGGCATATTTGGGTAATTTAAAAATAACTGGAGAGCTCACTAATTACTGGGCCTGTGCTGGGCCCTTCCAGGTAAATCTCGTTCTCATCGTTACCTGTTAGCTGTGCCCAGTGCACCTACGTGCTGCCAGGGCCATCTGAACACGATTCCAAATTCCAGCTCCTTGCTGAGAACTGTTATTAAATTCGTATTGGAATTAGTTAGAATTCTTTTCCTCCTAGTCACGTGGCATTGGGTTTTACAAAGACTATAAACACAGACATGTTAGCTACTCTTACTCCACGTAAAACACATATGTTGGTCATATCAAGGCAGAGAGATAATTTAGTTGCTATTATTTTGTCACAATGCATCAATTTCAAAGAGAATTAACATACTATCACGTTGAGATGTGTTGAAATTCACCACATCTCAAATGCATTTGTGTTGAAAATCAGCCAGCGGGTTTTCTGGCCTCTGCCTTTGCTGCTGGACTTGTATCTTTGACAGAGCTTTTCTGCTACTTTTCTCTTACTCTCTTCTCTCATCTAAGGCTCTACTTAGTATTTTTAGGATGTTGTCATTAATCAACTGTCTTTAGGTGTAATTTCAGCATTAAACGTTAAAGGCTCTGTGATGCGTTGCTGTGTTTTCGAGCGAGCGAGGGAACAGCCTCAGCCCTCGAGTGGCCCAGCCTCATCTAGACCGGCCTTAGGGGACTCTTCCGGGAGCTCACTTTCTGGATTTGCCTAAAATCGAAATGCACGTTGAATTCTCATTATAGAACCATCCAGCACTCACCACTCCTGCCTTTTCCATGAGCGTGTCCCGCGAGCTTGCCGTCCAGGGAACGTCTAGACCTCAGTGAGGTGGCTCTGGGCGAAGGCATGGTCTCCGAATGATTCCAGGAGGACAGGCCGCACGGAAATACAGGCCGCCTGGGCAGGAAGGGAGGCGTGAGGGTTTCACGTCATAAATTCCCTGAGAACTAACGGGTCTCGGGCTAAGTTTTCTTTTTTCTCTTCCCTGTGGTGTACTTCTCTGGGGGAGATGGTGTGTTGAAATGCTGAGAGCAGGATATGGTTTATGCACGGGAGTGCCTTGCTTTCCGTCAGTGCCTCCCGGCACGCCTGGCTGCCCCTGGTAATGTGTGGTGGGCACAACGAGGCTCTCCTGGCCTGCAGAAGTGGCCTGTGGAGGGATATAGGTGTACGCTGTGGGACAGGCTGTGTGTGTCGCGCTGCAAGGACAGTCCCCATCATGTGTGCGGTGTGGCTGCTGGGAACCCCGAGAGACAGAAACCACAGGCTGCTCCCCTGCCTGGTGGAGCTAGCAGAAATTTTGGGAGAAAATGCCCATTTGGTAAAAAAATCCCCGGAAGCAGCAAGCAATTATGTTTTTTAAAAACATCTATTCAGCCGGGTGTGGTGGCTCATGCCTATAACCCCAGCAGTTTGGAAGGCTGAGGTGGGAGGATTGCTTGCGGCCAGGAGTCTGAGACCAGCTTGGACAATGTAGTAAGACTCTGCTTCTACAAAAAACAATAAAAATAAAAGTGGTGGGTGTGATGACACACACCTGTCGTCCCAGGCATTTGGGAGGCTGAGGTGGGAGGATCGCTTAAGCCCAGGAGTTGGAGGCTGCAGTGAGCTATGACTGCACCACTGCAGTCCAGCCTGGGCGGCACAGGAAGACTCTGTCTTAAAAATAAATAAATAAAAACACATTTTAATTTCAAACTTTTTCTTTTCCTTGCAAGCTTAAAAAGCTTACGTATGTAGTATTATCTCCCTGGATATAAACTCTGGAATATGGATAGAATAACTAGTTGTGACTTTTAATTATTACTACAGTTTCGACATCAACTGTTTGGTCTCATCTTATTTCACAATAGTAAAGAGTTTTTTATTTTGGCCAGGCACGGTGGCTCATGCCTGTAATCCCAGCACTTTGGGAGGCCGAGGTGGGCAGATCACTTGAGGTCAGGAGTTTGAGATCAGCCTGACCAACATGGAGAAACCCCGTCTCTACTAAAAATACAAAAGTTAGCTGGGTGTGGTGGCGGGCACCTGTAATCCCAGCTACTCGGGAGGCTGAGGCAGGAGAATCACTTGAACCTGGGAGGCAGAGGTTGCAGTGAGCCGAGATCGCACCACTGCATTCTAGCCTGGGCGACAGAGTTAGACTCTGTCTGAAAAAAAAAAAAAAAAAAAAAAAAAGAGTTTTTAATTTTAATGCAAAAAGTCAAGATTTATGTGTTAGCGATTACTACCTGGCTGCAAGAACTCTGGGGCACCTTTCTTATTCAGCCAAGGTCCTCTGTGCTGTGTGGGCCTGTGTCCTGCAAGTGAGAACAATATGAAATGCTGTGGAAGGATCCGCGGTGGGAAATTAGGAATGACATGCTTAAGATAAAGGAGTGCAGCCACTGGAACCGTGTCTGATGAAGACTTAGAGTGATCGTGAAGCCCCACGCACTGCTTATCCACCCTGCCACTCCGCCACTGCGAGCCAACGGTGGTGTAATCATTTATTTGGAAACTGCAGCTTGGTACAGTGAGAAAGAGCCTCGGGCAGGACTGTGACAGGCACGGCAGACAGAGAGGAAGGCGAGGACCGGATCTGCTTCTCCCGAAGGGCACAGCCACTGGCAGTAACCAGGCAGCAGCAAGTGTGGTTGTCGAGTTGCTTCTCTGCTGGGCTCACGCGGATCCTGTTTGGTTTTTATGAGTTGAGTTATTTGAACGTACTACAGGTGATTTTTTTTTTTTTTTTGAGAGAGTCTCTCTCTGTCGCCCAGGCTGGAGTGCAGTGGTGTGATCTCGGCTCACCGCAACCTCCACCTTCTGGGTTCAAGCGATTCTCCTGCCTCAGCCTCCCAAGTAGCTGGGATTACAGGTGCCCGCCACCAAGCCAGGCTAATTTTTGTATTTTTAGTAGAGATGGGGTTTCACCATGTTGGCTAGGCTGGTCTTGAACTCCTGACCTCAGATGATCCATCCATCTCAGCTTCCCAAAGTGCTGGGATTACAGGCGTGAGCCACCGCACCCAGCCAGGTGATAACTTTTTCTCATGCTAGCCGTTATCTTGTTATCTTCTGCTTTTATCAGCTTTTCATTATTCATGAGGCAGCCTTGTTCTTCTAGAACACTGGCCTTCAAGGATGCTTGGGCAGCGCTGTCCGAGTGCTGGGTGCTCTGCTCCTGGCCTCCCTCCTGTGGACCAGGCTCCTCTCAGTGGGCGTGAACCCCCGACAGATCCAGGGCCAGATGCTGCTGCCTGTTCTCTGCTGGCCCCCAACAAGATGGAGCAGTGCCCCAGTACTCCCCGGCCCCTAGCTTTTTAGTGACAGGCCTCGGGAGGCCCTGCCGTGCGGGGCTGAGTACCGGCAAGCAGAGGTGTCTCCACTGGCTTCTGGTCTGGGCAGCATCACAGTGGACCTGGGGAAGCAGAGCTTCCTTCTTTCAGGTTGAGAACCGACTGCATTTGGAGGCAAACGGAGGCAGGCACGAGGGTTCTGGAAATGAAGACCAGGTCCATGGACGCTCAGGCTGCCTTTCAGCGACTTCTAATTGTTGGACACCCCGGAGAATTCTACATCCGGCCACAGATGACAGAGTGGGCCGCCTGGTGTGGCTGGAACCTGTTACGTGATTGTCCCTATGGGCAAATGCAGTGGATGTTACAAACATTCAGATGTTCTTTAGCAGCTGAGTGCTAAAACACAGGCCTCCCTGGTGGCAGGCGATGGCAAGGTTTGCACACGGAGCCTTTGGCACGTGAGAAAGCTAGTGTTGCATTCGTCTGTCCACACTGATCTTAGAGTTTTTTTAATTTTTATTTTTGAGACAAGATCTCACTCTGTAGCCCAGGCTGGAATGCAGTGGTGTGAACTCAGCTCACCGCAGCCTCAACCTCCTGGGCTCAAATGATCCTCCCACCTCAGCCACCTGAGAAGCTGGGACTACAGTCATGCACCACCACGTCCAGCTAATTTTTGAAATTCTTTTGTAGAGACAGGGTCTCCTTATGTTGCCCAGACTGCTGGACTCAACAACTCTCCTGCCTCAGCTTCCCAAAGTATTGGGATGACAGGCGTGAGCCACTGTGCCTGGATATCTGAGGGTGTCCAGGCAGTTTGCTCATAGCGGCCACATCCACAGGGTGTCGGTGACATCATGCTACTTACATACAGCGGAAAAATTGATCATGGAATCTGGGCACACTGAAACCATCCATAAAAATGGATGATCTTTATTTTGATTTCAGGTAGTGACATGGTTTGGCTGTGTCCCCACCCAAATCTCGTCTTGAGTTGTAGCTCCCATAATCCCCACGTGCCATGGGAGGGGCCCGGTGGGAGGTCACTGAATCATGGGGGTGGTTATCCTTATGGTGTTCTCGTGATAGTGAGTGAGTTCTCATGAGATCTGATGGTTTTATAAGGGGCATCCCCCCATTCACTCTGCACTTCTCCTTGCTGCCGGCATGTGAAGAAGGACGTGTTTGCGTCCCCTTCCACCATAATTGAGGCCTCCCCAGCCATGTGGAACTGCGAGTTGGTTAAACCTCATAAATTACACAGTCTTGGGTATTTCTTCATAGCAGTGTGAAAACAGACCCATGCAGGTGGTATATGAAGTCTGCATGGAGCTGAGGATAATGAACAGGGAAGTTGAGGAGAGTTTTCAGCATCAGGGTGGCTTTGGAGATATGGCTGGAGCCCACTGGGTGTGGGCACCGGAGATACAGTTGGACAGAAGGGGTCAGATAAATCACCCAGCTTCCTTGCCCAAGAGGAACCAAGAGAAGGGACGAAAGCCACTTGCGGAGGCTGTTCTCACCAGAATCCCTGTCTCTGTCGGCCTCGGCCACCCTGGAGGCACCAGGACCTTTTGTTGGGATTAGGAGCTTGCCCATACATGTCTTTGGAAAGTCAAGATAATTGTGCAGTTTTATCTCTATTTTGCAGCTGATGTTTAAAATACAGCAAATGTGAGAAATATTTGACTTTTTAGAGTGCGATTCTAATAGACTTTCCCAGATTTGATGTCTATCTAAGACAAGCAATAAAAGATTGAGCAACGGAGTCATATTATCCAATGGCTCTCTTCAGCTAGGGGGCTGCAGACCCTGCGTTTGCTCAGGCCGAATTCATTCAAACATTAACTGATTAGTCTTCATTGTGCGTGGTATTCTCTAGAATCGTGACTTGTTGGTGAAAGCTGGGAAATAATTTGGACTCTCAGACCGAGTTCAAAATTGACCATTGACTTAGCAGCCTTTAAGGTGCTGTGAACAGTGCAGGGCACTTCAGGGACCCCTGGAGCAGCTCTGTTACTTAATGGGCGAAGACACGTTTTGGCGAGATTTGCCGATCCGCTCTCGGCCACACAGCGTGCCACATCCTCTGTGTGTTGTTGATAATGATGAGGGTGATGGCCTTGGAAAACCACAGCTTTGGAGCTGAGCTTTCAGAGTGGGCAGAGGCCCTTGTGGGAACGAGGGAGGCCTGCATTCCCCAGGTGATGCCTCACACCGGTTGTCCGAAGTCTTTTACCAGCACCTGCTGTGTAGAAAGCGTACACACTTGGGTGGCTTAAAACCAGTTCTTAGGGCCAGAAGTCAAAACCAGGGTGTGAGCAGGGCCGTGCTCTCCTGAAGGCTCAGGGGAGTCTGCTCCAGGGCCCTCTCCAGCTTCTGGCAGAGGCCGGCAATCTTGGTGCCCCTCAGCTGCAGACGTGTCACCCCAGGCCTTGCTTCTATCCCCATATGGCCGCCTTCCCTGGGCGTCTGTGTCCTCTTCTTATAAAGACACCGAGTCCCATGGGAGCAGGCCACTTTCACGGCCTCATCTTAATTTGATTACATCTGCCAAGGTCTTGTTTCCAAATAAGGCCACATTCAGAGGCTAAGGTTTAGGACTTGAGCACATCTTTCTTGGGGGACACATTCAGTGTACAACCCCCCCAAAAGGAAGAATATTGCACACATAATTACACTGGTGAACAGAGTACCTCAGTTTGTACATATGACAGTGCGATGTGATGGGTGGAACTGGGCTGCAGTTTAGAAGCTCAATGATTTTTGCCAAAGAAGAGCACTTGTGTCCTGAAGAAGACGACAGACACCACATGGACCGCGTGTAGTGTAGGTTGTTTGCATTCAGAACCACGCACTGTGGTGTGTCTATAATGTCCACTATGAGAGTGCCATTGTGTGGCGTGTAGTGTAGATTGTTTGCATTCAGAACCACGTGCTGTGGTGTCTATAATGTCCACTATGAGAGTGCCATTGTGTGGCGTGTAGTGTAGGTTGTTTGCATTCAGAACCACGTGCTGTGGTGTGTCTATAATGTCCACTATGAGAGTGCCATTGTGTGGCGTGTAGTGTAGATTGTTTGCATTCAGAACCACGCACTGTGGTGTCTATAATGTCCACTATGAGAGTGCCATTGTGTGGCGTGTAGTGTAGATTGTTTGCATTCAGAACCACGCGCTGTGGTGTGTCTATAATGTCCACTATGAGAGTGCCATTGTGTGATCGCCTGTGGCTGGTGCTGCAGGAGTCACACCCCGGGCCCCAGGCTTTGGGGTCATCCAGGACAGTCCTTGGCCCTGCCGGGTTCTGGGGATGTCGGAGCACCTGGTGGTCACCTGACAGCCATCGTGCCATGAGAGTTGAAGGTGCCAGGGCTGCTTTAGGCTCAGGACTGGGTCTGTGTCTCTCCGTCAGTTTCACCTGGATGTTGGTGTTGGACTCCGGTGAGGCTGTTGTAACAAAATGCATAGGCAGAGTGGCTCATGAGCAACGGGCCTTTATTCTCCAGCACTCTGGGGCTGGAGGTCCGAGACCGGGGGCCGGCACAGTGCCGCTCCGGGGAGGACTCTTCCGGGTTGTGTCCTCGCGTGGAAGGATGGGGCTGAGGGCTCCTCTGGGGCCTCTTTTCTAAGGGCATCAATCCCGTCCACACGGGCTCCCATCTCGGGACCTCGTCACCTCCCCAAGGCCCCACCTGCTAAGATCACCGCCTTGGGGGTGATGATGTCAACATGGGAATTTGGGGGGCAACGACATTCAGTCCATTTCAACTGGGAATGGGACAAAGCCATCGAGCTGCCCAAATGTGTTCAGCTACAAAGCAAAAGACTGGATTATGAGCTGAGCAGTGAGAGTCACTCGCTGAGAGGGAAATGCCAGCAAGGAGGATGCAAAGAGACCCCGTCATGAGAAAAACAGGGCAGCAAGAGCATTTTTCCGATTCACCTGGAGACAGGAAGGGGAAATCCGTGCCTGGTTGGGGTCTGGCACCCAGTGAGGATGCTGTTGCTTCTTCATGAGTTACTAAAGTCAATCCTGCTGTTTCCCGTTCCGTGTAGCGCTGTCTCATCCTGCAGTGAGCCGCGTGTCCACGTGACAGTGGGACGTGTAACAGGATGCTGCGGGGCCCTGGCAGGGCGTGCATGGAGGGAAACACATGTTTATGTAGCTAATTCTTTCCATAGCTATCTTAGAACAGGGAGAGGTTAAATGTACTGGTTTAGTGTGATTGTATTAATTTTATAAACGTGATGAATAAATCATGATGTGCTGCTGTGCCAAAGTTGACCTAAAGAGCTCAACGATTACAGTGACGTCTATGGCAAGGGTCATGGTTCTGATCTATCACATGGAATTTCTGTGCTAACTTCCCCGGCCCACACCTGCGTTGCTTTCTCCACGGTCAGCTAGGGCTCAGGGTGTACCTCCCATAAGAAACTACAGGTGCCTGCTGCAAGGACACTCAGCAGCAAGACACGCCCCACAGGGCAGAACGAAGACCAGGTCAGGGTTCCTTCTGGGATGTCAGACAATTGCTCGGAGACCCAGGCTGGTGCGGGATGGTGGCTGCCTCTCTCTCAGCCCGGCTCTTCTGAGCCCTGAGCCCTGGCCTTTGTCTTCTCTTCCAGCGAGGCCGGCAGACCCCAGCTCCTCCTCAGGTGTGACTTCCAACCTGCACCGGCGTTTTATCATCACAATACTGATCTCCGGCAGAAGAAATAGATCCAGAATTCTCAGTTCTCATCCCCATCCCATACCAAGTGAGAAAATTTAGGGCAAAACCAGAGCCTGTTTTCCACCAGACATAATTTTAGAAAGTTCTACAACGGGATTTTCCTAAATGTAAGGAATAAGGCAAAGCAGGACGTGTTTTCAGTGTGAGGACTGGCGAGAGCACTGCATGTTTAAGATGCTGCACTGGGCTGGGAGTTATGCAGCAGCGAGGTTAGCCTGGTTTTGCTGTTGCTGTTCAGTGAGATGCAAAAGCACAATAGAAAGACTGAAAGCCGTTACAGAGGAAATGGTCCCATCCATCTGCCCTTTCACGCGGTCGTCTTTTCATCATCGGCGTGCGTGGAGATTACAGGAGTGGTGGAGGAACCATTTATTATTATTTTCTGTTTCATAATTCAACCTCATACTGCAAGGGAAGGAGACAGGGTTTTTATAGGTGGCACTGAGTTTAGTGTTTTTCCTATAAAATAATTTCCACAAGTTTAGCTTCAGGCTCTCATTCTGATATAGGAGCCCTGATTCAGAATTCATTTTTTGGACATCCATAAAATGCACAATCCTCTGACTGACGAAACCCTCTCGGCGTGATTGCGGCCGCACCGTGCTGCTGGCTGCCCTGCCTGGCCAGCTCCCTTCTCTGCCCACCGTCTCCTTCGCGCCTGTCCCTCCACTGTCAGCTCAGGCGTTCATTCTTTATAGAAGCGCCCCTGCCTCTGTGGCTACCTGTGTCCCAGCAGCAGGTGTGTGTCTCAGCCCCCCGGCGTCCGCAGGTGGGGGGTAGGTGGTCGCTTCTCACCAGGCCCCAGCAACCTCAGGGCAGGGGTGGCACTTGTTCACTTCTGTGTCCTCCACACTCGCACACAGGAGGAGCTGTGGTGGCCACTGCTGCTGTGGGGTAACACATGCTACCATGTCCCTGGCACACAGGACTGTCTGACTGTGAGAAATGGCAGCTCCTCCTCCTCCTCTCTTCTCTTCCTCCCTCCTCCATCCTCTTCCTCTCTTCTCCTCCTCCCTCCTCCATTCTCTTCCTCCCTCCTCCTTACTCCTCCCTCCTCCATCCTCTTCTTCCCTCTTCCTCCTTCCTCTGTCCTCTTCTTCCCTCCTCCTTCCTCCCCCTCCTCCTCCCTCCTCCTCCCTCCATCCTCTTCCTCTCTCCTCCTTCTCCCTCCTCCTCCTTCCTCTTCCTCCATCCTCCTCCCTTTTCCTCCTCCCTCCCTCGCCCTCCCTCCCCTCGTCCCTCCTCCTTCCTCCCTCCCCCTCTTCCCTCCTCCTCCTCCCTCCTCTTCCTCCCTTTTCCTCCTCTCTCCCTTTCCCTCTTCCTCCCTCCCCCTCCTCCCTCATCTTTCACCATCCTCCTCCTCCTCCCTTTTCCTCTTCTCTCCTCCTCCCTCCCCCACCTCCCTCCTCCTCTCCCCTTCTCCTCCTTCCTCCTCTCTCCTCCTCCTCCCTTCCTTTCCCCTCTTCTCCCTCTTTTTCTGTAAATCCGCTCCGAAAACTGATCAGTAATGACAAGGATCAAGCTGCAGGTACAAGATTCACGTATTTATGTATTTTTCCCAATTTAGTCTCTTCCCAAGGTCATCTTTGATTCTACTTTTTAAAGTAGATGGCTAAACTTTTAGGAAATTAGAGAAAAAGTACAGCTATTTTAAATTTGTTTTAATCTAATGATAATGGAGTGGTCTAATTTCTTTTCTTTAAAATGTGCTCTTAAAGCTCATCCAATTTTTCTTAAGTTCCTCAGTGTTTATGGTGATGATCCCTTTAGAAAACTCGAACTGGCCTGATCTTTGAATTCCTTGACCAAATGAGCAAAAATGCTGGCTTTTGTGATAAAAGCAACAGTAGCCAGTGATAAGGCACAAGCCAGTTCACTTACAAACACGAATTCCCTACATACCACCAGAGAGGGCTACGGGGGAGACAAGCTTCACTGAAGATCATGGGAGACTTCCTTGCTGAAATTCCACATCATTTCTTCAAGAATCATTGACCTCACAAAGAACAAAACACAAACAAAAAACCCTCCAAATATAAAGTTGAAGACAATATAGTTGTTTTCTTTATTTTTATTGCCATGTAAGAAAGACATGGTAAGTGGGAAAACCAATGAATGATTTTGGCATATTCCACATAATACAAAAGTAGTAAATTTATGCTCTCACAATGAACATACAAAAGAAATGAGAAGAAAATAAAATATAAGGAATGTTTAGACTCAATAATGCAAAACGGCTTAGGAGTGATTCTATTTGTTAGTCCTCTGATCTAGCATTTATAAGTGCAAATATTTTCACACAGTCAGATTTGCGTCTCTCCCCTCATTATTACTTCAGGGAATGATGTAAATGACGGCATCTGAAGTAATCAGAAATCTTCTTTCTCTTCACGGTGCACGTTGTTCACATATAAATGACTCACATCAACTCAGGCATAGTCCTTAGCATAGAGCGCTGGCCTGTTTTATGTAGACACGCGTTTCTCTGTTTTTCCTCACAGCTAGATTCTTGCTTTGACGGTGATGACTTCTGCACTAAGATGAAAGATGGATTGACTCCTGGCTCCATGTTAGGCCAGCCTGGACATTGTTCTGGGGTTTTGGTTCAATTTGAGTCATTAAAGGAAAAAAATCCTCTGCAGCAATGTTATTATGTGATAACAGAAATACTTGTAATAACTAGATAATTTTAAGAACCTAAGTTCATCCGTCTGTTAATCTCAGCTGTGATTAAGGAGGCAACCCTAAAGCCCATTATTCCTAATGACAAGACCAAGCAGGCTTAAAGCATTAGCCGGCGGAGGCCACAGAGACGGATGCTGAAGGGTATCAGCAGTCCCGGCCACAATTGAGGGATTGGTCCGTCCTCCATACAACAAAAGTGATACAAAAGAATGACACCCTCGCTAGAGTCCATTTCCTCGTATAATCACACAAAATGATTTTTCTTAAATATGATAATAAATCACAGCAAAAAATCAATGTGGCAGGGCCCAACTGCTGTGGCCTGATAACGCATCAATCAATATTTAGTATTTAGATTTTAATTAATACATAGCTGTGCAGAGGCTTTTTAAGAGAGAAATATTATCTTAGATAAAAATTCCGGCACTGTTAGCATGCAAAAGTTGTTGCTCATATCTGTCATTGATCAATCCACTGGAGTTGTGATTAAAAACCCTTGAAAATATCAGACAAGAGGGTGAAAGAGATTGAACCAAAAAAAAAAAAAAAAAAGAACGTCACAGGCCTGTTTGCCTAGAAAATGGCTCGAGATGCTGGAGAGTCGGCACGGCCGCTGCAGCCTGTCAGGCAAGAGAGTCTGTTTCACACAGATGGATACGGAATTTAGGAGCTGGTGGAGATGTAGCCTGAGGCCTGTGTCACTGGGTCAGAACCAGAGAATTCTAAATGCATAACCCCGATTCCCTCCATCCCTTCCTCCCGTCTTATTAGATATAGTTTTGGAAGAAAGTTTTCCCTTGATGAGAAAGTATTTAAAAATAATTTTATTTTATTTTATTTTTTTAGTAGAGATGGGGTTTCAGCATGTTAGCCAGGCTGGTCTAGAACTCCTGGCCTCAAGTGATCCGCCCACCTTGGCCTCCCAAAGTGCTGAAGTTACAGGTGTGAAACACTGCACCTGGCTAAAAATAATGTTCCTGTTGGGAGATCCACATCTCTTCAGGGATGCTCTTAATTTCTTGCATTTCCTTTGACATATGAATACATGGGCTATTCAAATTGAAACTGCAAATAGGTGGGCTGAGATTTCCCTTTCCAAATCTCGAGGAGGACCGTGCGTTCCCTCGATGAGGTTCGCACACTGTCTTCCTTGCTGCTCAGCCGGCCCCTCTCCCTTACTGCCCATCACCTCATATCTTAGTTCCCACGACCTTATGTGAACCAGGAGTTTACAAAACCAATCCCCAGGGAAATGACTCTTCTTTTGGTGTCCCCAACCTTTGATATTTACCAGGTGTTTTATCAAGTAGAAAATGTTTCTTTGCTCTTTCGGGTCAGGTGACACAATCAAAGACAAGCAGTGAAGACGGAACGCCCGTTTTTGAAGCTTCTTGGGAAGAGGGTGTAAGACAATGATGCTAAGTCCTTTTGGGAATATCTGGTGCTTCTTATGGTTTTCTTTTAAATTAGTTCCCTTGCTGGGTCTTCTCCTTTCTCTGTTGATTTTACCTTTTAGTGTCCTCTTTCCCGCTCACATAGAGAGTGAGCTGCAGCCTCTGGCAGAATCGCTAAGTCTACTGTTCTTTAGGATGACCTCCCGATGCAGCAAACCCAAGGTCAAGGGGAAATTCACCCACGTAGGCCAGGTTGGATGGGTCTAGAGAGGAGAGCGAGCTCTCCAAGCTTCTTTCCCTGATGTCTTCTTGAAGGCGTGCTGGATTCCTCCTTCCGTATCTTCACATCGCGTGTGACTTGGTGCAAAACTCAGTGGGTGCCCACTTGGGAAAGAGGGCTGCTTTCTGGTGGCCCACGCTGTCCGTGTCCCCTGGCTGTCATGGCAAACAGAAGAAGGAAAAGGCGTTTCAAGGCCATTGAGTCGATGCCAGGAGGATTTTCCAAGCAGGGTTCTTATCTAGGAGGATGTGAATTGAGGATTTTGGCAAAAACAGAAACCTCAGAAGGTTGAAGTGATTTGTTCTCAGTGGAAGAGAAGGAAAGTTTCTCCAGAGCCTGTGCTAATGTTGAGGCAAAGAGTTAAACAAACAGAAGCAAGAAAAAGCACTTAGGAACTCCTGCAGAACCCTGGAGACATGGCACGACGTGCCTACATTTCCAGGTCGTTTCCCATCATTGGGAACCCTGAGAGGCCCTTGGTTGTGGCCAATGGTCATGAAAAGTGACAACAAATTGGTTTCTGAGAGTCAAAGGACAGTAGGATTATTGGGTAATGGGGGTCCCTGGTGGAATGTGGGTTCAGGGAAGGTGGCGTCGATCCACCAGGCTTCTTCACCAAAGTTCCAAGTGGAATGTTCCAAGCTGGGGAATGTAGCCAGAGGAGCACCATGGAGGAGCCGGGAAATGCCTGGGTTTATAGGTACTGCAGAACTGCAGGATCAAAGGTTTACCTTCTCCCCTAACCATTCCGCCTCCAGGACTTTCTCCTGTGGAAATAATCAGATAAGCACAGACATTTGTGTATGAAGAGACTCCCTGCAGTAAAGCAACAACAGAAACAACCCTCACCATGCGACAACTAATTACTCCGCCGTGGAGGAGTGCTTCGTGTGAGGCACTGTGTAAAATACAGTCTGTAGAACACAGACTGTAAAATACAGTTGCCGAGGTCATCATGTTCAGAAGAATCCTCAGTGACACTGGGGGAAATCTCAATTCTGTGAAAGAAACAGCGACAGTGCCTGGAAAATTAAAAAAAAATTCATACGTGTTTTTGGGACATGTCCTCACGTTTCATTTGAAGCAGAAAGGGAGAACTCAGGTTTGCAGGCTGTGATTAGGGTCGATTCTCTGCTATCCCCGAGCTCAGGTTTGCAGGCTGTGGTTAGAGTCGATTCCTGCTATCCCCGAGCTCAGGTTTGCAGGCTGTGGTTGGGGCGGATTCTCCGCTATCCCCGAGCTCAGGTTTGCAGGCTGTGGTTAGAGTGGATTCTCCGCTATCCCCGAGCTCAGGTTTGCAGGCTGTGGTTAGGGTCGATTCCTGCTATCCCCGAGCTCAGGTTTGCAGGCTGTGGTTAGGGTCGATTCCTGCTATCCCCGAGCTCAGGTTTGCAGGCTGTGGTTGGGGTGGATTCTCCGCTATCCCCGAACTCAGGTTTGCAGGCTGTGGTTGGGGTAGATTCTCCGCTATCCCCGAACTCAGGTTTGCAGGCTGTGGTTGGGGTCGATTCCTGCTATCCCCGAGCTCAGGTTTGCAGGCTGTGGTTAGAGCGGATTCTCCGCTATCCCCGAGCTCAGGTTTGCAGGCTGTGGTTGGGGCTGATTCTCCGCTATCCCCAAGCTCAGGTTTGCAGGCTGTGGTTGGGGTGGATTCTCTGCTATCCCCGAACTCAGGTTTGCAGGCTGTGGTTGGGGTGGATTCTCCGCTATCCCCGAGCTCAGGTTTGCAGGCTGTGGTTGGGGTCGACTCCTGCTATCCCCGAGCTCAGGTTTGCAGGCTGTGGTTAGAGTGGATTCTCTGCTATCCCTTAGCCCTTCAGTGGAACTCTGCTGGTTTCAATCCTAATTCAGAAAAAGCTATATTTACCAAGCCTACGCCTGCATTTGGCAAACACCGAGTTCCTTGATTTTTGTTTTCCTCCATTTCCCCTTTTTTCACGGGATGTAGCATCATCTTTCAGGCTAATTGAGCCCAAACCTGGTCTCTTGTTAATGTCAAGTGGTTGCCCTAAAATGCTTCCCCCAACCCCAAGATCTTTAGGAGCTGGCCTCCTTCAGCCCTACAGATTAGACCAGAGTTTCTAAAGCACCCGTATTAGTCTGTTCTCACACTGCTATAAAGAAACATCTGGGCCGGGCGTGGTGGCTCACGCCTGTAATCCCAGCACTTTGGGAGGCCGAGGCGGGTGGGTCACGAGGTCAGGAGATCGAGACCATCCTGGCTAACACGGTGAAATCCCATCTCTACAAAAAAATTAGCCTGGTGTGGTGGCGGGCGCCTGTCGTCCCAGCTACTCGGGAGGCTGAGGCAGGAGAATGGCGTGAACCCGGGAGGCGGAGCTTGCAGTGAGCCGAGATGGCACCACTGCGCTCCAGCCTGGGCGACAGAGCGAGACTCCGTCTCAAAATATATATATATATCTCTGAGACTGGGTAATTTATAAAGAAAAGAGGATTAATGGGCTCACAGTCCCACAGGCTGTGCAGGAAGCATGCTGCCGGCCTCTGCTTGGCTTCTGGGGAGGCCTCTGGAAATGTTCAATCATGGGGGAAGGCGAAGGGGGAGCAGGAGGAGAGAGAGAGTTGGGGAGGAGAGAGAGTTGGGGAGGAGAGAGAGTTGGGGAGGAGGGAGAGTTGGGGAGGAGGGAGAGTTGGGGAGGAGAGAGAGTTGGGGAGGAGGGAGAGTTGGGGAGGAGAGAGAGTTGGGGAGGAGAGAGAGTTGGGGAGGAGAGAGAGTTGGCGCACGCTTTCAAACAGCCAGATCTCACGGAAACTCACAACCGTGACGACAGTGCCAAGGGGATGGTATTAAACCACAAGAAACCGCCCCATGGCCCCGTCACCTCCCAGCAGGCCCCACCTCCAGCACTGGGGGTGACAGCTGAGCATGGGATTGTGGTGAGGACGCAGAACCAAACCATATCAGGGTCACATGTTATATTTAATCAAGCCCCATAAAACAAGCGAGGTGAAAGCTTGGAGGTAAATGCATGTTCTCATCCTAGAGGGTTGAACTTAAGAAATATTATCTGCAGTCAGACCTTTAAATAGATGTAGACTGAAGTCCCTTATGTCTCAAACCAGTTTTTCTTTTTTTTAAGCACCTCAGAGAAGAGGGCGATTTGAAAGTAAGGCCTGGAGGCATCTGCGAAGTCACAGAGGGGAGGAATGACCTTTTATTTGCTTTAGAGCTTTTTGGGTTTTTTGTAATAATCACATTAAAATAATAGTCATGTAATTAGAATAGAATAAGATTTTATCTTTCAAAGGTAAGGCAATGGAAAGATATTTATTTGTGAAATAAAATCAGCAACCATATCATGAGATTGATTAAAAAAGCAGCCACTTTAACTTAAGGTTCCAAAGGCCTGAGCTGTGAGGGGTGTATGATGTCGCTACCAAAATAATTCCACGGTGTTTGCTGAGGCCTGACATATGCAGGCCGTGGTACCAGTGTCTTCGTGGAGGTGGTGGCCCTGCCCCGCATGCCAGTTTGCTGCAGGAGTCTGGTGACCATGCTTGTTAGCTGGGGGATGCGTGGGCTCTGGGAGACCTGAGTCTTAGGTTCCAGGGATGACCCTAGATGTCCAGCACTGAGCAACTCCTTGGTGACGGGAGTTATTGAAGTCACAGCCCTTCTCTGAGGCAAAACCAAGTTCGTGAGTAAAAACAGTGTGGGAGGGGAAGAGCAGTGGACACACAAATCTACATGGAGGTGATTTGCTTTCCTTCCTTTCTTTGTTGCTGTCTTTGTTTTGCTCTAGGAGAGACAGAGAGCGTCTCATCTCATTCTGCAGATGATGAGCGTGGTTTTGAAGCCAGGTGTTCTGCACTGGAGGGCAGCTGTTGATCTTCCTCGGCTGCCAGCCCAGGCTCATCTCGGGGGTGGGGGGGTTTGTGGTGGGACGGCCCTCGTCCTGCCTGGCTCCAACGCTCAGCCTCAGGGGCATACGGTGCTAGCTCTTGGTGCTGGGCGCCTGAGACCCTGTGTCCCTCGTCCCCTCAGCCTGCGGCTCCCCGCTCCCTGCTATGTCTTGCTGGTGGAGGGAAGGGGTGCGGGAGCAGGTCCTTCTGCTGGAGAGTTTTTGGGGACTCGGTGTGAATGCAGGAGAGCTGGTGAGCACACTTTCCCTAGGGGACAGCTAGGAGGCTCACGAGTCGGGGGGGCAGGGTGGGAAAACACTTTCCCCCCTTTTTTTCTTTCCTTCTCCACTGTCCAGCAGGCCTGTTGTCCCTGCAGGCCCGGGGGAGCCACCTTCTAGAAGTTGCATAACCTTGGCCTGTTTCACTCAATATCACGAGCACATATTTTATGCTCATTTACATTTTAAATGGGTACATTTTAAGTCCCATCCTTTTTGAAAATATGAAATGCTTCCTAGAATTATATGTTGGACAATAAGATTAGAACTGTCTGGAGTATTAACTATGAATAAACTTTTAATAAACTGGTGATAAGAATCTTACTGAGGGAAGCACCTCAGCCTGGCTTCCAGCTGGAGAGGCCCTGGGCAGGTGGGGCCCAGGCCGTCTGCGGTGGGGCCAGTGTGGGAGGCTGAGAATCTCTGTGTATTGATGCTTTTTGTCAGTTCTATGTGATTCAGCCTTGGCCACGCCTTGGGGTTTGTATGGCCATGAAAATGAAACTCCAGCAGACACTTTGGTTTCCAGACCTAGCATTTGCCTCCAATGGGCCATGACTCATACAGACATAACGTACATTGATATAGACAAGCTTGTGATATGCACATATATCAAACGGCCAGACTGGGAGAAGATAAAATGTGGTGGGAATAAAAAAGTGGTCAAGAAGAAATGAGGGAAGTTTGACTTAAGCCTTCAGTGTGTCTAGGGAGAATTTGTTTTTCCTTTCTAAAAAGAGTCAAGAAAGGAGATCACAGCTGGGAAAGACGTTTAATAAGACAGAGCTGCACCAGCCAAGCTTTTCAGACAGGGGCTGAGGGCAGAATGTGTTTCTCATTTGGTTTGTCTTCGCCCAGACAACAGAGGATGGGCTGGTTTGAGGGTTGCATGTTGCCAGGAGGGTATCTCTGGATGTTAATTTTTCTACTGTAGCCTAAGATTTTGAGATAAAAGATTTGAACCTAAAGGAAACCTTTCTAGGACTGGAAACTCCTCATATTGTGGATGGAGAATTCTATTAATAGTATTGATACCCACACGAGTCAGCCTTAAGGAAAACCACGACAAAGGAACAGGGGCCTCCTGACAATTACTGTCCAACTCCGATGAGACTCCAATGGAGAGAAATGTCATCATTATTGAGTACTGGAGGGACAGATATTTTGGTGACAGATTAGAGCTTGTAGCAAAACTCAGATGACAATGCAAAGCCACTGCCTCTTTTGCCTGAAAATTGGACTGAACACCTTCTTGTATCCCAGATTTTGCCCTTTGAAAAAGGCAGCTATGATTCAGAGAAGCCAACAATCATAGATATTTATGAGATAATTGGGGCATTTGATAATATGAAGACACTTGTTAGGTATTTAAGATGTGATAGGCCAGGCGCGGTGGCTCACACCTGTAATCCCAGCACTTTGGGAGGCCGAGATGGGCAAATTACCTGAGGTCAGGAGTTCGAGACCAGCCTGGCCAGCATGGTGAAACCCCGTCTCTACTTAAAATACAAAAAATTATCTGGGTGTGTTGCTACGCACCTGTAATCCCAGATACTTGGGAGGCTGAGGCAGGAGAATCGCTTGAACCCGGGAGGCGGAGGATGCAGTGAGCCAAGATCGTGCCACTGTACTCCAGACTGGGGGACAAGAGCGAGACTTTGTCTCAAAAAAAAGAAAAAAAAAGTGATGATGATAGGATTAGGTTAAACAAGCAGAGGTGTTTGCCAATGAGATAATATGCCCGGGATTTGCTTTAAAACAACACAAAGCGGGCCAGGCACAGTGGCTCATGCCTGTAACCCCAGCACTTTGGGAGGCCGAGGTGGGCGGATCACAAGGTCAAGAGATCCAGACCATCCTGGCCAATGTGGTGAAACCCCATCTCTACTAAAAATACAAAAATTAGCTGGGCATGGTGGTGCATGCCTGTATTCCCAGCTACTTGGGAGGCTGAGGAAGGAGAATCGCTTGAACCCGGGAGGTGGAGGTTGCAGTGAGCCGAGATTGCGCCATTACACTCCAGCCTGGCAACAGAGCAAGACTCCATCTCAAAAAAAAAAAAAAACCCAAAAAACCCCAACCAACCAATCAACCAACCGAACAAGCAAAAAACACAGAGCGGGTGGAGAATTGGGGAGCATGAGCTGAATCGCCCGTGTGTCGACAGCAGCAGAAGCCGGGTGGTGACGGGCGCTCCGGCTTCGCTGTATTGATCCATCCATCTTTATGCATGTTTGGAAATTTTTGTAAGATGTTTGTTTGTTAAAGGTCAGCTATTACCCATGGTGACAGACCTGAGATCAAGCTCAGTGGTCTGGCCCCTGGGCAACCACCAGCCCCATCTCTTCACAGCTGAGATCAAGCCAAGTGGTCTGGTCCCTGGGCAACCACCAGCCCCATCCCTTCACAGCTGAGATCAAGCCGAGTGGTCTGGTCCCTGGGCAACCACCAGCCCCATCTCTCCACAGGTTGGTTTGAATTGGGGCAAATGCACATCCCTTGAGAGAAGGGAGTTTGGAATATTCATCCTCTCTGCCTCTTTTCTTTTGCATGTGACTGTCCACCTTCCCAGCTCATCTCCTGTCTTTCGTCAGCACCTGTCTGTGGGGGAAAAGGTTAGGTCAGGTTTTAGTGGGTCATTTCAGATTTTGCAGTAAGACTTGCTACCATTTATTGAACCCAGGTATCACATTATATGTTCTGCATATATTCCCTTTAATCTTCTCAATCATACTGAAATGTAGCTTTCATAACCCAATTTTATGCATGAGAAAACCGAGGTTTGGAGATGGTCTGCACTGAGAGAGGCCGAGCCAGGTATGAGCCTGGGCTCCAGCCCTGCCCTGCCCGTCTCCCGGTTCGTGGCCTTCCTGAGCTCTGGCCCCGCCCTACCTGTCTCCTCTTCCGTGCGGCCTTCCTGGACTGTGCTACCGCCCTGCCCACATCCCTGGCCCGACGTCTTCCTGGTCGGTGCTCCTGCCCTACCCACATCCCTGGCCCTCAGCCTTCCTGGGCTGTGCCCCTGCCCTGCCCACCTCCCTGGCCCTCAGCCTTCCTGGGCTGTGCCCCCGCCCCGCCCACCTCCCTGGCCCTCAGCCTTCCTGGGCTGTGCCCCCTCCCTGCCCACCTCCCCGGCTCTCGGCCTGTGCCAGCAAAGCAGCCCTGCTTCTGCCTCCACAGACACTCAGGTCCCAGGCTGGGCCTGGTCATCCTTGCAGCTGGAAACTCTTGGCGGAGTGTGAGCCCCACTAAGGCCAGGCAGCTAACGTAGATACCTGAGTTTATTCTTTGATCTCCGAGGCAGTCTGGGCCCATGGTGTGGACCTGGAAGCGTGCGTGTGTGCTCACGGGTGGAATTTGGCCGTTAGCTGCACCTGTGCTCCCGCGCTGCCTGGCGGCCATCCCTGATTTCTCTGCCCTGGCCAGGGCGTGCTGATTTGCTCTGGTTCCTTTTTCATTTCTCTGATGGTCGATGGAAACTATTAGTTCATTTCCAGCATTGGACAAATGTCAGTTACTTAGCTAGGGTCACGGGTTTTGATGGGAGAATTGGGCTAATGGTAGTGATGCCAGTGATTTCTCGGCTGTCATTGTAGATGGCAGAGATATTCCATCTCTCACTGAAGGCAGCCCAGTGGATTTTAGTCAAGTTAATTCGAATTGCACTCTAAAGCTAAATGAAATGTTTATTTCTATGTTGGTAAATGGTATAGAAAAAGCTGCTATTGAAATGACATTTATTCATAATTTGGTCTGTTAGGAATATGCACGCTGAATGCTGATTTGTTTACCTAGATGGAAAATTGTCTCTTACGGAGATGAAAAGCATACCAGATTTCAGTTTCTTATGGTGCGTGTGTGTGTGTGTATGTGTGTGCGCACCTGCTCACACATTGTGCGAGCACTCACCACACTGAAGGGGTTTTGTAGACATTGCTTCACGATTCTCACACCTCCACCTGAGGTTTGTGATACTGTCCCTTTGTTGTCACCATCACTGCAGCTGTTGTGCAGACAAAACCACTCAGCTTCCTGAGGCCAAGTCACTCACCCAAGGTCACTGGCTCACAGGGCAGGGCTGGGCACAGTCTGGCCAGCCCCCAGTCTCCCGCCCGGTGCTTCTCCCTCCCCATGTCTGAGCCAAAGCCTGCAAGTCCTCATGTTGGCACCCACCCGTCTACCCACATGCACCCCTGGGAGACTGCTGGCTCTGTTCTCGGCTCGCCGTGGAATTTCTCCCAGGGCCACCCATGTTCACACACGGACACAGGGACTCCTGGACCCAAGCAGGCCTATGTATTCGTTCCCCAGATAATCAGAGGCACCGATAAAATAAAGCTTCCAGCTGATGGGCATCCGACAGACAGGGCTGTTAGTTTATGTGGGCTATAGGCAGAGTCGACTGGAAAGTTTTGATCACTTTAATTTACTATATCCAGCATGCCTGCTGTACTCAGCCGGCACTTTTATCAAGCCTTGTGAGGCGGTATTGATTTTTTTATTTTCTGTGTAGGATAAGAAGACAGAGAGTTAGGAACAAGAGTGAATGAAGAACTTTCCTAGATTGCTGCTTTCTCCAGCTTATTGCGCGCTGTCGTTTGTGGTTTCAGATGATGGCCAGTACGTCCGGGCTGCCCGCAGCAATGAGCAGGCTGAATAACAATGGAAGGCCAGACAGGAGAGATTGAAAAAGGAGAAAGAGGCTGCTGGAAAGTGAGAAAGCGCATGTGAGAAACAGGAAAACAGGCCGGGCTGAGGGAAAAGTGTCCAAGGTGTAGGTAGCCCCATCAGCATGTTCCGTTAAAGTCGCTGCAAACTGCCAGGACAGTTTTTCATCGAAGAGTCTGGCTGCAAAGTCTACAGGGAGGAGAACCAAAGCTTCACTTTATCATTTTCTTCCTTAAACGAACAAAAGAACCTCCACCTCCTCACCCCCAGGAAGCCACAACACAGCACAACACAACAGCGGTGGCAGAGTGCCTGAGGAGGCGGCATTTGGTGCCGTCCCAGATGTGGCTGCCTCAGTGGCACCTGCTGTCCTCACCCTGGTCAGGGCCTGTGAGGCTGAACCTGTCTCAGCCCACACGCCTGACGCTGCTGCGATTCCAACGCCCCTTTCCACTTCCAGCCTTCTGAGGGAGTGTGATGAAATTTGACAAAACATAGAGGCTAATGTGGGTCATTTTAATAATATGGTTTCTCTTACGTTGTGGTGGAAATGGAGACAAGCAGAGTGAGAAACAGAATCCCAGGAGTTCGGCGCTCGGATTCTCGCCACCCTGCTCTCCACAGCCCTGCTGACTTGATTTGCTTAAGGAGATGGTGCGCTCGCTCCCTGCCATCGCCTCCTGTCACCGTGGGTCCTGTGGCCACACCATGCTGCCAGGCCCCAGACAGATAGCACCCTGAGGCTCACGTCCGGTCAGTGGCTCTGCGTGGGGACACCGCCACTGGCTTCCAGAAGCACGTTCCAAAGCCAAGACCCCTGGGTGGCCCCATGGGCGATGGATGCTCCACTCTCAGCTTCCCTGGACTTTCAGGAGTAAACATGCAGGTGGATGAGCACGTTCCAAAGCCGAGATCCCCGGATGGCCCCACGGGCGATGGACGTTCCACTCTCAGCTCCTCCCCTGGACGTCCAGGAGTAAACATGCGGGTGGGTGAGCACGTCGAGGCGTGGGCGCCATCACTAGATTGCACTTAGATGATCCTTAAGAAAACAGTCTCAGAGTCGTGGGTGCCGGGCAACGTGGAACGCTCGCTTTTCAGAGAAGTCACTGAGGAAGACTTCAGCATCGCCTGTTCCGCTACACATGCAGCCCCCGGAGGCTTCAAAGACGTCGATCCAAGGTGAGTGTGTAGCACAGCAGGGACTGCACGCGATGGGACCCTGGGCCTGGAGGGATTTTGGAAAAAGAAACAGTGATGCGGTAATGGCTCAGCTCAGCCACATTTTGGTTGTCACAGGAGAGTGACAAAGGTCCCGGGATGTTCAAGAGCAGTGGGCCGCACAGCAAAACCAGAAACTTCCAGAATAGGTGAGAGATGACATTTTTAAAATCACGCACACACAACTCTCTTACTTTAAGCAATTTTAATTGCAAGGTATTCAAATCCCTATAAAAAGCCAGTTTCCCGTAGCTATTAGGTCTTTCTTCAGAAGACCCATGCGTGTTTCATCTCGAATGCCGTTCCTGGGAGATTCTGCTCACAGATGTATGTGACACAAGCCCTCCGTTTCATTTCGGAGCAGGAAATGTACAGGTTGTCAACAGGGGACCTTGTCTGGATAGCTACGTGTACAAAAAAATGAAGGGCAATTCGGGAGCCCAATATTTGGGATGTGTTTATTTTCCAGCTCCATGAGTTCTGGCTTTTATGATATGAAAGTTCTGTTTCTGTACTTCGTCTTTAATTTTGTAAAAAGAGGAAAGCAGTGATATGAAATGTGCCGTGCACAGAGCCGGCTCGTTCACACACGCTTGCATTGGCCACACTAGTGTCATCTCTAACATGTTGGTGATAGTCTATTGGAACAGCTGGCTGGTAACTCTGTATCGTGTGAGTGGAGTTCAGTGTGAAAATGATTTGTAAAACCACGACGTAAAGTTCTCTTTAACAAGGGTTTTGGTAAAGTATGAAGCTGAATCCGAAGTGGTATAAATTAGACTTTAAATGGGACTTACATTAAAATCTTCAGGGTCAACATTGGACTATGAAATAAAGATAGCTGTTAATCATGTTATAAACGAACACCTGAGACTAAAAATCTGATGTGGAATTTGGAGCTCTTGCTTTTTAAGCAGCATATCTTTAATCTGAAAGCTCCATTTGTTAAAATCAATTAAAGGGACCTGTTGTTGCTCAAGTAATCCCTGGTGATCACTCACAGAAGGTGCCTGTGTGTGCACTGCGGCCCGATTTGATTGGGGTTAAATTTCAGTTAAATAAAGTTAACGCACGACTTTTAAAAATGTGGCTTGCCAAAGCTATTTATTTTGCAAAGAAATTAATGCCTTGTCATCAAATGAAATTAAGGCCCGTCACCCCCAACCCCAATTCTATTGGCAATCACAGTCATGACAGGCAAGGGAGGGGTGGACTCAGAGGCGTGTTATGTGCGTCGATATCTCAGGGCCTCCTGAACACTTTCTACTAAGTTCTAGAGCTCCAGGAAGCCCAGGTGAAACGGTTTATTTAACCTCATAGCACGTTGCTAGGAGCTCCGAGGCTCCCTGTCCCTGGAGGTGTGTAAGACTGGAGGAGACAGCCATCTGTCCTGGGCCATTTCTGCCGAGCTGCTCAGATGCTGGGGTCCGGCCATTGTTCTGCCCTGGCTGCATTTGTCTCGCTTGGGCTCCGGGACTCACACTGCCCTGTGGAGGCGCAGAGGCACGTGTCGACTTAGCAGCTGTATCTGTGGTTGCTTTTTCCCCCACCTAAGAGTACTTACTTAAAAATAAAGGGTCATGGTGCGAAAAGGAAAGCACTAATGCAGTAGAAAGTAAAAGCAAATTAACTTTTTGTATTGTGTGTTGTTAAAAATGACTGTGTGCTACCTATTCCCATTTGCAGGTAGAATCTACTCAGCGGAGATACAAAGTCATCTTCTAAGGTGATTTGTGATTCACAGTAGTGATTTTGTCTCATGTGTAAATACAAATTTAAAGTATGTGCAGGGATTGCTGAAATAATCTCTAAAGGGAGAGAATGTTTCTTCTACTTTTGGAGTTGTGGTGGGCTTGGGTGTGCTGATTACAGCACTGTGATTTATTCTCATTGTAAAGGGCTATTGTTGAAGTTGAAATAGTTGCTTTATTTACAATACATAAGTTCCATTATAAAAGACGGCAGGTGCAGTTTGAGGGAAAATGTCACTATTGGGCGAGGAATCATCATGCAACCTTAAAAAAACCGAAGACTCTGAAATATTTTAAAGCCATATGGTAGGCTAACTTCTGGGTGCGCTTATTTAGAAATCAATTTCATTTTAAAGCAGAAAAGCCTCATTAAGTGAATATATTAACTTCTCGTTCCCGCCCCATAAGGTAATATTAACTGAAGATTCGGAGTGAAGGAAAACTGGGTCTGCGAGCCGAGGTGGGGATTTTCCTGGGCAGAAATCTGTAGACCTGAGCTGTAGCCCAAATCCTCACACTAATGGGCCTTCCTCCCCACTTCAAAATGGGGGTAACCAAGCCTGGTCCATCTATCCTAAAGGATGTTATGTCAGATGAGCTAAAGGTAGCCAAAGAGTTTTCGAAACTATAAAGCACTAGACAGATACAAGAGGTTGCCCCTTTGGTTTCCTTTTCTTTTCGACTCTGTGTCGGAAATTCAGTATTTTCACTGATTAATTGTCCTCAGTAAGACGCACAACCGTATTTTTTTTAAAAGAAGATTAATGTGTAGCTGTAGCGTCTGGAATCATTTAAAGTGCTATTTGAAAATCTGACCCATCATAACAGTCAGATGCTCTCAGAAAAAGATAACAATGAAAATAATAACAATAATGACAACAATGAATGTTAAACATGGAAATAGGCACATTACCATTATAGCTTAGCATTAGCTGTTGTTAAAGAAAGGAGGACTGAAAAAAAAGGCATTTCTTTCCATTCAAAATACAGACCTGAGCATTTAACTAGAATCAGAAGAAAATACCACTGAAAATGGAATAAATGGCTTCGGTTTACCCAGGTTATTTCTAAACAGTAATGCAAAGATGTAATAGAAATAATTTAGACATATGGATAAGAACCTTCAAATCAATAGTGCTAGCAGTGCCACACAGCATATGCTGATGCAATCAAACAGAATTGAATTTCATACAAATGTTGGCAAATCTATATCCGATTATCACAGCAAAACTTCATTTTCATTGATTTATAATGTATTATTATTGTTTCCACCAAACTGCCATAGACAGCCATTCAGCAGCTGTGAAGTGCCTTAAGGGTAAATACAGGGGCTCGATGACGGGGTGGGCTGTAGACATTTAAGAGGCCAATAACTCACGGGGCGGCAGGTGCGACGTCCCAGCGGCTCCCTCCTTGCTCCTTTTAATCGCATTAGATCATTCTTTGAGAGTTTTGTGACATGGGGGCGTACTAGTTTGATATTCATGTATGAATCAGATCAAAAGGAAGGAAAATATTTTGTAGCATACAAAGATTTAGCAAACACAAGGCTGAACAGTTCCGTTAGACACATTCATGTCTGTGTGCCTATATCCAGTCTATATCCAAATCAATAATCCATACCCGTATCTATATCACCTCCACGTCTCTCTCTGCCTCTGTCTCTATACCTATCTGTGTCATGTGAAGACATTATTTAGGCTGGTATTATTTTTAGGAGCCCTGACTCCTCTGTGGCACACTCCTTGCTAAGATTCGCAGTCTGTGTGTCTCACACACCTTTCTTTTAGAGATCTCAGTTGACTGTTCTGTTCTATTGGAATTCCCAGTTGACTATTCTATTCTATTGGAATGAGAGATTTTTCTTCCCAGCTTCTGCTTCCCTGGACATCCGTGACCACAGGAGACGGTTTCTGGCATCATCTAAGCAGCATGGTTCTGCTCTTTTGAACAGGGATTCTATGAACAGTGATTCTCCTTGTGAACATTTTTAAGAAACAGAAATGGAATTAATAACAATGAGTTAGGTTATTATGTTAAGGCTTTAGCTCACGGCTATACAAAATAAAGCAGAAATCTGTGTATCGTTTGTATTCTTTCATTGTGTCTGTCAGGTTGACATGTAACCTTCCTTCCCCATGTCTCCCTCCTGTTGTTGTCAGCCGGCATCACCTGTACGTACATATCATGTATGTGTGGAATCACGTGTGCGGCCTTCTTTGTGTTTGGCTTTTGTGCTACATGCTTTAGGGAGTCACCTTCGTGGTCACACATGTCACTGCTTGCTCCTTTTTATTCCTGAGTCTTTTTTTTTTTTTTTTTTTTTGACAGAGTCTCGCTCTGTCGCCCAGGGTGGAATGCAGGGGCACGATCTTGGATCATTACACGTTCCGCTTCCCGGGCTCAAGCCACCCTCCCGCCTCAGCCTCCTGAGTAGATGGGACCACAGGTGCACACCACCACGCCTGGCTAATTTTAATGCCTTTTGTAGAGAAGTGGTTTTGCCACGTTGCCCAGACTGGTCTCCAACTCTGGGCCTCAAGTGATCCGCCTGCCTTGGCCCCGCTAAGCGCTGGGATTACAGGCGTGAGCCATGACACCTGGCTGCTGAGTCATTTTTGATTCTTTTTCCATTTATCCTGCGGCCTCCTTTTTCTGAGGTATGGGGGCTGAGGTCTAGTTTAAAGGATGAAGGGGTTATAGGATAAACAAAGGAGTTTTAGAAACAACAAAATCCCCCATTGCCACTATTTGCTAAAGTGACGGTGACCATCATGTAACTGACCTTGGTCCCCCCCCACCCCAACGTCTCCACTCCACTCCCCTCCTCTCTATCATGGTCTTTCTACCCCACTGCTCTGCGCATTCTCAGCACCTGCCTGCCGATAACTGGTGTCGAGTTAAAGAAGACCAAGAATTCCAGGAAATCAAAATCCCTGTGCTTCTTTAGAGATATTCACACGTCAATGCTCAAATTCACATGGAAAAGAAAGAGACTTAGAAGAGCCAAAATCAGCTTGAAAAAGAAGAACAAAATTGAAGGGTCGCTCTTCCTGATTTCAAAATGTTCTAGGAAGTACAGTCGTCATGGCAGCATGGCTCTGGTGTAAGGAAGACTTGGACCAATGGGATAAAATTTAGAGCCCCCGGTAAACCCTTGTATACATGGTCAATTGATTTTTGACAAGAATGCCAAGAAAACTCAATTGACCATTTCTACAAATTCTGCTGGGACAACTGAATATCCACATGAAGAGAATGATCTCAGACTCCTACCTCACACATACACACACATTAACTTACAATGGATCACAGACCTACGTGTGAGACCAAAACTCTGAAACTCTTAGAAGAAAACACAGGAGCAAATACGAGTTATGACCTTGAGTTAGTCAATGGTTTCTTAGCACATGGAAAACACAAGCAACAAAAGGAAAAAATAGATAAATTAGACTTCATCAAAATGAGAGATTTTGTGCTGAAACAATACCATCAAGAGAGTGAAAAGACAACTCAAAGAATGGAAAGAGTATTTGCAAATCATAGGCACCTAAATTCAGAATATGTAAAGGACTCTCACAACTCAGTAAGAAAAATATTACAAAAGGACTCTCACAACTCAGTAATAAAAACCAAATAACCCAACTTTACACATGGGCAAAGGATTTACATAGACGTTCCTCCAAAGATTTATGGATGGCCAATACACATGTAGGTTTAGGAAACGTTTAATACGGCTAAAGATCCACGAGGTTCCTGGTTTACGAATGCCACGGTGATCTCTGGAAGTCGCACAGTGGGCGCGCATCACCGTGCTGGATCACGGAACCTTTTGCTCGGAGTATCCTCAGCAGTGACTGCCCTGTGGAGGCTTCCCTGGAACACGGACAGAGGCCTTAGCCTGTTCTAGCTGCAGGAACCAAGTACTGGAGACTGAGTAATTTATAAACAATGGAATGTTACTGCTCACAGTTCTGGAGGCGCCAGTGGATTCAGTGCCTGGACTGTTCCTCGTGAGTGGCCTTTCAAGGTGTCCTCACGTGGCCAAAGGGGGCACAGGAACATGCTCCAGCCTGTTTTATAAGGGCACAAATCCCATTCACGTTGGTGCAGCCCTCATGATTTAATCACTCCTCAAAGCCCCCACCCTGAACACTGTCACTTCAGGTACGAGGCTGTCACATCGGGATTCTGGGGCGTCAGCAACATGCAGACCGGAGCAATAGAGTTTTTATTCCACACGAGAGTATACAGAAGCCTGGGGGATGAAAATGCGTTTTCTGCGCTTGCTCACCTAATGAGGGGTGGACAGACCACGTCCCACTCTCTCCAGCTGTATTCATCATCGGCATTCACCCATGCTTCCGTGGCCCACATCTCTGCTTTCTGGTAATCATGACAGGCTTATCCCGGGCTGTACAAAGCAGGAACAATCTAAACAAAGCATGGATTTTCTCAGGAGCATCTTCAGAGATGATTTATCTGAGTTTTGCCCTCTTCCTTTCTACGACTTAACCAGTAGCAAAACTGAGCACCTTCTGCTGGACTAAATTTGCCCAGCTCTGGCGTCATTTCCAACCCCCTGCCTTTATTAAGAGGCATGATCAACACAGCAGGAAGCCACGGAGAGCTCCAGCGGAAACACACAGTAGCAAGAGCTGTGATGTGGACAAGTTCCTGGCCCAGTGTGGCGTATCATTGGTTTCCAGGGCCAACGTCCCCCCCCAGGGGCCGACAGGCTCTGAGCATTTGCTGTGCAATCTCCGCCTGTCTTGGAAACCAGTGGCCTCAGAGCCCCTGCTCACCCGGCTTCATACCTGAGCATGGAACTCACTGGAAAATGTGGCAATGCCTAACAAAGCCGTGGCTCTTGAGTGTGACTTGGGCAAGAGCTGCTTCCAGGTTCTCAGAATGACACCTCCAAGATGGGCACCAAGCTGGTTCCCCACGGTGCCCACATCCTGAAGTGTCCCAGATCACACAGCAGCGGCGGATTTGAGTCACCCCAGGCCTCTGCAGACAGGCGCAAGAAATAAGGTGGCATATCATGATGTCACTTCTGTGTTTTTGGATAGTTTTGCTCCTACAGGGGTATGAAGAGGAGAATGTGAAGCTTTTAACAAATTCTTGTGGCAGAAACACCTTTTGTGTGTTTGACAGCTAGAAATCTTTCTTTCTCTTTTTTCTTCTTTCTCTCTCTCTTTTTTTTTTTTTTTTTTTTTGTGATGGAGTCTCGCTCTTTTGCCCGGGCTGGAGTGCAGTGGCACATTTCTTGGCTCACTGTAACCTCTGCCTCGCAGGTTCAAATGATTTTCTTGTCTCAGCCTCCTGAGTAGCTGGGACTATAGGCGTGAGCCATCACACCTGACAAAGTTTTGTATTTTTAGTAGAGAAGGGGTTTCATCATGTTGGCCAGGCAGGTTTGAACTTCTGACCTCAAGTGATCCGCTCCCCTCAGGCTACCAAAGGGCTGGGATTATAGGTGTGAGCCACCGTGCCTGGCAATTTCCGGTTTTAGTGAAGCTAGATGCTCTCAGGGTGTTGCTTTCATTGTGTTAATGAGATCTCATTTTTGCTTTTGGAGATGGCCCAGATGAAAGCTGCCCGCTGCCCTTTCATGTCTGCAGACCCTCGGAATTGGGTGTCTGCACCCTGCTCCCACCTTTGAGGGCCAGAGTCCTGCCCTCCCCTGCCCGTGCTCCCATTCCTGAAGGACCGTGGAAAAACACGAGAGAGGGCGAGAGCTGGCCGAGCCCCGATCCCACCTCCTTTCCCTCAGCTGCCCCCATGGCAGCGTGGAGCAACCATCGCCACCATCTAATTCTAGAACCTTCTCATGGCCCCACATGAAACCCGCACCCCTCAGCAGTCCCTCACTCCCCTCCCTGCTTCCAGACCTGGTAAGCCGCTCCTCCATGTCTGTCTCGCGGATTTACGGGCTCTGGACTTCAAGTAAATGGAGTCGCGCCCGAGGCAGCGTCTCGTGCTGGCTTCTCTCCCGGAGCGCCGTGTTCTCACGGCTCACCCGCGGTGCAGAGCGCCCCAGGCCGCCCTTTCTTTTCTTGGCTGAATATGCTGTTCCCGGCTGTGGGTCTTTTCTTGGCTGAATGCCGTTCCGGGCTGTGCGCACTCCGCGCTGGGCCTGCATTCACCAGCCCACGCACATCGGGGTTGCTTCCGCGTTTTGGCTGTTTGGAGAACGCTGCTGTGAGCTTTCCCGTGCAGGCCTTCGGGTGGCAAGCCTTCCTTCGACCTGGGCACACATCGAGGGGTGGGAGTGCTGGGCCGCGGCGGCTCCGCGTGTGGCTTCCCGAGGGCAGCCAGGCTGCTTTCCACGGTGGCCTCCGGGTGTGCCCTCCCCTGCTCGTGGAAACTGGCTGGGCTCGTCTGGCTGGCGGTGAGGCCGACTTTGCAGGCTGTGTTTCTGTAGCCAGCAGCTGTGACGAGCACGGGCTCTGGGAGTCCCGTGAGGCCTGGATTTTAGACAATCCTCAGGTGCGCGCAAGTAAAAAGAAGGTGCAGTGCGCTCTTCCACGCCTGACGATACATTTTCCTACTAGCTCTAATTTCACGTAAATGATTGCACAAGATATTTCATGCACACTGAAACGCACGATACAGCACAGAGCCAGGGACACATTGAAAGAAACGAGCCTCAGCAGCGCAGGGGAGGGCTGCCCTCCCTCCTGGGTCTCAGCGCACTTGCCCTCCTTTCTCACTGTGCGCGGTACCAGGTGTGCGACCGCGTGGCTTCACGCCCTCTTGCGTCTTTGCTAACCCTGTGGGGATGGCCCAGGCGGTCCGAGCCGGTGCCCTCGGCCTCAGCTCGGTGTCTCAGCCGCCGTCTCAGGGCGTCTCCAGCATCTTCCTCACCGGCTGCTTCCAATTCCAGGAAACCTGCTCCTCCTCCCGGATTTCCTGGGCCGACGCCCGTGTCCCTGTGGGTTCCTGTCCTTCCTCAGAACATGAGCATCGAGCCAGGAGCAAAGCCCCGCGCTGTGGCTCAGGTGCAGCTGTGGGGATCAGTTTCCACCAGTGAGGGGCATGAAAAGGCCACGTGAAAATTCTCCCTCCTTGGAGCAAACGGCGTCCAGGGCCCCGGATTTTCACCCCCTCCCCAGGGTGGAAAGGAGGCATCTGCAACAGCTTCAACCACGAAGACGAGGACAGGACCTGGGACCAAAACCACAAGGTGGAGAGCGGGCCCGGCCCACCTGCAGTCTCGCCTGTTGCTTGCGGATGGCGTGAACCGCTAGCCTCTGGGAGCTTCTCCGCTTGGGGGCCTCTTTGTTCTAGAAGCTTAGTCTTTATCCTAATACCCCGGCTCGGTGAGTTGAACTTCCATCCACTCGGATGCTGAATTAGGGTCCGGATGGACCCCTGATCCCTCGCTCCACCTCGTCACCCACCCAACCCTTTTCACCTAAGTGACCCTTTTGGGCCCTGAGCTCTGACGGAGGGTGAGGCCAAAATGCTGGCTTGCAGATGTTTGGTTTGGCTCTCATGCTTTGTCCAGATATGTTTTACAGGTCCTGTCCCCAGGTAGGCACGATGTTTGGACAACAGACACCTGTGGCACTGGACTAAGGCTGCCCAGGGGCAGGGGGCGGAGCGCTGCACACCTGAGCGTGGCAGCTGTGACTGCCACGGCACCGACTCTTACCAGCTGTGCGGCTCTGGGCTAGTGCCTCGACCGGCCAGCTGTCAGAGGTGGTTCACAGATAGTCGTTCCTATCTTATAGCACCACGGTGAAGGTTGCAAGAGTTCATCCGTGTGAGGATTCTGAAGGGCGGCCACAGGGAGGACAGTAAGTGATGGTTTCATCTGCGTCCTGCCCTGGGTCGTTGACTACTCATGCTTCCCTCTCACCCTTGCCCCTGCCCACATTAGGCCGCCATCCTGCAGGGGCAGGTGCTTAACCTTCACCGTGGCATCCAAGGCTCGTGCCCAAGGCCTCTCTGACCCCTTTCTTGCTGCCTTTGGCCTCCACTCTGCCCCAGCCCAGAAGCCCTGACATGCCCTGCGACATCTAAGTTTTTTCCACTGTGTTTAAATACTTGCAAAGATATAATTCCCATTATATTGAGATACATATTGATCTTTTAAAGTTAAACTTCTACAATACCTTTAAAATCTATCATATGGAATCTAAATACTATAGTAATTTGATACATGCTAGCTATTGTCCACTGAAAAATACATACTCAGGCGCCTCTCGACAGCTGGAAGGTTAATATTGTTTTTTCCTTTTAAACATGTATTTCTGTTTCTCTCCCCAATAGAAACGTACCCCAGTGCTATGTAGATATTATGTTTGAAGTTTGTTGTCCATTATCTTACACTTCTCTGCCAGAAAAATATGCATGTAGCTAAAATTAAAATAATCGTAAAAGTTTTATGTCCTTAAGGCTCTAATTTTTTTCTGGTATTAATATAATTATCATTAGTGCATAGTTAATCAAAAATAAAGAGATTAAAAAATTTGATCAATAATTATTAATAATCTTAATAATTATTAAACATGATCAGAAGAATGTTTATTAATGGGATGGATACAGCTTTTCCCTCCTACTTAGTTATATATTTGTGGATAAATATTCCTCATTGCTAGAATGGGATAGTGTTTTATCTGCAAACCTACTCCTGTTTTCTGTGTTTATAGATGCAAATACTGAGAAATATAAGTGAATAGAAATGGAAGGAACTTCATTGTACAAACAGCACTCAATGCTTTGATCTCCTTCTGAGTTACACGCCATGAGTTACACGCCAATGATCACACGATGGTCTATCACCAAAAGGATTTCTGATGATGGATCAGCCCAGGACTCAGGTAGGTGCTCCCTCCACCTTGTTGGATGCATTTGTCTTGTAAAAGCTCGCTGTCATGAGCCCCCGTGGCTCACAGGTTTGTGGATCTGATGGCACTGTTGCCATTCTCCCGCTGCTTCCTGAAGTCGGCTGTCACCCAGCGCCAGTGTGTGCGAGACTCGGAGGGGAGGGTAGGCGGGGGGTTCACCGTCACAGGCACGTTCTCAAGCCAACTGGCGTGAGGCAGGAGCAGAGTGGAAGCTGAGGACCTGGGCACTGATCACCCCAAGGCCATCCGTGGCACAAACCCTTTGAGAGTTGCGGGCTTTCCCCTGCTGCCCTTGCACTGAAGGGCCCCGGTTTGTCTCACTCCCGAACTTGCTTTGTTCGGGAGCTTCGTCTGTGGGGTCCTTCACTACTTGCCATCTGTCAAGCACCTTCCCTCTGCTGACGGGTGACCCTGCCATGCAGAAACCCCTTTGCTAAAGTGACCTGACCCTGCATGAGAAACCCACAGAATATGGAGTCTTGTGAAGATGTTTCGCCAGTCAAAAAAAGTGGCTGCAGGTAGCCACCTTTCCACATCCTGGAACTCTACGAGCCCATTCATTCATTCATTCTTTCCTCATCTGTTTATTCCGGAAACATTCATCAACAACTACTATGCATCAGGCATGCAGCCGTGGGCAAGAATGACAAAGAAAACATGGTTTTTATCCCTAAAGAGTTCAAAGTCTAGAGACAGGTAGGTGCAAATGTCTGTAACAGCAGTTTTGTGTCACTGGCAAGACAGTGACAGGTGTGGGTGTGGGTGGAGTTCTCAGCTCCACCAGGATGGAAAGGGAGACTGGATGGTGTTTCCTGGAAGAGGTACTCTCCTGGATGAGCCCTGAAGACCACAAAAGGCACGGGCTGAGTGGGGAGGCTGGGAGTGAAAGGGGGTGCCCACAGCCCACAGGTGGCCGCCGTGTTTGCTTTGGATGAGATGCTAAGTTCAAGGCAGGGGGTGTCCCAGATGAGCCTGGGAGGTCACAATGCCAGACCTGCACCACGTGGAAGGGCTTGGAGCTCAACCCAAGGGCAGTGGAGAGTATGAAGGAGTGGTCTGATCAGACTTGTGCCTGACTTTTTGTGTCTATGGACAGGTTAGATTGACATGGTGCATGGCATTGAGTCAGAGGATTCCCGATAACATGATGGGAGGTGGCAGGAGCTGCGGGTGATGGAGGGAGAGGTAAAATGAGAGCGGAGTCAGAACTGGCAGGGCACTATCGTCAGATGATTTGGGGAAGGGCATCAGGGACAGGGAATTATCAAAATGTCTTCAAATATTTAGCTTGGGCAACTCCTTCCAAGAGATTTACAGGCAACTATGATGTCTGTTAGGGATGCCTTACGATTCCTGTGCCTGGGGGGCATGAAGGTGCGGTGTTGGAGGCTGCTGCAAAGATGGATGTGAATGCAGTCAGCCATCGGGTGGTACTGAGGCTGCTGGAATGAATGATGTCACTGAGGGAGACAGCAAGGATTCAACTGGGCTGAGGCTTAAATTCAAGGGATTTCTGGCTTGAGGGTGAGTGGAGAGATGGTGAGACCCTCAGCGTCTACTCTGGGAGGTTGGGAAGATGAGGATGGTGAGACTTCCCTGGAGACAGAGTCCTGAGAACTGTGGGTAGAGGAATAGGACTGGGAGGGCTCTAGGGTTGGAGGCTTGTGGTTAAGGGACACGAGGGGGCAGAAAGATTCTGGCTCAGCCTCCCCCACTTTATGGTTTCCAGTTGTTTTATGATGGCAGAGCTCATACATGTTTCTGTGCTGAGGACGCAGGGAGCAGGGAATCCTCCATCAGACAGGGAGGGGCGATGGACGGGACGGCCTCGGGGACAGAGAGACCTCTGTGGCTGCTGGGGGGCTGTGGCATGATGGGGAGTGGACACGACGTGGAATTCTTGGGATGTGGAGCCTGAAGGCATCGAGGGCTGTTCCTCAGGCAAGAGATGAGTGGGGCGAGGTCAAGGCTGAGGATGCAGAGCTGGGAGTCATTAGAATCTCTGCGGAGTGTCTGATGTGCTGAGAACCGTTAAAATCCATGAATGAGTGAGTGGTTAAATTTACATTTTTCTGCAGAAAAAAACTTTTTGAACCCACCCACCCTAACTGATGACCCTCTGCTTCCCCATTTGTATGTGTGTGCACGTGTATATGTGTGCGTGTGTCTATGTGTGCATGCTCGTGCTTTGTGCACGTGTGTATGAGTGCGTGTGTCTGTGCATGCTTGTGCTTGTGTATGTGTGAATGTGTGCATGTTTGTGTGTGTGTGCACATGTGTATGAGTGCGTGGGTCTATGTGTGCATGCTCGTGCTTGTGTGTGTATGTGTGAATGTGCATGTCTGTGTGTGTGCACGTGTGAGTGTGCACATGTGTGGGTGTGTGCATGAGTGTGTGTGCACACGTGTGTGTTTGCCCGTGTGTGTGAGTGACCCTTTTTATGAATTGAGTTCATACACGTGTTCTCTATTAAGTTCACTTAGCCAATTTTTTGAGAAGTTTGCAATAAAGAAAGTGGTCGGTGAAAGAGCTACAATTTAACCAGCATCATTCATTAACCAGGATCATTTATTAACCGGGCAGAATCCATAGTAGGTTTCAACTCTCATAATTAAACTAAATTGACTGAAGAATTCCTTTGTCTACATTTGGTCTGGTTTCCTGGGGACCTCCTATTTGTGTAAGGCCAGACGATAACTCGATGATGCATGCTTTTGGAAATGCATTTTTGTTATGGGCGTCAGTCACCCCTCAAATCAGCAACAGTTTTTTTATCGAGCAGACATAGTTTAGACCATATGGCACATGTACATGGTTTTAGAAAACACAGGTGGAAGCTCTCTCTTCTCTGGATTGAGGTTATAGTCTAATAGAACAAAACGAACCTTAGTTTGGAAAAGACTTGATAGACAGCTGGCCAGGTGAATGCACCTGGAATCGTCTCACTGGGAGGGAGGCTACCTGGGGGGGTTGGAGGGGGATGGGTGCAGGAATGTAACACACCTTCCTAGTTCCCTTCAACTCCTCTACCATCCTGGGGTGAAGGGATTTTACTTCCTCCTGGTGAGCACTTTTGAGGTTTAAAGAGTTTTGTTTAGGTGACTGGTTGGAGCACAGTGGAAGAGTCATCGCTCTGTCATGCATGGGAAGATAAAAGAGGGATGCGTGGCTCAGTTCTAGCTTAGTTTTGCTCTCATCACCTACAATGCAAGCATCAAGCTATTGTGTTAGAGAGAAAATGCCTCTTCCTTGGCGGGGTTCAGATGATGCCGCTACTTTGTACAATTGCTGGTTGCATGAAGTTAATCCTAATCAGGTCAACAAACAATGGTTTCTTTGGGATTTGGAAGTAGTTTTAAAGTTTGTAATGACAGTGTCATTGATTAAGAGGTCTAGAAGGGGATGACTGCCTCATCCCAGAAGATGTACAAGAGGCCATATTTTGAGATTGGATTTGGATCTTATTCCCGTCTTTATTTTCATTCACATGGAGTCACAGTGAATGAGGAGCTTGATTTGAAGTGAACAGACCTTGACGCTCCTTGACTCAATCTTGGAAAAATCACTTAATTTTCCTGTACTTCACATAGTATCGATATACCTTCTGCCTGTGTCTAGGACAAACTAAGAAACATTGTGACACTAGTTCATAGAGCCCAAACTGTTGGGGATCATGATAGATACTCCACTGAGGTTACATTTTCCATTGAATTGAATCCTGCTTCCTCAAGGGCGAATCTTAAAATTAAAAAGAATCTTTAAAGGAATGTTAAGAGGGATTGCTCGAGCCCAGGAGTTTGAGATCAGCCCGGCATCATGGCGGAAAACCTTCTCTACCAAAAACAAAAACAAAAAACAAAAAACAAAAAACACCAAGCCCCCAAATTAGCCAGGTGTGGTGGTGCATGCCGGTGGTCCCAGCTACTCTGGAGGTTGACGTGGGAGGATCACCTGAGCCCTGTGAGGTCCAGGCTGCAGTGAGCCGAGATGGTGCTGCTACACTCCAGCCTGGGAGATACAGTAAGATGCTGTCTCAAAAAAAAAAAAAAAAAAAAAAAAAGATAAGAAGAAATGCTGTATTGTACATTGCTGATGAGGGTTTCTTATTCCCTGAAGTGGAGATGATGAAGATGAGGGGGTGTTTTCGAGATGACTGTGCAGCTTCCCCTGGGTGTGTGCCGGCTGCAGGGGACTGGCCTCTTCTCCGGAGCCTGACGCCCTGTACACTTCCATCATGTGTGCCCCCAGACCTCTGACCACCAGTCACCCTGCTGGTTTTAACTCACAGTAGGTTGGGGGCTGTGAGCCAAGGAATGTAAAGAGGTATGTGTCAACGTGGAGGTGCTGGGGGACGGCTGGGAAGCCATAGGCTACACGGAGCCCACCCATCCAAGACCCTCCTTTGGCAGCTGATTGGGGTCCACACTCACCCTCAGCCTGCCGTGGCTCCCTGCCACTGGCAGCTGCCAGCCCCCTGCCCTGTCTTGCCCTTCTGCACTCACAGGACTCGGGGGTTGCTTCCAATCTTGCATGGTTCTGTAACTCCATAATTTAATTAAATAGCATCCACACTGATGAAATATGAGTAAGGGAATAAGGGAAATTTTTACTTCTATGAAAACTTAGATGAAAGTTTAGAAAACACTAAAAAAAAAGTTGCTAAAAATAATTACTGTTCCATCAGGTTTGGCAAGGCAGCAGGGAAAGGTTTGAAAAATGATGCAAGTATAAATGGACTCTGCTTTTTTATTGCTTTGAAAGTGTTTTTAAAATCTTTGTCCACTTTAAGAGAAACCAAAAATGAGAATCATAAGAAACGCATTTTGACTGTGGTTCGTGCAAATTGTGGCATTACGATCACCCACTTTACAGAGAAGGCTTGGGCCATGTACCAGGAGGCTGGGGAGTGATGTACACGTGAATGTTTAAGATGAAAACAAACTAAGATTAATAAAAGTGAAAATGGTGTCTATCTATCATCTATCCTTCGATTTATCATCTATTGACTATTTATTAACTATCAAGTATCCATCTATCATCTATCGATCTATCAATCTATCTATGATCTATCTACCTGTCTAGCTATCATCTACCTATCAATCCATTATCTATAAACTATTTATCTACCATCTATCTACCTATCATCCATCTATCTATCTATCATCATTTATCCATCTATCATCTATTGATCTATCAATCTATCATCTATCTACCTGTCTAGCTATCATCTACCTATCAATCCATTATCTAAACTATTTATCTACCATCTATCTACCTATCATCCATCTATTTTTTTTTTTTTTTTTTTGAGACGGAGTCTCGCTCTGTCGCCCAGTCTGGAGTGCAGTGGCGGGATCTCGGCTCACTGCAAGCTCCACCTCCCGGGTTCACGCCATTCTCCTGCCTCAGCCTCCCAAGTAGCTGGGACTACAGGCGCCCGCCACTACGCCTGGCTAATTTTTTGTATTTTTAGTAGAGACAGGGTTTCACCGTGTTAGCCGGGATGGTCTCGATCTCCTGACCTCATGATCCGCCCGCCTCGGCCTCCCAAAGTGCTGGGATTACAGGCGTGAGCCACCGCGCCCAGCCCATCCATCTATTTATCTATCATCTATCTATCTATCATCATTTATCCATGTATCATCTATCAATCTATCTATCTATCATCTACCTGTCTAGCTATCATCTACCTATCACTCCATTATCTATAAACTATCTACCATCTATCTACCTATTATCTATCTATCTATCTATCTATGTATCTATCATTTATCCATCTATCATCTATCCATCCATTTGTCATCTATCCATTCCATCCATCAGTCATCTATCCATTCCATCCATCAGTCATCTATCCATTCCATCCATCAGTCATCTATCCATTCCATCCATTTGTCATCTGTCCATTCCATCCATCAGTCATCTGTCCATTCCATCCATCAGTCATCTGTCCATTCCATCCATTTGTCATCTATCCATTCCATCCATCAGTCATCTATCCATTCCATCCATCAGTCATCTATCCATTCCATCCATCAGTCATCTATCCATTCCATCCATCAGTCATCTATCCATTCCATCCATCAGTCATCTGTCCATTCCATCCATCAGTCATCTATCCATTCCATCCATCTGTCATCTGTCCATTCCATCCATCAGTCATCTGTCCATTCCATCCATCAGTCATCTGTCCATTCCATCCATCAGTCATCTATCCATTCCATCCATCAGTCATCTATCCATTCCATCCATCAGTCATCTGTCCATTCCATCCATCAGTCATCTATCCATTCCATCCATCTGTCATCTATCCATTCCATCCATCAGTCATCTATCCATTCCATCCATCAGTCATCTATCCATTCCATCCATCAGTCATCTATCCATTCCATCCATCAGTCATCTATCCATTCCATCCATCTGTCATCTATCCATTCCATCCATCAGTCATCTGTCCATTCCATCCATCAGTCATCTGTCCATTCCATCCATCAGTCATCTGTCCATTCCATCCATCAGTCATCTATCCATTCCATCCATCAGTCATCTGTCCATTCCATCCATCAGTCATCTATCCATTCCATCCATCTGTCATCTATCCATTCCATCCATCTGTCATCTGTCCATTCCATCCATCAGTCATCTGTCCATTCCATCCATCAGTCATCTGTCCATTCCATCCATCAGTCATCTGTCCATTCCATCCATCAGTCATCTATCCATTCCATCCATCAGTCATCTATCCATTCCATCCATCAGTCATCTATCCATTCCATCCATCAGTCATCTGTCCATTCCATCCATCAGTCATCTGTCCATTCCATCCATCAGTCATCTGTCCATTCCATCCATCAGTCATCTGTCCATTCCATCCATCAGTCATCTGTCCATTCCATCCATCAGTCATCTATCTGTCATGTATCTATTGATCTATCATCTATCATTTATCCACCATCTGTCTAGAACGACCCCACGCTTTCACCCCTGTGCTCTGCCGACTGGCCAGCCTGCCCTCAATCAGCCTACTCAGATTCATTTCCTACAGACTGAGCTTGCACAGCAAATGGCAGAAGGAAAAGGCCAAGAGTTTTGAGTTCAAGTGGACCTGGGTTCAAATGTTGACTTTCCCACTGACCTAGCACTTTTATGATTTGGGGCCAGCCACTGCGGCTCTTCAAGCCTTTGTTCTCTTATCTATAAAATGAAGATAGTAATTCCTGTTCTGCTGAGTTTGATAAGATGTATAATTTTAATAGCGTGTTTGGCTCATAGATGCTCCATAGACCAGGTGGTCATGATTAGTGAAGTTGCCTTGGAGGCCCACCCTGTGGTTCAGGTGGCCCTCACCCTGGCTGCCTCTGAGGCTCAGGAAAGTTGTGGGGCCGCAGTGGTGCTACCTGCCAAGTGGAGTTAGGGTGTGAGGGGCCACGCTGGTTCAGCATACCGGGTTGTGCTGCAGCCATGGCTGGACCAGGGCAGGGTGAATGCTGAGCCTTGTGTGCGTGCCCCCCCTTGTCGTGTGGGTGAGAGTGAGGAGCCAGGATTTGCATTTCTGTGATACAGAGGAGGTAGAGAAGAGCACCGTACACACACTGGGAAAGAAAAGGGCTCGGCCAGCCCCTGCGGCCCCATGGCTCCGCGTGCCGAGGGCTTGGTGCCCGTCTAATGCTTCCATGCACCGTCTCCCTGAAGAATCTGGCATCCCTGTAAGGCCAGGAATATCATCCCACTTGGCAAACGAGGAAACAGAGACTCAGGGATATGGAGGATTTGCATTTGCCCTGGAATTCCTCCAGAGCGGATGGTTGCAGGCTCGCTGAGGATGTCTCACTGAGCCCTGCTGGCCACAAGGCACACGGGCCAAGAGCAGCCGCCCAGGAGGCTGGCACCATGGAGCCCAACCGCACTGCCTCACAACAGCTGATCCCTGCAGCCACCCGGAGGCTGAGACAGGTGGGGTGGCCTTGAAGACCGCATGGCTGGACGGTCTGGGTGCCACACCTGAGCTGTACATTCAAGCTCAGAGATTCTGCAGTCCCAGGGTGCACGGCTCTGAGCCTGTGGCAAAGCCAAGGGAGATTATTCTGTGACCTGGAGAGGGCCTGAAGGTCACTGCATCTTCCTCTTCATGTCTTCCCTCAAGGCCACAGCAGTTTTGTCTTCAAGGTGCACCTTTAGCTCTGACATGCGTCGGAACTCCAAGGTCTACGCTGTGCTGTGAGGACGCTGCTCTCACATAGCTCATCTGAAGCCAGCCTCTCCCTGCCAAGTCCTGCCTCTTGTTTTCATACAGTCAGAATGGGTGTGTAATGAATAACGACTCGTTTCAACACAGAGCCTTGGAACAAACCGATTTTACACGTTGTGGTTCTGTGCTTGCACTCTTAAGCAGAATGTGTTGGGTTTCGGCAGCTAGTCTGCAGAGATCACTAATATTCTGCACATATCAGTTTAGAAATCTTCGATGAATGAGGGGAAACGCTGATGCGAAGCTGCGAGGTCGCCTGGGTTTGCAGTTGCCTGCTCGCGCCGTGTGGTGATAAACACTCAGGAAACAATTCCAAGACGTGGCTATCAGGAGCAAACCGAACACAAAACGGATGCAGGTGGTTACCTGGAGCTGCTGCACTGACCCGCAGAGAGACCCGCGGAGGCGCAGCGGGGAGCTTGGCACAGACAGGAAGCCGCGGGGAGGGCGCAGACTGCACCGACCTCAGGCAAAGGCACAACAGGCGGCTGGGCGACTCGCGCGGGGAGGAGGCACGCGCAGCTGTGTGCGTGCCGCATCTGCAGGAGCCTGGACCACGCTGGGGTTTGGCTTGGAATGGCTTTTGGAGTCTGTGCCTTCCACCAGGGGCCCGTGCCAGCGCGGGGTGGCCCTGGCAGGAGGACTGGACGCCTGTGAGCATCGCTGGTCAAATGCGAGGGAGGATGCAGGAGCAGCGTGCAGCCCCGGGACAGGGAAGCCAGGTGGAAAATGGGCAGCGATGGTGCTTCCAAGGCGGATGCTCTTAAGGGAGCTCGGCTTTCCTCCTGCCGTGGAGTTCGCGGAAACCTGAAGCAGGAAAATGGCAGCTTTCTGTGAATTGAAAAATGATGTCCTTTGACTAGCTGGCCGGCTTACACGGAGTGGAGGCCTGGGCTCCGCGGCGGCTGGCTCCTGCAAGCCACACCTGGTGGGGATGTCCAGGGACCAGCAGGAGGGGGGCCTGCACCCCTCCCAGCTGGAGAAGAATGAGCCTGGGGCAGGCAGCACAGGGCTGGCGTTTGCCGTGGTCCTTGGGGCCTAGCTCCAGAAGAATAAAGAGAATAAACCTTTCTGACTTGTTGCCATTATTCTCCGGTGGAGGCTGTTTTAAACAGTTTTACCCTCGGGCCGGCTCTTTGTGGAGCTGGGATGTGAACGTGGCTGGCGGGATGTCAGGTTCCTGACCTTCACGGGTGGGGAAGTCTTTGGGAGTCTGGCGAGGCCTATCCACCCCTCCCAGAAGAATTTAGAAATGCACAAAATAAAATACACAGAACTACCAAGGAATCAGATTGAAATACAATTAGTATTTCACACGTGCTGTTAATGGATGCATTATATGACAACACCCAGCCGTGAGTCTTGCGGCCACTGAACTGGAAGCCGTGGCACAAACATCTCAGGTGGGAGGGAGAGACCTGTGACTTCCCCCTGCTGAGGGCGCAGGTCCTGCAACACCACTGCGGTGCACTGCCCGCTTTCGTAGTCGAAGACATTCGAAATCTCAGTTTGAGGTTGGTGAAAACGAAGATGAATTTTTTCCCCATCTGTGGTTTTTGGGTCATCTGGGAAGAAGATGCCAAAATGAAATTAGGCACTGAAAGCTTTCCTGATGGGGGTCCCTGTGAGCAGGGGTGGGAGTGGGGGCTGCCCTGCCACAGTGAAGGTCAAGGGCGGAGGAGAGACTGTGGGGAGGAGCACTGAGGAAGAGCCTCGGGCTGAGCGGAGCCCTGGAGCAGAGACACCTGACCCCAGAATGCACGCTGGGCACACGGCCCGGCTCACAGCCCACGGTGCCAGCAGAAGCGGGAGCAGCCCAGTGGCATGTTTCCTGGGTGCCCTGGGCCGGGTCAGAGCCTCCTTGACCCCCGGTCCCGGTGGGGAGGACTGCGTGCACGCTCTGCAGCCGTGCACCGGCCCATGACGGAACTCTGTTTAGACTCAGTTCCAGACTCCTCGTCTGGGGAAAGGTGGAGTTTGCACACATGCAGGCCCTGGAAGGCCTGAGAACAGCTGTGGCTGCCAGGCAGGTGAGGCAGGCATCGCGGATGGTGCAGAAGGGAAGCTCCTGGCCCAGCTACGTGTGCACAGACATGCGTTTCTTGGGCCCCAGACTGGAGGCAAGTGCTTGGCAGGGGATTTGGAGAGTCGGATGAGAAGGGTGTGGAGCAGTGGGGCTGCCTCGAGGCCTGGCCTGGTCCCCACATGCACTGTGCCCTTGGCCAGGATAAATCCCATATTCTTTTCCTTCTTCCACATTATCAACTCCCTGTCTGTTTTGTGCTGAGATGTTACTGGTAAATCTGGTGGCTCAGGAGCCAAGTCTGTGGAGATTTTTGAATTTTCATGCATGGTTCCCTGAGCAGTGATTTTGGAATCTTCAGTGAAAGAATTTCAGAAACCACAGGAACCCTCATGGAGTCCCACGGGCTCTGTGCGTGGCCAGGCTTCCCTCCAAGCTGTGTCCTGCTCTGAGCCGCTCTGGTCACTGCTCTGCTGGGAGGGCGGTGGGCCTGGTTCTTGGGAGGGCAGAGGCAGCCGTGGGAGTGGGTGCAGGGCCTTGGAACAGGAGAGCCTCTCCCTGCACTCTCACCCTTCACGTGCCGCAGGTGGAAATGACTTTGGACAGAGGGCAGCTATAGCTGTGTCCATCACTGGTTGAAAAACCCCAAACCCTGAAGACGTGGATGTGTTGGAAGACATTTTTTCGGCAGTGTGGCTGTCTATTATGATTGCAGGATTGTTTTGAAAACATATTTTTACTGACTTTTGTTGTAAAGGTGTTTTTGAGCAAATATCAGTCTTTGTTTCCCTAGTCAAATAGTGGTTACAAATGAGGCTGCTCTTCACACCAGTTCCAAGGACCAGCTGGGCACCAAGAGGGCCTGGGGCAGGGGCTGGAGGCCTGGGGTGGGAGCTAAAGGCCCTGGGGGGAGCTGGAGATTCTGGGCTGACAGCAGGAGGCCCTGAGGTGGGAGCAGGAGGCTTGGGTGGGAGCTGGAGACCCTGAGGTGGGAGAAGGAGGCCTAGGGCAGGAGCTGGATGGCCTGGGGCTGTGGCCTGAGGTGACAGAAGGAGGGCCTGGCATGAGAGTTGGAGGTCTGGGGCCAGAGCTGGAGGGCCTGGGGCAGGAGCTGGAGGCTTGGAGTGGGATCTGGAGGCCTTGGGATGGGAGTTGAAGGGCCTGGGGTGGGAGCTGGAGGCCGGGGGTAGGAGTTGAAGGCCTGGGATAGGAGCTGGAGGCCTGGGGCTGGAGCTGGAGGGCCTGGGGCAGGAGCTAGAGGCCTGGGGTGTGATCTGGAGGCCCTGGGATGGGAGCTGGAGGGCCTGGGGCTGGAGCTAGAGGCCTGGGGCAGGAGCTGGAGGCCTGGGGCTGGAGCTGGAGGACCTGGGGTGGGAACTGGAGGCCTAGGGCGGGATCTGGAGGCCCTGGGATAGGAGCTGGAGGGCCTGGGGCTGGAGCTGGAGGACCTGGGGTGGGAACTGGAGGCCTGGGGTGGGATCTGGAGGCCCTGGGATAGGAGCTGGAGGGCCTGGGGCTGGAGCTGGAGGCCTGGGGTGGGATCTGGAGGCCTGGGGTGGGAGTTGGAGGCCTGGGGCTGGAGGTGGAGGGCCTGGGGCAGGAACTGGAGGCCCTCGGATAGGAGCTGGAGGGCCTGGGGCTTCGGCCTGGGGTGGAGGTCAGGCAGTGCTCTCCATTTCAGCTGGTGGCCTGTAAATATTTTATGCCCAGATTTGCTGATTTTGTGGTGTGTATTTCATTGAGCTATGGCTTGTTTCCCAGCGTCATGCTTTGGTTCCTAGAAATAATGATGTTCTAATTTGCAAACATGTAAAAGGAACCATCATTTTTCAAAATCTAGGAAGACTTTAAAATGATACTTGGCTCAGCCTCTTGGCGATGTGTGTGCATGTTCCGGAATTCTCGGACATGAGGGTGTCCAACCCATGGACGAGCTGCTCTGACAAGCGATGACAGTGCATTAATTGAGCAGCGAATGCAGTGAGTTGACACTGTTTTATAGATATCTAACTGAAAGCTTATTAATTGAGATTTTGTGTATTTTGAGGGATGGAAACAAAGATCTGGCTCCTGCAGTTAATAAACAATGTAGCAATGCGGCACATGCCCGCGGTAAAGATGTCACAGTGAGCATCCAAACTGATTTAGGGCCGGGCGCTGCGGCTCACGCCTGTAGTCCCAGCACTTTGGGAAGCTGAGGAGGGCGATCACTTGAGCTCGGGAGTTCAGGAACCTGGGCCATTTGGAGAAATCCCATCTCTACAAAAAATACAAAAATTACCTGGCCCTGGTGGCATGGGCCTGTAATCCCAGCTACTCAGGAGGTTGAGGTGGGAGGATTGCTTGACTCAGGAGGTTAAGGCTGCAGTGAGCCGAGATTGTGTCACTGCACTCTAGCCTGGGTGACGGAGTAAGACTCTGACTCAAGAAAAAGTTTTACTTGGCTCATTGTATACAGGCTTATATTATGACATGTTCCAATGACACATTCGAGGTTGTAGGTCAGAGCACAAGACATTGAAAGAATAAATGGAAATATCAGTACAATGGGAAGCAGAGGCGGGAAAGATGAGATGGAAAAGACTTACTCACTGAGGGACCCATGCAGGCCCACAGGCGCTCTGAAGACCTGTGGCAGGCGTGACCATGCACTTCCTGGCAGTCAACGAAAATGACGTACAGCTTCTTTCAAGATTTACAGCTGTCTTGTGAATTACCAGTATGACCAGATAATTATTGAATTGTCTTTATTATTTATACTATTGAATAATGTTGGATCCATACTTCTAACATTGATATAAATAACATCACATTGTCCACTCGACTAATAACATATCAATTGCCCAGTGACAGTGCGTTGATGCTGGAGGAGAAAGTGTCTCATTCCTCACAGGGAGAACGTTGTATGTTTCTTGTTCAGTGTGTGCTTTTGGTCCAATCTAAGGTAGCTAGGCAACAAAACCTTGCTTTGTAGAGCTTATTTCTCGTCGGCACCCCACCTTACAGCCCAAGGGCATTGCCTCGCCCCGTTCAGGATGGGACCGCTTGTTGTTCGGAGTGTGAAGGTCCCATGATTCCTCCCTTCTCTGTTCTCAGGTGTGTAAAATTGGCTTTGTTTGGCATTTTCTCAAAATGGAGGTGAAAAAAAATGATGAGACTTTGCTTAGATCACAAGTGCCGTTAATATTATCCGCCTGTTTCTTGTTGGATGTGTGTTGTTCAGGAAGGCAGACTACCTAAGAATATAAATCTTATTTCTCTCGTTAAGAATCTGTGATTTGGAAGAATCAAACAATATATTCTATTTTTAGCTTTTCAGCCCAAATGTAATCATGAAATCAAGGTGTCCACTGCATGAAAAGTGAATAAGAAATGGCACACTTTTTTAGGATCTTTACAGCACTCTACATTTCTTTTTGCTGAAGAATTTCCTAAATTCATTTAAGATATGTTTTTAAGAGTTTTAATATTTAAATATGAAGAATAGAAAATCTTTTGTCTGAAGGTGCAGCCTCTTAAATACTGCTCTTTGCTGACATTCAGTCGGAAGCAGGGAGCTGTCATTAGGAACCATACAGTTTTAGGAAATCTTGCACTTTTAAGAAAATCATTTTCTCAGGCTGTATGTGTTATGTTGGAATTATAAGTATGTCTAAATTAAGACATAAATCTCCAACACAGGAGCCATCTTTTCATTATATCTCATAGAAGATTGTGCACATTGCTGATACTCAATTAACTAATAATAATAATGCTAATAATAATGTAGCAATAGTCAACTTCCATTTGGTCACACATCCTGCATATACAGTAATTGTGAAAGCATATCATCTCTGAGAGTATGTGTTGTGCTCGGATAAAATGTGTCATCATCACGAAATTAGAGTTAATGGCAGGAAGGGGACCTCTTTGATCAGTCCCTCCAAGGCCCTCTGCACACCTCTTAAGTGTACCTCATTATGAATTCATTTTAAGCTTCATTGAGTCCCAGAAATTAATTTGACATAAATTTCATCATAAGGCTCTGGAAACTTTAATTTCAAAGGTAATGGTAAAGTAGGATTTTCTCCCCGTGTTCGATACAGATACTTTAGACAGATGTTAAAGTGCAGGTTGAGTATACCAGCCGTAAACATTTTTTTCCAAAATGACTCTGATTTAGTAAACACTTTATTTTGCATTTATCTCTCACCTATACTTCTAAAGCATTTTCTGACATCTGGTCTCCTTGATCTCAGCGGGATCGTGATGTGAAATGGTGCCTGGTCTGCTGGGGACAGCACAGGAACGAAAACGTGGAAACGTGGAAACGCGGGTCTCCGGCCGTCCAGCTTTCGCGGGCCCCGTGTTCTTCCCTTCAGTGAAAATACGCTTATACATGCGGCTCCTTCCCTCTCCAGGTCGCACTCACACTCCTTTTAACTTGAAAGCTTCTGTTTTCATCCCGGGATATTCCGGGATCTTATGCAACCCCTTTTTCTTTCTGTTTGCTGTTTGGATTCTTAGTGATGCCTCCTTTTTCCCCATCCATATTTTTTATCTTCATTCTTTTTTTTTTTTGAGACAGGGTCTCACTCTGTCACCCAGGCTGGAGTGCAGTGGCATGAACATGGCTCACTGTAGCCTCAACCAGGCAGGCTCAAGTGAGCCTCCCGCCTCAGCCTGCTGAGTAGCTGGGACCACAGGTGTGCACCACCATGCCTGTCAAATTCCCTCATTCTTCACACTTTTCTATTTGAGACAGCCTCGCTCTGTCACCCAGGCTGGAGTGCAGTGGTATATCTCAGCTCACTGCAACCTCCACCTCTGGGTTCAAGAGATTCTTCTGCCTCAGCCTCCTGAGTAGCTGGGAATACAGGTGTGTGCACCGCCATGCCCAGCTAATTTTTGTAGTTTTGGTAGAGATGGGGCTTCGCCATGCTGGCCAGGCTGGTCTTGAACTCCTGACCTCAGGTGATCCCCCGTCTCAGCCTCCCAAAGTGCTGGGATTACAGGCGTGAGCCACCGCACCCAGCCTCCCCCCGCTTTTTTTTTTGAGACAGGGTCTCATTTTGTCTCCCAGGCTGGAATGCAGTGGCATGATCTTGGCTCACTGCAACCTCTGACTCCCAGGTTCAAGCAATTCTCCTGCCTCAGCCTCCCCAGTAGCTGAGATTACAGGTGCATGCCACCACACCCGGCTAATTTTTTGTATTTTTAGTAGAGACGGGGAGCTGAGATTACAGGTGCGTGCCACCACACCTGGCTAATTTTTTGTATTTTTAGTAGAGACGGGGTTTCACCATGTTGACCAGCCTGGTCTCGAACTCCTGACCTCGAGTGATCCACCTGCCTTGGCTTCCCAAAGTGCTGGTATTACAGGCGTGAGCCACCGCGCCCAGCATTTTTTTTTTTTTTTCACCTCTTTCTGATATCTTCTGGAAGGTACTTTGACCCAACTCTTCCTCACTATTCCTCCTTCTATTCTTTTAGAATTCTTGGATGTGTCTACAGTATGTGGAACAGGTGGGCAGGAGTTTCCGAGAGAAAAGCTCTGTTCAGTGTGGAGCTTTCAGCAAGGGATTCCTGCGGGAGAAGTGCAGGTGGCACCTGGAGAGACAGAGCTTCTTCTGGGGCTTGGAGGGTCTTGAATGTGAGCCAACAGATTTTAGAATTTTTTACTTGCAAAACTTTAAAAACACACAGATATGCATAAAGAAAAAACATGACGATAATAAAAAAAAATTCTACAATTGGAGGTAACTGTTACCCAACTTTTTTTTTTTCCTTTTTAGACAGGGTCTTGCTCTGTCACCCAGGCTAGAGTGCAGTGACACAATCATAGCTCATTGTAAGCTCGAACTCCTGGGCTCAAGCCATCCTCCTGCCTCAGCCTCCCCTGTAGCTGGGACCACAGGCACGTACCACCACACTCAGCTAATTCAAAAAAAAAAAAAAAAACTGTAGAGACATGGTGTCACTATGTTGCCCCGGCTCATCTCAAACACCTGAACTCAAACAATCCTCCTGTGTCAGCCTCCCAAAGTGCTGGGATTACAGGTGTGAGCCCCCTTGCCCGGCCAACTGCTAACATGACGTATTTAACATAACTTGACGTATTTTGTTTGCTTTTCTTCCCTTTTGCATATGACACTCCTACTTTCAAAGACCAAAAAAAGTTCCTGTCATGTGATGCTATTTTGTTTCTTAATTTTTTTTTTTTCAACTAAAGACCTTTTTGTTTCAGTACATGCAAATTTTTAATATGTCCCCAAACAAATTCAGTGGCCTGGTTTTCTGTTCATATTTCTCTTATGGCTTTACAATCTAATCTAAGGATATTAATGTATGAAATATACAAAGACAATAGCCTTTCTTTGGTAATTCGTATAAATATTTTCTCCAAAGAATTATCTTTTAACTTTGTTTTTTGTTTTTGTTTGTTTGATTTTCGCTGTGATGCAGAAAATTGTAAGTTTCGTGTGCTCTGTTTCTGGCCCTTGCGTCGTGCTCGGAAAGGGCTTCTGCAGCCTAAGACCATGAAGAGACATGGCGAGTTCTAAGCAGGTGGATGAAATGAGTGGGGTGTTACCCTGCCTGATCCTCCGGGTGAAATGTCCGGGTCTAGCTTGGCTGGTGGTGCACAGGGAGTCCCGGTGCTCTACTGAAGAGGAAAGTGGAGTGAGAGGGTGGGACCCTGGTGGGGAGCGGGAGGGTGATGAGGCCGGGCGGCGGCCTGGAGGGGCAGCCTGAGCCATCGATGGGGTGAGGTTCGGGGGTGACCCCGCTGAGGTCAGGCAGAATGCTGGCAGGACGGCGTCCGGCAGCCAGCGGGAAGCTCAGGCCTAGGGTGGGGTGGCAGAAGCCAGACATTTCTTAAGTAGGGGCTCCTGGAACACAGGCCTGCTGCAGGGCTGCAGAACGCCTCTTTCCCACAATGGCTGTAGATTGTCACTGAATTTTAAGAAAAGTGACTTCCACTCAAATGTAAGAGACCCAAATTCTTAGAAAATGGTTTAAGAATGATTTTTTCAAAAACCACTAAACCAAATATATTACCTATATTTTAGATCTATTTTCATCTTGTGAGTTACATTGTATCAGAAAGCATTAATAAAATCGTTGTCTTATAATATGTAACTAAGTGGTGTTAAGGTAGTGGAACATTTGTGCATGTTACCAACATGTCTTTCTATTACTTATGTTAGTTATATTAGCATAGAGAGGGTCTTTTAAACCCATCAAATATCATAAAAGCTCCACAGTCTGCAGAAAAGATTCAATAATATGGCAGAAATTAAGGGAAATGTTAAATTTTTTATTTGTTTGTTTGAGACGGGGTCTGACTTTGCCACCCACGCTGGAGCGTAGTGGTGAGGTCTTGGATTGCTGCAGCCTCGATCTGCTGGGCTCAAGCAATCCTCCGGCCTCAGCCCAGCAAGTAGCTGGGACTACGGCATCCACCACCACACCTGGCTAATGTTTGGTATTTTTTGTAGAGATGGGGTTTCACCATGTTACCCAGGCTGGTCTTAAACTCCTGAGCTCAAGTCATTTGCCTGCCCCGGCCTCCCAAAGGACTCGGATTACAGGTGTAAGCCACGGTACCTGGCCCCACAAATGTTAAAGCTTTGAAAACAGATTAGAATTTGTATTACTGTTTTTTGGATTCCATGTGACCTGAATGTCTAATTGTAGACCAACTGCAGATCTACTCATCAAACATTTTATTTTCACCCCAGATAGAATTACCCTGAAAGGACACATCAGGTGCTAACAAAATGCATAGATGGAAAAAGAACCCTCCTTTAAATAGAGTACCCTCCTGGTTCTCCTATTTTGTGTCATTAAGCACAATTTGTGATACTTGGTACATAAGCATGGGGTGTCCTTGAGCTGCAGGAGGTAGAGAGGTTAGCATCATGAAATGATGGCACAAAGCGAGAGCCATTACAGATGGAGAAGGAGGGTGGGTAATTGGGTCCAGCCCCCAGGGTTAAGTACCGCATTCTTCCAGAGTATATTTTTAGTGTTTTACTTAGCCTAGTTTCAAAATTCGTCTAGATGTTGGGGCTTCTCTCTTTTCTCCTGGAAGATGATTAAACAGACTAACAGCTTTTGCTCAAAGAAAGGTTCCTGGTATTTGTTGTCAACTGTGGTGTCTGATTTTGGCTCGTGCATGTTATCGATGTGTGGTGATGGCATGCAAGCCTACTTATTTGGTTATTTGGTTTCTGCTGGGGAGATTCACTCATATTGTGATATAACTTGCCTAGTTATTACCCACTGATCTATTCATGTTTCTCTCTTGTTTTTTTTTTTTTTTTAGCCAAACTGACATAAATATAAATCTCTCTTTATTTTTAGTTTTTCTTCCCCAGATTTGTTCTCAAATGGGATGAGAATCTCCAGATATCGTTGAAAAGGAGATTGGAGCAAAGGAGACACCCCTTCCCTTCCTCGTGGCAGCGGAAGCTGGTGATGCCTTGGAGGGTTGGGCCTCCTGGCCCCCCAGTCCTCACTCCTGGAGCTTCCTCACCTTGTGGCCCTGTGGCACTTTCAATTGTCCCTACTCGGGTTTTGTGGTGCACACAAGGCTCTTCTGACTCCTGGCTGGTTTCTCGGGTTTTGTTCTGCACCTCACGGCTCTACCAGTCCCTCTCTCCTGGCCTTTCCACCCCCATCCCACCCCGGGACCCTGGCCAGCTGCTTCCCGCCGGGGACAGGTGGAGGAGTAGGCTCGGTGATGAGCTTGGGGGTGCCTGTCATACTGAGGAACGTTTCTCATCTCCGTTGTCTTTCCCGGGGTGTAATTTGTACGGACTCTTGAGCATTTGAAAAGATCCTCTTAATTTTGATGCCTGTGGTAAGTGAGAAAGCTGGTGAGCGCCGCTAGAGCTGAAGGCACTCTGGTGCATCCTCCCTCCCTGCTGAGGCCAAGGTCCCCCACCCCTCGGGCTGGATCACAACGTGGACTGTCACTGGACAGCACTGAGGCCGCTGTGAAGACCCTTGGAAGGTTGCTCACATGCTTCTCCTCTCAACTCACGTTGCTTCTGGTTGGGGTTTGAATTCGCTGTTGAAAATTGCAGGCGGCGTCGTATCTGTGTTCATTGCATTATATATTTGCAAGCACGTGAACAAGTGAAGTGTCCTCAAGCTCTCAGCATCGTCTGGGCCCTGGGCTTCAGCCTGGCACCCTAGTGCAACAACACCCCCTAATCCAACACTCCTGGGTCTTGAGCCTGGTTCGTGTGGGTCGGAAGCTGACGGGGAGGCCAGTGTTGTGATGTTAAAAGAGGTGATTCTTGTCGTCCTGCCTCCAACTGCTCAGAAGAAAAGGCACGCACATGCAACCACACACCCAACATGCAGCAACCACAGCAGAAACTTTTAAACACCCTCAGCAGGTCAGCTCCGTCCTTTCATTCTTACATAGCTCCGTGCATGGAAGATTATGTTTTTGGAAGTGCCCCTGAATGCGAAATTCCGCTTCTTCATCCCCAGTTGTTATTTGGACCCCCAGTTTAAATCTCACGGCTGCTCTGGAGACCCAGGATCAGATGGACAGGTTAACTGCAGTTGCCCTCGGGTAGCTAAGTACTGTGATTTTGGAGCTGTTTCTCCTTTTTACTGCTCTCTTTCAAAAACAAAACAGAGAAAGAAGAAAAAAGGAAGAAAACACACAGGCCCCCACAAAGTCCCTGGCCCTAGACCACTCCCTGGAAGCAAGTGCCCACCCAAGGAACCCCCCACAACTCGGTTGACCCCACCTTGAGGCCCCCAGGTTTTGTGCCTCTGCAGAACATTGCCACGTCTGAAGCAGACATGTCTTTGCAGGTGAGAGGCTGGGGCTCAGATCTTGGGGCTCTGTAGGCAACTGGTTCTCAGAGGATGAAGAGTTCTGTGTGAAATGGTGCAGTCTGATTGTGGGAGGTGGACTGCAGAGCGCTGTGTGGCGGTGCTCCTGGCCGGAGTGGCCTTGGGAAGCAGTCGGAAGGCAACAGTCTGACCCCTCCCTTCCTCGCGGAGGGAGACTCAGAATTGCATGTTGGACTTGACTGTCCCCACAATGCCAGGGCTGTGTTGATGTGTCAGGGGCCATTCCTCTCAGGGGTGGTTGTAGCCCAGCTTGGCTCAGGACAGAGATACTTGGGCGTCCCAGGGCTGAGTTTCTTGTCTGAGGCTGCCGGCTACTTGTGGTGTGTGGAGCACGAACCCAGGCGGTGGGAGGTCAGAGCCTGCTCTCCGATCAATCTAACCCCGCCGTCCCCCATTTTAATAACAGTGGGATTCGCGCAGTGACTGGAGCAAGCACAGATGCTCTGAGGTAACTCGGTGGGCACTGCCCTGACACAGAGGTCAGAAAAGGCCCAAGCTGAGACTTGACGTTTATGACCAAGCAGCAGTGAGGAAAACCAGCAGGAAGGAGCTTTCTCAGCAGACGAAAAGCGTGTCCCAGGTCTGCAGAGAAGAGAGAGTCCCACTCGGGGGCAAGAGTGGCTCTGTGTGGCTGCAGCATTCGGCATGCGGAGTCTGGAGGTGACGGGTGCCCTGCAGGGCTGAAGGGGAGCGTGTGGTTTCTGGCGGTGATGGGGGTCCCTGCAGGGCTGAGGTGGAATGTGTGGTTTCTGGAGGTGACAGGTGCCCCTGCAGGGGTTTGGCGTGTGGTTTCTGGAGGTGACAGGTGTCTCTGCAGGGCTGAGGTGGAGCGTGTGGTGTGTGGAGGTGACAGGGGTCCCTGCAGGGCTGAGTGGAGTGTGTGGTGTCTGGAGGTGACAGGGGTCCCTGCAGGGCTGAGTGGAGTGTGTGGTGTCTGGAGGTGACAAGTGCCCCTGCAGGGGTTTGGCGTGTGGTTTCTGGAGGTGATGAGTGCTTCTGCAGGGCTGAGGTGGAACATGTGGTGTGTGGAGGTGACGAGGGTCCCTGCAGGGCTGAGGTGGAGCATGTGGTGTCTGGAGGTGACAGGTGTCTCTGCAGGGCTGAGGTGGAGCGTGTGGTAAGTGGAGGTGACGGGTGCCCCTGCAGGGGTTTGGCGTGTGGTGTCTGGAGGTGACGGGTGTCCCTGCAGGGCTGAAGTCAAGCTCTGCCTCCTGCGGAGCATTTGCATTTCTCTTGGAGCCTCTGGAAAGTTTCAAGTGTGAGGGAATGAAATGAGAGTCGTATTTTAGAATTTCCATAGAATTGGAAAATAAATGGAGGGGCAAGAATGTGATGGGAGGGAGAACAGCTTCAGACCTCCGGCACCATCTGAGTGTGGATTGTCAGACTGGGGAGGAGGGGCAGGCTGGAGAGCCACTGTGGACACACACAGGGTCCATGTTGGGTGTCAGCTCAGTGTAGAAACCAGAGAAAGGACAGACCCCAGGCAGCCTCCCACCTGCTGGTGTGGGCTTCTTGGTGACAGTCCTTAAATAGGAACAAAGCAGGCAGAACCCAGTGCTTCTGGCAGAAGGGCCCATAGTCAGAATTGGCCAGCAGGAAGGCCGGCCTCATGGAGTGCCTCATCCTCCTTGGGAGATGGGCTGGTTTCCTGGAGAACAGGGGCTGGTCGTGGGCCCTGCTGGCTGACCGATTGGCCCGTTCTCTCCTTCATGCCTCACTCTCCTCTCTGTCCCGGCACTCCTGGTGCTTGCTTGCTCCAGTGCTTTGTTTAATGTCTTTTTTTTCCCCGCTAGAATAGAAGTTTTCTGAGGCCAGAGGGCCTGTCTGCCTTGCTCATCATGTTATCCCCGGCACAGAACGCTCAGTAGGCGCTGGCTGACCCACTGTCTCTCTTGCCGATAGGTGAAATAGTTCTAATTCCAGGAATCAGGGAACTGGGAAGCAGAGGAGTGCGCCTGGCTGGTGCGTGGATGCTGGCAGGTGCATGGATGCTGGCAGGTGCGTGGATGCTGGCAGGTGCGTGGATGCTGGCAGGGGCGTGGATGCTGGCAGGGGCGTGGATGCTGGCAGGGGCGTGGATGCTGGCAGGGGAAACTACCCCTTCCCCACCCCACGAGTAGGAGCTGGTGAGGGCAGCCGCGTTCTTCACGATGGACACCAGCTCTGGAAAGCTAAGTATCCACGCTGTGGAAAGGAAAGAACAAACTGTTTTGGAGGAATGTTGAGCAGATAATAAAAATGAATTACACAGTAGATGGCTCGCCCTTCAACGCACAGCGTTCTGAAGAGCTGCACGATTTTGTTTGAAAACAGTCAAGGGCTTTTTGTAATACTTTACTGCAGGTTTAATTGCAGTGATATTTCAATGCCAAGGAGAGTAATTTGCAGCATGAATACAGCATTAGATTTGCAAGGCCCTACATTTTAAAACCTCTGTATAAAAGTGAGCATTTGGTACTAGCACTAGTAGAATTCTCATTTCCTACCTAACTTTCAAAGAAATTGAAGTTAAATGTCTATATTAACGTTTATAAAATTTTAAGAGTGATTCCCTTATTACATAATTAGCCTCAGCACTCATGGATCTGTGTGTCTGCCGAACATCATTACCCAGAGCAGGTTCTGGAACAGCTGCCGCCCAGACAGCGTGGCACTGATGTGGCCCTGAGGGGCGCATGCCGTGACAGACTAAAGTGCTCAGGGGATACTGTTGTTACGAGTCAGAATTGTTCATTGTAGTAAACATTTTCTTGTTAATAAAGAAAATCCTAGGCAAAATCTGAATACCTAAAGAGGTGATGGTATATGGTATGATAGTTTAGAGAAAATTGTGTTTATGAACATGGGCCAGCCAGGAGGGCGGGAAGGTCGCACCCATGGGAAGGGCCACAGCCCTGTGTCCTGTGTGCATGTCTCTCTGCAGGGAGTTGGTGACTTCATGCCTGGCATTGCGTGTGTACAGGGGACAGGCAGGCCCCAGACACCATTCCTGGAGGATCCTCATTAACCAGGATTGCTCTTCCATCTAATTCCAGAGCTGAGAGGCCTTTGGCTTCGTAGATCTAAGAGACACAGAAAAAAATAATCCCTAGAGAAAGAAGGGTGGAGTCATTCAAAAGGGCTGCATCGAAGACCCCAGCCCCTCTAGTGTTAATGCTGCAGACAGTCAGCTGTTGGGGCCGAGGCCCACAGATGGAGACTGGAACCTCCATGAGAATTGAGACTGTCTGGGTGGCGCTGGCATGGTTAAGCAGCTGAGGAGCCGTCTCACCGAGACTGTTCTGACTCCGGTAAATAATGGTCTGTGTGGAACCTTCTGGCATGAAACACTGACGTGATCCCAACAGTGTGGCACAGCTCCTGTAACAAGTCTCCCATCAGGAGACTCAGACTCAACACTTCAGAACTACAGGGACAGTTCATCCTGTGGAATCCTGAGGACATCTGCTATCAGGCTGTCTTTGAGAATAGAAAATAATAATAGAATATATGACAGAAATGGAGAGCATCTCTGAGATGGTGGCTTGTCCACTGGAGATACATGGCCCTTTCCTGGAGCCCGCAGGGGGAGGGGGGTGGGCAGGAGTTTGCAGCCCAGCTCCCCCCACCCAGGTGGAGCCGCCACCTTGTCCCCACAGTGCATCGTGGGGCATCTCAGGGAAGCACAGGGCTTCCTGCAGTGTGAGTTCTCCTCTGGCCAATGCAGAGGACTCCAGGCTCAGGGAGATGGGGGCCAACACAGAGAGGAGATATCTGCTATGGACAGCTACCTAAGCAAGAGAAAAGCTGTGAGAAGATTCAGTCACTGAGATGTTGGATTTATTTTTTAACAGCAACTAGCATTACCTAATACAATGGGTAAAACTATTTACCTTATTCCAGGGTAAGTTTCTATCAAGAAGGATCCAGAAGAGTGAGTGGGGTCTCAAATTCCTTTGTGGCTGGCACAAGTGATGTAAGAAATACCGAGCTATCTAAAGTCTAGGTTATCTGCCTCAAGGAGACCATGGGCATTAGGGGATTTGCAATATTCAGGACCTTAGGTACCACCCTACCACCCCTATGATGGTCATCGTTATCTTCATCATGACGGGCTTCACAGTCTCCAGGGTCCCCCCCACCCCCATGATGGTCATCGTCATCATCTTCATCATGATGGGCTTCACAGTATCCAGGGCCTGCACCACCCCCACGATGGTCATCATCATCATCATGACGAGCTCCACAGTATCCAGGGCCTGCACCACTCCCACGATGGTCATCGTCATCATCATCATCACCATGATGGGCTCCACAGTATCCAGGACCTCCACCACCCCCACGATGGTCATTATCATCATCACGATGCTGGGGCTTCACAGTCTCCAGGGTCCCCACCACTCCCATGATGGTCATCGTCATCATCTTCATCATGACGGGCTTCACAGTATCCAGGGCCTACACCACCCCCACGATGGTCATCGTCATCATCGTGACGGGCTCCACAGTATCCAGGGCCTCCACCACCCCCACGATGGTCATCATCATCATCACGATGCTGGGGCTTCACAGTCTCCAGGGTCCCCATCACACCCACGATGGTCATTGTCATCATAATGATGGGCTCCACAGTATCCAGGGCCTGTACCACCCCCACGATGGTCATCATCATCATCATGATGCTGGGGCTTCACAGTCTCCAGGGTCCCCACCACCCCCACGATGGTCATCGTCATTGTCTTCATCATGACGGGCTTCACAGTCTCCAGGGTCACCACCACCCCCACGATGGTCATGGTCATCATCATCACCATGCCAGGGCTTCACAGTCTCCAGGGTTCTCACCACCCCCACGATGGTCATCATCATCATCATGATGGTCTTCACAGTCTCCAGGGCCTGCACCACCCCCATGATGGTCATCATTATTGTCTTCGCTGTGGAGGGGCTTTGCAGTGTTTCGATGGTGGTCATCTCATCGCCATCACCATCTCATCCTGAGTACCTCCCTTGTGCGAGCTGTGTGCTTTGTTCTTTGCCAGCATGACCTTGTTTGATAGACTCAAAGTGTTTAAACTTATGTAATTCATTAAAAACGAGTTGTGTTTCTCCCTATTTTCTATTTTGTACATGAACAAAAATGTATTCTGTTGCCTTGGAAGCTTAGAAGGAAGACTGCTGGGCCTCAGCTTTGGTTGCTCTATTGATATTTGGAGGAAAGTGCATGGCGGTTGGTCATCGGGGGAAAGTTTAAAGTGGAAATCACATTCCGTGGCTTTGAATGTCTCTGTTGAATGCTCAGGCCCATCACAACAGAGGCACTGGCCTGAGAGGAAAAACATGATTTAGCTACATTTTATTCTCCTGGACTTTAGCTGTTAAAACCATCCTTTTCTCCTATCTTTCTGATATTAATTGATATATCTAAAAACTGTTCTACATTATTTCTTGCTGCTGAGAGAAATGGCAGTGAATTTAATGAAAACAGAGTGGCAGGTTCTAAATTGTGGCAGCTTGCTGGACCTGTGGACCCTTCCCACTTAACGCTGTTAGCTGAAATGTAAAGTGAAGCTATATTTATGGAAGAAATTTAAGTTTGACAAGAAAAGAACAAATAAAAAGTCTATGTGGATTGATGTTGATGAGACAACATTGATGGAGTTTGTTCTCTTATGTTTCTAGAATATCCTATCTGATTTCAGTTTCCCTGAGAAACATGTTAGCCAATTTTTAACACCTCACACCATCTCTGTGTAATTTCTTAGAACAGTATTCATCTCAATTCACGCTTGGGAGGTGTACAATGCTTTTGGCTTTCAATGTCTGGCCTTATTTTATTTGTATTACACACCATTTGATTGTTGAACTCTCTGGTGGAATTGTCCCTGAGATGAGATAAGAGAATTTGAATCTCACTGTTGCTCAGCTCCACAGGATGCCATGAGGTGCAACGCAAGCTGAGGGTGAGGAGACAAGGGTTGAAGGCTCTGAGTTTTCAGCTCTTCCATAGACACTGCAGCTTGTGTAAAGATGGCTTTTCTCTCAATAAAAACGAGCTTTCTTAACAAGTAAGTGTGAGTCCTCATCAGGCCTCCTGGTTCACCGACTCTCACTGTCACTTTCGTGGTGTCAGTACAATGAAGGAACTGCACAAGCTGGGGATTTTTTTTTAAAGTTCCATATTGAACTATGTGTTCATTGAATACAATTACAAAAGAACATAATATCTCAAATTTTTGAGTCACAATCTTAGGCTTATTACTGTCAAAAAGCAATTACAAGCTATTTTTATGCAGAGCTCAAACATAAAATTAAAGACTCCGAAATGAAAGAGAAACATTTTTAACCATACCATACAGTACTCATAACAATGTCTATGGAGCCAAATGTGGAGCATAGAAAATATGCATATTCTGCAACCCAGAGAGGGTGTTTACAAAGATAAACTTGAAGAATAATTTAGACCAGCTGTTTGTAGTAACTTTATTTCTATGCTTGCTAATATGTTAGAGTACAGAGGAATGAGGGAAAAATTGTGTTGAAACATTTAACATCTTGAAATCGGCTGACTGTGATAGGGGATCTTCAGAACCAGAGCTGTGATGGCTTGATAACCAATGTATGTGGCCTGGGTGGATGGACAATGACCCCAGTGATGACGCGTTCCGCAAGCACTCATGCCTTCAGATGAAAACACGAGGTCATCCGGGGGTCAGGGGAAAGGGACCTACTGAGTCTATGCCTGAGAAGGGTTAACGCCTGCTGCCAGTCTAGACCCAGGCCCTCCCGGGATGACCAGTCAGCAAAGACTTCGTGAACACCCTGCCCCTCTGGAGGGCATCATTCTGCATTAGGGCGTTGTGGCGGCTCACGGAGCCAGTAAGCTGATCAATGAGTCAGGATCGGAGGAAGGGGCTGCTGGTCGCAGATTCGGACGGCGACGATTTTGTGGGGCTTCTTTTGCTGCTGCTGCTGCGGCTGAGGTCGAAGGCTCCAGACGCCTGGTGACCCCACCTCATGACACCAGCAATGCCCCCAGGTTTCTGGACAGATGTTTTATGTCTCAGTTGCTTTTGTTGGAGAGACCTGTTTTTCAAAGTGCTGGCCGATATACCCATGATCGCCACTTTCAGACGCCGGAAGACGAAGACCAACAGTGGTGGCAGGCACCTGTCTCTTCCCTGAGTCCTGTCTCTGCTGCACACAGCATACGGCCAAGTGTTCAGAGCAAAGGAATGAAAGGAAAAAACATCCCTGTGGGGTTGGGTCAGAGCTTCCGTCTCTAAGTGGCACTTAGATGGCCCCTTGCAAAGTTGAGCAGAAAAGTTTCCGGCATCTTCGTGGAGGTCCGGGGAAAGCATTCGCTTCTTGACTCACCATTGCAGTAAACTTGGTGTGGAGAAGCAGCGGCTGTTCAAGCTGGGCTCAGAAGCTGTTCTTCCCAAGCAAACCAATAGCAGCGATTTCTGTGTGTTTCCTACATGGCAGACTCTTTATGAAGCTATCCTTTTGTTCTTCTCGACATCTCTGCAAAGTTGGCATCATGATTCCTAACTGCAGATAAAGAAGTGCTGGCTCGTGGATTTCAGGAACAGTCAAGATCACACCTGCAACACGTGGCTGAGCTGGAATCTAGGTTTGCGTCTGATGGATCAGACGTCCCTGCCCTAGTGGTGTGGCTTGGGTGCACTCCTGGACACGCCACACTTCCAGCCTGGCAGCACCCCCAAAGCCTTGGAGGCTGTGTGCACGTGGGCAAAGCTGCGAAGCCAGAAATTGCATCCTGGCTGGCACAGGACCTGGACACCTGCAGGCACCTGTGTGCCTGGAGGGGAGGTTGCCCACGTGACGCCAGGCTCAGTAAGCCACCGCCGAGGCAGGTTTGACTTACATTATAGTAGCAGGCTGACGTCTTCAAGGTGACACTGAATCTATTATCTATTATTTTCCCCCCAGATTTGATTAAGTTAAAAATCTCCCTTTACTAATTTTTTTCCTTCTACAAGGGCCAAATGTAAATAAAATCAAGTGAGTTCTTAAAATGCTTGGCATGGTTGATCTCGCTGGTTTGCAGCTTAGTAGCAGACCTCTGACTGCAAGGACAGTCTTACCTCCTAATTTTTAAAAACATTTACAACCCACTAAACTGGGAAGCTGTTTGTAAAGCAGGAATACCTTTAATAAGTGCAAAGTATCGGAGGACCGCTTTTTCTTAATTGGAAATCAAGGATGCCACCTCCAGCATCAGCTTTGTTTTGCCTCTTGCTGCCGCGTGTCCCTTTTGCTTTCAAAGGTGCAGTTTATTTTCAAAGTTCTCAGTTTGGTGCTCAGCTAGGGTCGGGTCAGAGCCCTGGGAATCCTGTGGAAGAGGAGACAGAACATCTGGGTTGGGATAATCTGGGGTCATCCGTCCAAGGGTACGTGGACCCTCGGGGTGGTGGCAGAAAAGCAGAAGAGACTCTCGGGGCTACCTGGGAGGACAGCCCCTTCCCTGCCTTCAGCAGCCGTTTCAGACCCCGGGAAAACAGGTCTTCTCCTGGCTTCCCCAGGTATACTTGGCCTGGCATCAGGTCAGCAAGCGCTTCCCATGGTCTCTGTCTCTTGAGTACAGAGATCCCTGCCCAGCCCTTCAGGAAACACCAGCCAGGACAGTCAACCCATCCTGATGAGACAGGGAAGGGCTGCTGCCAGGACCTCCCATGAGGGGCTTCTCCAAGAAGGCAATCCTATAAAGAAAATCCTGCAAGATGAACACGCACTTTTGCCATTCGAGGATGGGATTGTAAAAAAGGAACCCACAAACCGTTCAGCCCTCTAGACTATGTTTATTTGGCCCCATATGCAGGGAATTCATCAGGCATTGTCTTCCCCTTTAGGTTCTTTCGAGCTTAAAGAACACACTGACATGAGCCAACCTGGAGTGCGTGGAGTGTGTGCTGACATACTGGCCAAGATATGCACAGGCACACACACGTGCACACGGCGTAGGCGCACACACGTTGTCCTTGCATAAACCCCTGTCAAGCAACGCTCACTGTCACAAGTGGTGTGGAAACACAGGATTAGACAGTTGTGCAAGTTCAGCCACGTGTCAGATGGCCCCAGAGCTGAGCCGTCAGCGCGCCTCTGTGTTTGCTAGGCCATTGGTGGAACCCCTGACGTTCAGGGCTCTCAAAGGCACTGAAAATACTGTTCACAGAGCCACAATTAGCAAGCAGACTATATGAATAATCACACCCATTCCCACAAAGATTTCTTGTTTCCACCGACCAATCCATTACCTGCTTCAGTGAACCGTCCTGCTGTTAATGTGCAGGGCTCTCGCCCTCAGGTGATGGAGTAAACTGCCCTCCGCAGCTGCCTGCTGCTATTGTTTTAGGTCAGATGTATCGTGCATGAGGAAAGTTTACTTGTCAAACATTCCAGACAGGCCACTTTAATTCCAGATCAAATTGATAACATGCACACCGTCAAGGCTGGAATGAAAAGGAGCAGGGCGCCTTCCTTGTTTTTTATAACAGCTTTATTGAGACGAAATTAGCACACCGTACGGCCCACCCACTGAAAGTATACAATTCAGGGTATTGGCAGAATCCTAGATTTATGCAGTCTGTCACCGCGATCACCTTTAGAGCACGCTCATCACCCCATGTGCCGGCACGCCTGCGCTGGGCGTTTCACGTAGACGGAGTTGTGCGGTGTGTAGCCTTCGGTGACTGGCTGCTGGGTGTTTCCCGTAGATAGAGTCATGTGGTGCGTAGGCTTTTGTGACTGCCTTCTTCATTTAGCATACTGCTTTCAAGATTCATCTGTCTTGTAGTATTTCTCAGTACTTCTGTCCTTTTCTTAGCTCCATTGTATGGATGGACCACATTTTATTTATCCATTCATGAGTTGATGGGCATTCCTGTTGTTTTCACATTTTGACTATTATGAATAATGTTGTAATTGGATTCTTATCCTATTTTTTTAAAGAAATTTTAAGATAAAGTGAATATGGATCAGTATGACTTTGGCTTAACTATTTTGTGTTAATGAGGCTTACTGAAATGGTTTGATTACCAGCTGTCTTTGCCAGCAGGTCGGGGGTCTTCCTGTCCTCATTGTTTTTCTTTCTTGTCACTTTCTCATTTCCATAAAGTCATGATGACTTTTGAGAAGGGCCAGATTCCCAGGTCAAAATTGCCCCTGAGAAGTTGGGTGAAAGCCAGAGGTTTTATCAAAAGCCACCTGTGGAATTAAGTCACAAATGGAGTCAGATGGATTCCTCCTTCACTCCCTGCCCGGGATTACGGCGTCAGGTGGGCTGATAGCACAGGTGAGCCTCAAATGGCCTTCGCCTTGGGGGTGAGCTTTTGGGGTCAACTAGTGAGTTTTGGGATCAAGAAATTTGAGGTCAATTTCAGAATGGGTTTTCTAATTCTCTGAGAATTGGTAAGTCAGGTCGTGCACTGGAATCAACCAGAAAATTTAATGGGCCAGGGCATTCTAGATATAAGAAATATTGGTCTTCTCTCACAGCTTGTATATTTGATGCCACTGAAGCTGTTATTTTGATGGCATAAAGAACAGAGTAAGATGAATATTTTGACAGATTCATGGGTGTATCAGATAGCAAAGAAAATTGAGAAACAAGATTGTAGAACGTGATGAAGTGTGTGAGAGGAGGCTACAAATCATGCCGGATTAGGCACGCAGGAGGCATGCCCTCCCTGCTGACGGCGACTCCTTTCCTCCACCCAGGATGACTGCACATGTGCGCCAGGCCAGCTGCACGGAACCTGCGGGGTGGGTGGAGCTCCCATCCCCTGGGGCTTTCCATCTAGCAGGGTTTTCCCCGGTATTTGGCCTTCTTGTTGTTGTTGTTGTTGAGGAATAACAAGCTTGAGAAAAGCGAGCACGACATAAAAGCACAGCTCAGCAAATTGTCCAAACATGGACAACCTTAAGCGACTACGGAGAGGGGATGGTGGGAAATCTTGTCACAGTTCAGCATATTGTCCGAATGTGGAGATCCCTTAGTGACTACAGAGAGGGGATCTCGGGAAATCTTGTCACAGCTCGGTTGAAATCTTCTTTCTTCTCCTCAGAGAACAGCATGGTCCTGACTTCTGGCAGCCTATTTCACTTTTGTGTTTCTAGACAGGTGGCTTATATAGCATGCATTCTTTTTTGCCTCACTTTTGTGTTTCTAGACAGGTGGCTTATATAGTATGCATTCTTTTTTGCCTGGCTTCTTTTAGTCAACATTGTGATTCAAAGATTCGCCCGTGTGATTCTGATTTGCTGTAGTCCGTTTACTTTCAATGCTAAATAGTTTTTCATGACAGAGCATAAGGGACTCACCCCTTCTTCCACCCGATGGACATTTGGTTCCCTCCCAGTTTTCATGTCTTATGAGTGCAGATGTTGGGGTTCAGCAGAGAGTTAGAACCACTAGGAGAGAAATAGCATATGGAGGTATTTGATAGGGACTTGGCCTGGGGCAGTTGTGGAGCTGGTGAAACGGTGTCCATCAGGCTGTTGCTTCTGTGTCCATTTCAGAGCCTGAAGTTGGCCAGGCAGGCAGTCAGGCAGGACAGACAGATGTGACATGGGGACGAAGAGAAACAGGAACCTGCATGTACATCTGGAAGGCATGAGGGTGAACTTGAATCCAAGTTGGGCTCTTACCACCTGCGAGCCTCTGACTGTGACATGCAGGTAACCTGTGGGAGTAGTGGGGACCCTGTGTCTCAGGTTCACAACTACCTGGCCGTGGGCCCAGAGGATGAAGCAGGAGAGGCAGCAGGCAGATGTAGCTGTTGCTATGGCAACAAGGTGAGCCTGCAGACAACAGCAGCACCTGGACCTGTGTTGACCTGAGTGTAAAAATGTTTCTAGGGACCCATCTATCTTTTATTTATAGATTTCTGAGCTCTTTTTTCTTTGAGATTAATGTCAAAGTTTTTTCAAGGAATGCATTCTTGTCTGTGTTGATTCCCTTCTAGAGTATGTTCACTTTATTTGGGGTTAATTTGTTGTTCTTTTTTAAAAAAATTAGATGGATGTATAGTTCATTAATGTTTCAGTATTTCTCCTTTTCTGATACGTATATCTAAGCCTATACACTTTCTTTTGCCTTTGGCCGAATCTCACTTGTTTTGACATTTTCCATTTTGCTGAAAGTGGGAGGCAGACTTCTGCAGGAGAGCCATGATTTTCACACCTGGCTTACACACCTGTATTTCTTTCCCCTGGAGGATGAGTAGGACTTATGAACTTGATGGATCTTTGACTGAAATCAGTTATGTTATAGGATAAAGCGAAGGAATTCTGCACTTGTTCTTAATTGACTTTCAGATAATCAAAAAGGAGATTATCTCATTGGGCCTGAGCTAATCAGGAGAGCCTCTATAAAGAGGCTAAGAGACCAGAGTGATTCAAAGCAGGAGAGATGCTCTCCTACTGGCCTTGAAGAAGCAAACTACTGTGCTGTGGAGAGGGCCTTGTGGTGGAAAGTGGTGGGTGGCCTCAAGGAGCTAAGGGCAAATGAATTCTGCCAATTTCCGGGGAGCTTGGAGGAGGACTGGAACTCAGATGAGGCCAACACCTTGCTCCTAGTCTTGTAAGACCCTGAGCAAAGGGCCCGGTTGGGCCTTGCCCAGGCTCCTGAGCTATGGAAAATGTGAGATGATAAATGGGTGCTGTCGTAAGACACTAATTTTGTAATAATCTGTTATGCAGCCATAGAAAACAATTACATTATCATTCAGTTCAAAGTATATATAATTTTAATTAAAATTTTTTCTTTGACTAATGTTCTGTTTAGAAGTATATACCTCGATTTCTAGGCATATGGGGGTTTGCTACTTAACTTCTTATTGTTGATTTCTAGTTTAGTTGCACTCAGGTCAGAGAAAAACTCTGAATGATTTCAATCCTTTCCAATTTGCTGAGAGTTGCTTTATGGCCCAGCATATGCTAAGTTTTCGTAAATTTTCCATGAGTATCTAAAAACAAAGTGTATTCTATAGTTGTGATACAAGACAAATTTGTTAGCTTTCTTGTTCTAATGTTTTAAAACACTCCCCCAACTAAAAAAAGCCATTTATCTTTTCAGTTATTGAGGAAGAAGAAGTTAAATCTATTACAATTGTGTGATTTACTTCTTTGTTCTATCAGTTTTTGATTATCAGAAAATTTTTTTATACTATCATTCTTAGAAGGTATTTATGAAATACAGATTTTTAGGTCAGCTATTATTTTCTGCCAGCAAGAGTCAAAAGCATCATTTCATTGTTTTCTGGCTTTTATGTTGTCTTTTGAGGAGCCAGCTGTCAGTCTAATGTTTTTTCCTTTGAATGTAATGTATGTTTTCAAGAACCTACTTTGAAGATTTTATCTTTATTATTTTTGGGGAAATTTTACTATAATGTGCCCATATGTGGTTTCTCTTGCTATTTTCTAAATGGTATTTATAGGATTTCTTAAATCTGTGGCTTAATGTCTTTCAACATTTTGAGCCCTTTTAAAATATATCTCCTTAAATAAAGTCTCTGGGCCATCTTCACTTTTATCTGTTTCTCAGACTCCAAATATACATGTGATAGAGCTCCTGACTCCATTTCCTATATTTTTAAAGCATTTTTCTTTATTTTCTGTTCTTTATCTCTCTATGCTTCATTCTTGTTATTTTCTTCTGACTGAATCTTCCAGTTCACTAATTCTCTCCTCAACTGTGTCTTAAATTCATCCATGAGTTTTACATTTTTCTTTTTTTCCTTTTTCAACTTTTATTTTAGATTCAGAAGGTACACGTGCAAGTTTGTTATCTGGGTATATTGTGTGATGCTGAAGTGTGGGGTAGGAATGATCCTATCACCCAAGTACTGAGAACAATACCCAACAGTTAGTTTTTAAACCTTTTCTCCCTGTCTCCCTCCCTCCTTCCCCTCAAGTAGTCCCCAGTGTCTATTGTTGTTATCTTTATGTCCATGAGTATCCAATGTTTAGCTCCCACTTATAAGTGAGAACATGAGGTATTTGGTTTTCTTTTTCTGTTTTAATTCACTTAGGATAATGGCCTCCAGCTGCATCCATGTTGCTGCAAAGGATGATATTTCATTCTTTTTATGGCTGCATAGTATTCCATGGTGTATATGTACCACATTTAAAAAATCCAATCCATGGTTGATGGGCATCTAGGTTGATACCATGTCTTCGCTATTGTGAATAGTGCTGTGATGAACGTGCAAATGCATGTGTGTTTTGGTTTTATTAGGTTCTCTATTCTGTTCCATTAGTCTCTGTGTCTGTTTTTGTACCAGTACCATGCTGTTTTAGTTACTGTAGCCTTATAGTATACTTTGAAGTCAGGTAATGTGATGCCTCCAGCTTTGGTATTTTGGTCTTTTTGCTTAGGTTTGCTTTGGCTGTTCAGGCTCCTTTTTGGTTTCATATGAATTTTAGAATAGTTTTTTTTCCAATTCTGTAAAAAATGACATTTGTAGTTTCATAGGAATAATGTTGAATCTGTAGATTGCTTCGGGCAGTATGGCCATTTTAATTATATTGATTCTTACAATCCATGAGCATGGCATATTTTTCCATTTGTTTGTGTCACTGATGATTACTTTAAGCATGGTTTTGTAGTTCTTCTTGTAGAGTTCTTTCACCTCCTTGGTTAGATGTATTCTTGAGTATTTTATTTTATTTTTTTTGTGGTGACTGCAAGCGGGATTGCATTCTTCATTTGGTTTTGGACTGAATATTTTTGCTGTATAGACATGCTACTGATTTTTGTACATAGATTTTGTATCCTGAAACTTTGCTGAAGTCATTTATCCATTCCAGGAGCCTCTTGGTAGAGTCTTTAGAATTTTCAATGTATAGAATCAGATCATCTGTGAACAGAGATAGTTTGACTTCTTTTCCTATTTGGATGACTTTTATTTCTTTGTCTTGCCTGATTGCTCTGGCTAGCACTAACAGTACTATGATGAATAGGAGTGATGGGTGTGGGCATCCTTTCCTTGTTCCAGTTCTCAAGGAAAATGCTTCCAGTTTTTGCCTGTGCAGTATGATGTTGGCTGTGGGTTTGTCATAGATGGCTCTTATTTGGGGGTATATGCCTTCAATGCCTAGTTTCTTGAGTTTTCTTTTTTTTTTTTTTATCATGAAGAGATGTTGGATTTTATCAAAAGACTTTTCTGCATCTATTGATATGATCATATGGTTTTTGTTTTTAATCTATTTATGTGGTCAATCACTTTTACTGATTTGCATATGTTCAACCAACCTTGCATCTCAGGAATGAATACAAATAAACCTCTGTAGCAATCCAGGAAATGAAGGAAGAGATAAACATCTTAAAAAGAAATCAATCAGAGCTCCTGGAATTGAAAAACTCACTTAAGGAATTTTAAAATACAACTGCTTGATCATGGTGAATTAAATTTTTGATTTATTGTTGAATTTGCTTTGCTAGTATTTTGTTAAGGATTTTTGTGTCTATGTTCATCAGGGATATTGGCCTGTAGTTTCCTTTTTTGTCGTGTCTTTACAAGGTTTTGGTATTAGGGTGATGCTGGCTCCATAGAATGAGTTGAGGAGGAATCCTTTTTCCTTGATTTTTTGGAATAGTTTCAATGGAATTGGTACATGCTCTTCTTTGTACATCTGGTTGAATTCAGCTGTGAATCATCTGGTCTGGGGGCTTTTTTTGGTTGGTAGGCTTTTTATTACTGATTCAATTGTGGAACTTGATATTGGTCTGTTTTATGTTTCATTTTCTTCCTGATTCAATCTTGGGAGATTGTGTGTTTCCAGAAATTTATTCATTTCCTCTATATTTTCTAGTTTGTGTTTGCAGAGGTGTTCATAATAGTGTTTGAGGATTTTTGTATTTCTGTGGGACTGGTTGTAATGTCACATGTGTCATTTCTGATTGTGCTTATTTGGATCTTCTCTCTTTTTTTCTTTGTTAATCCAGCTAGTGGTCTATTGATCTTATTTATACTTCAGATAACCAACTTTTGTTTTTGTTGATTCTTTATGTGAATTTTTGGGCCTTATCAGTTTCTCTCTGATTTTAGTTATTTCTTCTCTTCTGCTAACTTTGGAGTTAACTTGGTCTTGTTTTTCTATTTCCTCTGGGTGTGATGTTAGAACATTAATTTGACATCTTTCTATCTTTTAAGGTAGGCATTTAGTGCTATAAACTTTCCTCTTAACACTGCTTTTGCTGTATCCCAGAGATGTTGATGTTATGTCTCTGTTTTCATTTACTTCAGAGAATTTTTTTGATTTCTGCCTTGATTTCATCATTTACTCAAAAGCCATCCAGGAGCAAGTTGTTTGCTTTCTTTCTGATTGCGTGGTTTTGAGAGATTTTCTTAGTATTGATTTCTATTTTTATTCTACTGTGGTCTGAGAGTATGGTTGGTATGATTTCCACTCTAAGAAAATTTATTGTGACTTGCTTTATGGCTGAGCATGTGGTCAATCTTGAAGTATGTTCTGTGTGCAGATGGGAAGAATGTTTATTCTGTGGTTGATGGGTAGAATATTCTGTGATGTTTTTTAGGTCCAATTGGTCAAGTCCAGAACTTTGTTAGTTTTCTGCCTCAACAATCTGTCTGATTCTGTTAATGGAGTGTTGAAGTTCCCCATTATTATTGTAGTTGTCTAAGACTTTTCATAGGTCTAAAAGTAGTTGTTATGAAACTTGGTGCTCCCATGTTAGGAGCTTATATATTTAGAGAAGTTACATTTGCTTGTTGAATTGAACCCTTTATCATTATGTAATGCCCTTCTTTGTCCTTTATTACTATTGTTTGTTTTAAGTCTGTTTTACCTGATATAAGAATAGTAACCCCTTATCTTTTTTGTTGTCTATTTGTATGGTAGATCTTTCTCCCACCCTCTACTTTGAGCCTATTGGTGTCATTACATATGAGATAGGTCTCTTGAAGACAGCAGATGAATGGATTTTTTTTTTAATTCAACTTGCCACTCTATGGCTTTTCATTGGCTTGTTTAGATCATTTACATTCAAGATTAATATTGATATGTGAGGTTTTGATTCTGTTGTGAAGTTGTCAGCTGGTTGCTTTGTAGTTTCTATTGTGTCTTCATAGGGTCTGTAGACTATGTATGTAAGTGTGTTTTTATGGTAGCTGGTATCATTCTTTTGTTTCCATGTTTGAAACTCCCTTAAGAATCTCTTATTAATATAAGACTGGTCTAGTGGTAATAAATTGCTTTTGTATTTAATTATCTGGGAAATATTTTGTTTCTTCTTTACTTATGAAGCTTAGTTGGGCAGGATACAAAATTCTTGGTTGGAATTTCTTTTCTATAAGCATGCTGGAAATAGGCCCCCAATCTCCCTTGGCATGTAAAGTTTCTGCTAGTAAGTCTGCTGTTAGCCTGATGGGGTTATCTTTGTACATGATCTGCCTCTTTTCTCTAGCTGTCTTTAAGATTTTTTCTTTTCTTTTTTTTTAGTGCTGACCTTGGACAGTCCGGCAATTATATGTCTTGGTGACATTCATTTTGTGTAGTATCTTGCAGGTGCTCTTTGGTTTTCTTATATCTGGATGTCTACCTCACTAGTAAGATTAGGGGAATTTTCTTGAATTATTCCCTCAAATATTTTTTCCAGGCTGTTTGCTTTTTCTTCTTCTCTCTCAGGAATGCCAATAATTCATAGGTTTGCTTGCTTTACATAATCCCACAGTTCTCAAAGACTTAGCTCATTTTTAAAAATTCTTTTTAAATTTATTTTTGTCAGACCGAGTTAGTTTAAAAGACTGGTCTTCAAATTCTGAACTTCTTTCTTCTGCTTGGTCCAGTCCATTGCTAAAGCTTTCAGTTGTATTTTGAAATCTCTTAAGTGAGTTTTTCAATTCCAGGGGCTCTGACTGATTTCTTTTTAAGATGTTTATCTCTTTCTTTATTTTCTGGATTGCTGTAGAGGTTTCTTTGTATTGATTTTTAACCTTGCCTTGGATCTTGTTGAGCTTCCTTGCAATCTATGCTTTGAATTCTTTGTCTGTCATTTCTAAATTTCCATTTTGGTTAGGGACCATTGCTGAAGAGCTAGTGCAATCCTTTGATGGTGTCATTACATTCAGATTTTTCATGGTGCCTGAATTTTCATGCTGTTTCTTTCTCATCTGGAGATATTGGCACTTCTAATTTTTATAAGTATTTTTGTGCAGGTAGGATTTTTTCTTTTTATTTCTTTCCCAATAATGTTATTATTATTTTATACTATTTTTTCTTGCCCTTTCCTTCTCCCACTCCCTAGGGGGTGTGAGTGTAGAGAATGCTGGGTAGGATCTTTCTATAGCCTTATGCACTTCTTTTGGCAGGTTTTATATTGGGCCGTGCAGTTCATCCTACAAGCCCATAGATGGTGCTTATGGGTAAGAGCCAACTGCAGCCAATGTGGCTGGGTATATACTTGTCCTTGTTTACTGGTAGAAGCTCTCTGTTGCCTCAGGCAATGGGCTGATTCATGGAATATACAGTGGAATGCTGAACTCCCTGTTTGGCCTTAGGAATTGGGGGTGGGAGCCATGAAGAGCAGGGCTAGACTGGACTGGCCCACCTACAGGACCCCTGATGGTGGGCACAGGCAGCAATGCTGAGGAAGAACCCAGTGGGCAGCTACCAAGCACCCAGAGGTTTGCCTAGGCTTGGAGCTAGGAAATCTCTTTGGCCCCAAGTTCTCTGCATGGTGTTGGGGGCAGCCTAAGCTACTAATCCAGGAGAGTGGGTGCTCCAGATGCCTGGAGATTTGCCTGGGTGTGGAGTGGAGAGGGTCTCCCCACACCAGGATCACTTCACAGCAGAAGAGGGGACAGGCCAGCCCCCTGATCCAGGTGAGCAGATGCTCTGAATGCCTGGAGATCTGCCTGATGTGGAGTGGAGAGAGGCTCACTGCACCATGATGTATGCTCAGGAAGGGTGTGGTGCCTTAGGCTGCAGATCCAGGCAAGCAGGTGCTCCAAATGCCTGGATTTATGCATGGAGGTAGAGCAGAGAAGGCCCTGCTGTACCACGATCTCAGGGGAGCTGGCTGGGGCACCCAGCAGTGACACACACAAATCTGTTTCAGGTCACTAAGCTGGCCATGGCTGAAAGTCTCACTGTCCAGGAGAAACTGCAGCTGTAGTAGTTCTCCTCCTGCCCCAAGCCTGCAGTGGGGTTGGTGGGGAGGTACCATTTAGCCCTAGTGCCGAGATGCTTTCCACAGTTCTGGCCATGGAGGCCCCTACTGTGCTGCAGAGCAGGTGCTCCAATCTCTGGCCCAAGACTAAGATGCCTGCATGGCCACGCTGCCGGGTCACCAATCAATGGCCTATTTTATATGTGCCCAGATTAAAAATGGTGTCTTGCTCTCGGTCCCAAGTCTGGGACAATGTCTGCAGCTTTTCCCGGTGTCTGTCCCTCACAGTGTCTCCCAGCCTCTCTCCAAGTTAGCTGTTGGGCTTGAGCAAAGCAAAGGCTATCCCTTGGCCTGGGTTGCTCAGATCCCAGGGGAAAGGGAAGTCACAGAGGGAGGCTCTCTGCCTCCTTCACATATGGGGGTTCCACTCACTTTTATCAACCAGGGACTGTCACAGGGCAGTTTGCAGGCATTCTCCTCCCTGGGATCTAGGGTGTCCTTCATGGATTGGGGTGGATCCCTGATTTCCTTTTTGAATTAAAGTTCAGAGTTCATTTTTATGCACTATCATCTTGCTATTTCCAAGTGGCTGAGACTGAAAGCTTCTAATCTGCCATCTTGGAAAAAAGAAACACCTAAATTTCCTTTATTCTAGTTTTTAGTCCTACAATTTTTTTTTTTTTTTGAGATGGAGTCTTGCTCTGTTGCCCAGGCTGGAGTGCAGTGGCACAATCTTGGCTCACTGCAACTTCCACTTCCCAGGTTCAAGCCATTCTCCTGCCTCAGCCTCCCAAGTAACTGGGATTACATGCACCCGCCACCATACCCAGCTAATTTTTTGTATTTTTAGTAGAGATGGGGTTTCACCATGTTGGCCAGGCTGGTCTCAAACTTCTGACCCCAAGTGATCTGCCCACCTCGGCCTCCCAAACTGCTGGTATTACAGGCGTGAGCCACCATGCCTGGCCCTAGTTCTACAATTTTTAATTTGATGGTTGTTCTCCTTTTCCTCTTCCTCCCTGGTTTCTAGCTGTTGTAGATTGTGAAAATGGTCGGAGATTCTTTGCCACTCCAGGCATCTGGAGCACCCACTCTCCTGGATTAGCAGCTTAGGCTGCCCCCATCCCCATGCAGAAATCACGATTTCCCTGTCATTGGAAGCTGGGCGGCCAAGTGACTGGCTTTGACCAGTAGAGCCTGGTGGAAGCGTTGGGTGAATTCTGAGCCTCTGCACCTGAGAAGTTTTGCATCTTCTGTCCTTGGACAGGGACCCTTTAGCTACTGTGTGAACAAACTCCAGCCAGCCTGATGAAGGATGATAGACTGCAAGGAGGAACGTCGGGTCATTTCAGCTCTGCAGCTGTGCTGCTGCTCCTGGGAGACGCTCCCAGCATGAAGGGAGGCCCACCAGAGACAGCAGGACCTGGGCCAGACCAGACGGATGGCCCATCTGAGGCCAGCCTAAACTGCTGAGCTAAAGAGAACGATGAACTAAATAAAATTGTTGCTGTTTTAACCCCCTAAGTATTAGGGTGATTTGTTGCATATTTCTCTGTTAAAATTCTTAATAATTTAAAAATAATTGCCTTAAACATATTGACAGTGTAATTTTAAATGTGTCTCATTCTGTACCCAGGCTCCATGTGGTGTGGTTATACTGTGCATTCTTTCTGTTACTTTTGGTCATATTATCTAGTTTTCTGATGTGTCTGGTTATTATTGAGTGATGGGAACTGCATATAAAAAAACTGTAGAAATATTTTGAGGGATGTGATGATGTTATCTCTCTGTAGAGGCTGTATTTTCTTCTCGGGGGAAGCTAAGGCATTGGTAGCCCTGGGTCACCTCAATCCAGTTTCATGGATCTAAAGTCTATGAAACTCACCTTCAGTTCTAGGGTTAAGCCTGTCAGGGTCCCAAAAAGTGTAGGGGAATTACCAGTCTCCTCTTCCAAAACTGGACTCCACTTTTTTTTTTTTAAATTCACTGAACCAAGATAAACTTATTTTATCTTGCACATTTTATCTTAAAAGAAGAAGAAGTCTTGCACATCTTCTCACTCTCCTAGCTGCCTCTTTGAAGGACGAGATGCCCTTGGTAGGGGTGGGGCAGTAGTTCAAATCCTGTGCTTCCTTTTCTGTATTTTCTTCTCCTGCTAGATCTTGGGGATACAATTCTCCACTGCCTTGCACTTTCTAGTTAGCCTTTACACAAACTCCACTTTTGACTGATATTTTAGCTGCTAGCAAGAGGATTGGTAAGAATTATCTGAAACTCTATTATCAGAAAAAGAAATACACAAGGACTTAATTTTTAAAAGATATATTGAAGTGGGCCGGGGGTGGTGGCTCACGCCTGTAATCCCAGCACTTTGGGAGGCTGAGGCGGGCAGATCACGAGGTCAAGAGATCAAGACCATCCTGGCTAATACGGTGAAACCCCATCTCTACTAAAAATACAAAAAATTAGCCGGGCGTGGTGGTGGGCGCCTGTACTCCCAGCTACTCGGGAGGCTGAGGCAGGAGAATGGCGGGAACCCAGGAGGTGGAGCTTGCAGTGAGCCGAGATCGCACCATTGCACTCCAGCCTACGCCGTCTCAAAAAAAAAAAGATATATTGAATATAGAGAAGTACAAAGGAGAACATAACCCAGATGATAGCACATGATTTATTTGCTTTTAAGAAAATCCCTTCTATTTATCTAAAATGAGATGTATTTACTATAACTCACATATTTTATAATAATTTATAAGTACTTACTATTTAGAAATTATATTCATTATGTATTGTAAATTGTAAATCCAATAATGCTGTAGAGTAAAAAGATAAAAATGAAAAAAATCCCAAATCTGCTGCTCAAAAACTGTCATCATTAATCTTGGGTGATCATCATGCTACACATTTTTGATGAAGCGTATATACATTATTAGAGGACTAACTAAATATAGTTTTATGAACTGGGATTATACTAGAAATGCTATTTATTGAAAATGATATTATGCTACTTTACCTGAATCTAATAAGCAAAATAAATTAAAATTAAAGCAAGTATTGGCATCAAATAAATTTTATTCATTATAAGAGGTATTGGCTGGGCATGGTGGCTTAGGCCTGTAATCCCAGAACTCTGGGAGGCTGAGGCAGGTGGATCACTTGAGCCCAGGAGTTCGACGCCAGTTTGGCCAACATGGTAAAACTCCGTTTCTACGAAAAATACAAAAATTAGCCAGGCATGGTGGCAAGTAGCTGTAGTCCTAGACACTTGGGAGGCTGAGGCAGGAGAATCCCTTGAGCCCTGGAGGTGGAGGCTGCAGTGAGCCGAGATCACAACGCACTCCAGCCTGGGTGACAGAGGGAAACTCTGTCTCAAGAAAAAAAAAAAAAAGAGAGAGAGAGAGAAGCAGAGAGAGAGAGATTATTCCCTGAGGTTAAAAAAAATACGATTATGATGAATGAGAACTTTGGAGTAATTTTTTAAGGTTCCATGCACTGTTTTTGGAGAGCTCTGGTAACGCTGTGTTTTGTGGGGTGGGCATTTCCACACTCACCCCCGCCCCCCGCCCCGGCCCTCAGTTGTTTATTGATCATGTTACTGTTTTTGCATCCTCTGGGTTTCCAGTGTTCACATTCTTTATTCAGCACAATCCTCATGGGGCTTCATGTTTCTTCCACGCTTACCTGTGCTCGGTGGCAAGCACTGGCCCTCTTCTCTGACTTTTCCATGTCTGTCCTCTGCAGTGTGATTAGCTTTTAGGATAGTAGGCGATATTTTTAAAAAGAAGGGCTCATGGCTAATCTCTGCAATTTTATAATCTCTGCAGTTTGATGCTTGAAGCTGCGCTGCCTGCCCTAACGTTGGAAGGACGCCTTGGCTGTGTCATTCTTTTCTTCACAACTTTGCCATCACTGCATGTTTTCTACTATCTTCTGCCCGTGGAAGAGTCTGAGACTAGCCCTATTGTTTTTCTTCTTGTAGCTGATTTGATTTTTAAAATTTGTAGGTCTGAATTATTCTTTTAAATAAGTTAATTTCTTTATTCATCTGGGTTATGTCAGTTGCTTATTATGGGGAGATGGGGGCTTAAAATAAGATGTAGGGTTTACAGGGCAGCCAGGGGCTCGGGGGAAGTAGGGCTCTAGACAGCTGTGGCCCGAGCTGGGAAGCATCTGCCTGACTCAGCCTGAGTGTCTGGCAGAGTCCAAGAGCCCCTGGTCAGGTTGCCACACTGTGATGTGGGAGCTCGTGGAGACGTCTGCAGCACTGCGCCAGCGTGACGCCCCTTCGAGGATAACATCAGGCCAGCGTGACGCCCCTTCGAGGATAACATGAGGCCAGCGTGACGCCCCTTCGAGGATAACATGAGGCCAGCGTGACGCCCCTTCGAGGATAACATGAGGCCAGCGTGACGCCCCTTCGAGGACGACATGAGGCCGGCGTGACGCCCCTTCGAGGATGACATGAGGCCGGCGTGACGCCCCTTCGAGGATAACATCAGGCCGGCGTGACGCCCCTTCGAGGATAACATGAGGCCGGCGTGACGCCCCTTCGAGGATAACATCAGGCCGGCGTGACGCCCCTTCGGGGATAACATGAGGCCAGCGTGATGCCCCTTCGGGGATAACATGAGGCCAGCGTGACGCCCCTTCGAGGACGACATGAGGCCGGCGTGACGCCCCTTCGGGGACGGCAGCCTCACCTGCACCTTCCTCGTCCCGCACATGGGCGCACTCAGCCTGGACCAGCGCAGGCAGGGAGTTCTAGGGCTGCAGTTCCCAGCTTTGGAAGACAGGTGGAGTCATGCCCAGTTACAAGGATAACAGTTGTATTTTTGGTGTTGCCTGCTGTGTGTCTAATTTTGCCAGAATGTCCTCTTTCCATCTACAAAACCTTAGATTTTTTCATTTCATTTTCTTACATGATGTTTGGACGTCATCTTCCGCTCCGTTGGTTGGTCGTCTGCAGCAGGGACACCCATTGTTCTCCTGCTGAGTCTTTGTCTTCCCAGGGCCTTCCCATGTGGTTTACTGCCTTTTCCAAGTGCATCCACTGCGATATTCTCAAACCTTTTCTCGGGGTCTGTTGTAGGATTTGCAGTTATTATGCTCCTATTTATTTCCATCAGGATGTTCTTTGGCCTGTAGTCTTTTTCATTATATACGCAGTCTTCCTCTTCATCTGATGTTAGGCAGAAACACAATCCTGAAAGTTTCAAGAAAAACATAGCAAACTGGTTTGAATTGAAGTAGTGAAGCAGTAGGATCTTTCCAAAGGTATATGCCCATCTAAACACCAGGGATGATGCTGAGGAAAAAGGGAGGAGTGGCCGCTGGGACGCACAACAGGCTCCAGCCGGCTGCGTGGTCTGAAGTGAGGAGGGAAGCTTGGCTCAGCCACCGTCGCGCTAACCCGCGGTCATGACCTGGGCACCTCTTTGTGCTTGGGTGAGTGCAAGGGCATTTGAGAAAACATGGTCAGTGTTCTCAGAGAAGTCGTGATGGTGTGAGGCCCCCCAACATCAGTGAGGGGGCAGAGAAGGCAGGACCAGGCTGGCGCCTTGAGGGCCGGTGTGCGCGCTCAGGTGACAAGACCAGCCTGGAATGGGACGGTGTTGGTGTTTTGCTGTTGTTGTGAATACACTTCCAGTGTTTCATGGCACTTGAGGAACAGAAAGCCCTAAAGATTTCTTCCCATTTGTGAAATGTTCTGGCGGATATAATTAATGTTTGGGGCTTTTAATACAATTGTAATCTTTAAGGGATTCTGTGCATGTTGAACAGACACCATTGAAATAGCGTCTGTTAGAGAATCACAGGATATTATTCCTTCATTTAGAAGGGCGAGAGGTGCTAATCAAACCGGTTTACGTGAATGCATTTACTTTATCCACCAATTTATTTAGTGCCAATGGATCTCCAGAAGAAATCCATTCGCATGAATCCCTGATGATGGGCTCAGCCCGCTGAGCTGCAGAGAACACTTTGGCCACACATTTCTGAAATTTCCTTTGAAATCCGAAAGACATCATTTGCTTTAGAAATGCATTATTAATGTTCCAATTAATATAAAATTCTCTGCTGTGTTTTTGGTGCCTTGAATGAGAACCAAGAAACCTTACAAAATACAATGTGAATTGCAGTGAACAAACTTTAGAACATTTTCCACTCTAGAAATGCGAGCACCGTTTATGGTTTCCCAGGCTTTCCATCAGTGTTCCTCAGCGGGCTATGTTACTAAATGTAGTGTGTGTCTTCCGAATTTAAGCTGAATTCTAAACCAGATGCCCTTCATGACAATCTCTGCAATTCCTGCTGCAAACCACAGCCTTCCTCCTCGATCATCATAATTAGAAGCTGAGTTTAATGGAGCACTTTTAAAGATTGCTCATAATGATGCCAAATATTTGTACAATTCCATGAAATGTGCAAATTGCGTACTACTTAGCCTTAATAGGTGCAAAGTGAGTAACTTCCCGTGTACTGCCCGTGGTTGAGGATATGTGGTATCTGTGAAATGCAGAACTGAGCATTTCACTGCAGGTAACACAGCACATCTTCCCTTTTGCATTAATTAAGTAGGACATCCGAACAAAAGCAGGGCTTCCTTTGAAACTCCCTGAGAAAACCGGTCGTATGGACGCCCGTCTGTTTCCAAATGAATGCTCTGGGGGCCTTGGAATGTAGACAGCTTGTTGCAAAACCTTGCTTCATGTACTTTTCATTCATCTGTGATTTTTGAGGTTTCTTGCTTTATTTCCACCAACTGCATTTTCCTATCAGATTGTGATTGCAGCGAGTCTTCTCCAGTATAAACCACTGTAGCAAGTGGTATCTCTTAGCTGTACCTGCCATGGGAGAGGTGGGTGGAGTCGCTGTGGCCCGCTGTGAGGTCTGAGGAGCAGGCACGTCCCTGCTCGTGGGATCTGCCTGGGTCCCCGACCACCTTTCCTGCCCCGGCTCACTTAGGAAGTCTTATCCAATCTCAGGCCAATTTCAAAGGTCAGCCTCTTTGGAAACTTCCTGCTTTTCCCAACTCATTGGATGCGAATCATTGGCCTCTGAATTCCTGAAATATTTTTTTTTCTTCTTTTGTGGCTCTATCTTGCTTTGCTTCCCATATTTGTGTGGTATCTCGTCCCCCTGCCCCCACCCAACTGCCTTCCACCGAATTGAAAACTCTCTGAGGGTAGAGAACCCTAAGCTATTCATCTCTTGAAATATTTAGAGCATTGTGTAGAGTGTTCTTTAAAATTTGTTAAATTGAACCCAAAATATTACTTTATATCCTGCCATATTCTGGAAACAATTTCTTCAGATATTAATTTATGTTGAACTTACAGGCTTTTTAGAATTAAAAAAAAAAGCCTCCTGTTAAAATGTGTAAACTGCAAGGCAGCCCTCAAGTGCACTCAGCTCAGGGCAGGGAGCGAGAAGGACATGGTGTCCAGCAGATAGGGGGGCCTCTGGGAAGTGGACCCAGGACGGAGCGCAGGGAAGGAGGTGGCACTCCGAGAAGGGGCAGGAGGCTTAGAAACGGGTGCACACCCCAGTTGTCCTCACCAGGGCGCAGCAGCCCTGCCTGGACGCCATGCTTCACGTGAGTGGTTTTGTTTTGTAGAGGAGGTAACTCTTAGCTGCTCAAGGACCTGCCGAGGACGCACAGCTAACTCAGTGGAAGGGCTGAGAATGCAGGTTTTCTCACCATAACTTAGAATCCTTTCTTCCTCAAGCGAGCAGGGGGTCCTTGGTGGCTGTGGCCAGGCGCTAAACACAGGTAGGGCTGCCACAACTCTTGGTGGCTGTGGCTAGGCACTAAACACAGGTAGGGCCGCCACAACTCTTGGTGGCTGTGGCCAGGCGCTAAACACCGGTAGGGCCGCCACACCTTGGTGTTCTTCCTTGTGGTGTCTTTTGGAGCCTGGGGAACGGGATGGGCCAAGCCACAGCCACCCTGAGATTCTGCACTCCGGCCCAGCCACACGGATGCCAAACTTGGTCCAGACGCGCTCCAGGCGGGCAGCTGCCCCCGGGCTGCTTTGAACTTTACACATTCTTCACTGAGCATCCCATGAAGGGAGGTTGGACGCTGTCAGCGGACATGATGCCGTCACCACACAAAGCTCTAGTTTTGTCTTTTTTGGCTATTGCTTTCCCAAGCCTTATACAGGTTAAGATCTGAAAAAAAAAAAAAAAAAAAAAAAAAGCTTAAAAACCAAACCAAACCAAACCCCAAACTCCAAGGGCCTCAGTCTCCTTAACTTTGCTGCTCCAAGCACCGTCTGCCATCAGCACGCCCTCTGCTGGGAGGAGAGAGATTGTCCTTTCCTTCTATAGAGTGCTTCTGCCTGAGATTTGTTATAAAGGGATTTAACTGAGTTCCATGGAGCTGAATTGAAGTGTTTCTTTTGAGAAGCCCCACTGGTTTCTGCTGAGGCTGGGCATCCGGCTTTCTGTTAGGAGAGCGCTGATCTAGGGGTTATTTTTGGGCCAAATGCACTCTTCCTGTTTCACAATTGTTTGTTGAATGAATAAGAGTTGCACCATACTACCCGGTAACATAGTCCGGAATTCAGCATGATTTCTGCTGAGTTTTGTTCAGAGAAGGCCATGTGTTGAGCCCTCCCAAGACCCAGTAGGGGAGGCCGTGTTCTGAAGGTCCTTGTACCTGCAAGGTCACAGAGGCTCAGTGATGCCACCTCCCACACCTCCTGCAGCTGGAGAACTGCCGTGGTGTTGCAGTCAGGCTCTCCAGGTCTAGAATCAGCTGCCACACCACACAGTGCCCTGGGGATGCAGCTCCACAGGGCAGGGTTTCAACAAGCATGTCAGCTGCTGCCTGGCCTTGGGGGCCTGTGGAGCCGATTTGTCCCTTTCCACCCGTACTGGTGCAGAGTCAAGGTGGGCCCCAGCTCTCCTTCCTCCCCAACAGGCTCCACATCCCCACACTGCTGTCCTCACTCACCGAGGACCCTGTAGTCCCTTGCCAGCCTTGTCATTGCTTTATTCTTCCTCCACGGAAATGCCAGTCCGCGATTGTGAGACCTTCACTGTTTCTGGTCGCCATCTCATACCTGGCACACCGTCCACATCCACATCCAGCTAAGCACAGTGGTTGAGAATTAAGAATGTAGGTCTTGCACCCAAAACACTAGGACTGGTGGCTGGCACTGAAATTTCCAAGCAGTGCTACCTAGGGAAAGATTGTTAATCTTTCTGTTCTCAGTGTTTTCATAAGAAAAATTTCGTAAGATAGTGATCCCCGTCTCAGAGGGTTGTTGTGAGGATTAAGTGAGGTAATATGTGCAGAGCATTTGGTGAATGCTGTTACATAGCAGTCAGTACTTTTATTATTAACAATAAAATCATAAGAATTTTGTATTTATAACAAAAGTAATTCAAATCTTGAAATGAAATTAGGATGGCATATTTGTCTCCCTAGCACGTAGGCCTTCTGAAGGCATTGAAGGTCTGACTAGAAACACATACAGAATGTATATGAATCAGAATAATGCCTTCTTTAGGAAAGTCACTCCCAGAGCCTACTTGTTCATTTGGTCAAAAGAACCTGGTATTGCTTGAAAATACTGAACAGTTTGTGTTTGAGCCACCTCCATGGCCTGCAGCTCACCCTTCTGCATCTCGCTGATGGCCAAGACGTGTGAGCCTCTGCATGGAAGTGATTTAATGTGAGTGACTCAAGTTCTTTGGAATGGAGTATGATGAGTAGGGTAAGTATGTGAGCTGCATAACCAATTTGGTAAAAATATAAGTATAGTCATAAAATAAGGGACTTGGGTTTTCTAAACTGGTTTCCTAACTGACTCTGAAGACAATTACAAAAGGGGAACCCTAAAAATGCTTTGAGTGAGGCAAAACCAGGGGGAAAACCACGAGGCTGCCCACAGCAACCGCTTCAGCAGCCAGGGCTCATGGTGTCTGTTAATCAGAGTGCGTTTGTCTAAGCTTTGTTATTTCATGATCATTTCTTCTATGTTTATACAATATGGTAACTTTTGCAGACATGAAACATGTCCATGACCGTTTAGAAAACTGGCTTCTGTCTATTGATGTTCTAGTTCTTGACCTAATGTTTTCTTATTTGACTTTCTTATTTTATTTTTTAGAGACAGAGTCTGGCTCTGTTGCCCAGGCTGGAGTGCAGTGCTACATCATAGCTCGCTGCAGCCTCAAACTTGTGGGCTCAAGCCATCCTCCCACTTCAGCCCCACAAAGTGCTGGGATTACAGATGTAAGCCACCACTCCTGGCCTCTTAACTTTCATTATTAGGAGTGCTTAGTACATAAAAATGATGTTAATTTTTAGCTTAGGAAGGAAAATATGCACATAGAGGAAATTGGCCAGGAGTGGTGGTTCATGCTTGTAATCCCAGCAGTTTGGGGGGCTGAAGTGGGACGATCGCTTGAGGATGGGAGATCAAGACCAGCCTGGGCAACAACCCCAGCTCTACAAAACAAAAAAACAAACAAACAAGCCGGGCATGGTGGCATGTGCCTGTAGTCCCAGCTACTCAGGAGGTTGAGGCAAGAGGAGCCCTTGATCTCAGGAGTTCAAAGCTGCAGCCTGCAGTGAGCTATAATTGTGGTATTGCTCTCCAGCCTGGGTGACAGAGGGAGACTAAAAAAAAAAAAAAAAAAAAAAAAAAAGAAAGAAAGAAGTAAAATTTATCAGCCTGGGCAACATGGCAAAACCCCATCTCTACTAAAAATATACATGTATAAAAAAATTAGCCAGATGTGGTGGCATGTGTCTGCAGTCCTAGCTACTCAGAAGGCTGAGGTGGGAGGATCGATTGAGCCCAGGAGGTTGAGGCTGCAGTGAGCCCTGATTATACCACTGCACTCCAGCCTAGGCAACAGAGTGAGACCCTGTCTCAAAAATTAAAAAAAAAAAAAGAAAAAGAAAATTTATGATGTTGTTATGTCTAGACCTTCTTTTTATATGCCAAATGTCTGTAATGATGACGGTGACACTGTTTAGCTAAATGGTTTAGGTGAAAGAAGTACCACCATTTGGTCATGGAAGTAGATATCCTGGCAAATGTATTTGCCTGTTTATTATAAACTCAGATGGATAAACCTTGTACATATCTTGTTCTACGTGTTAGACGTTTCCAAAACACGTTATGAACTAAGCTGTGATTCCTGTGTCCTTACACTTGCATGCCATAGGTAATAGCTATTTCAACCCTTTGCTTTCAGCAAAAGTCTTTGAGAAAACTCCCATTCCTAATGGTGACTCCTGTGGCATATGTCACATCTGTTGCTGCTCTGTGGCCTGTAGCTTCAGACCTTACATTTTTCCCAGGCAGATTTGAATAAATAGGAGCTTTTACAGCACTGCCCACACAAATGGAGAGATACACACCCCAGGTTTCCCATCAAAAGGTCACAAACCTTGGAAGAAATTCTTTCTTTGAAAACATGTATACAAAACAGGATAGGTATAAAAACTTTTTTAAAATACCAAACTAAAGATGTAGGGAGAAAAGTAAAAGTAAAGCAATATCTGAAACATTTCCAGCTGCTTTAAACTTTTTTTTAAAAAGTTGAAAATGTTATTCATCATTTTTGAGTTTATACAAAATATATGCCCATCTTCCCCCTCCACTCAGGTGGCTCCGAGGTTGGAAGTCAGAGGGTTGTATCTTTCCCTGCTTTGACCTCATCATCTGGCATGTAGGAGATTCTCAATACACATTGTCAAACCAAATATAGACAGAAGGAAAATATGTGCGGTGCTCAAATGATGCGAAGGCCCACGAGTGCAAGATAAAACACCTGTACGTACAAAAATACTGGGTGTGTTATGTAGGGAATTATAAAACCTTTGTCAAAATCAAGTAGTGTGATCTTTCATCTTTTGCAGATTATCTATTGTGAGAATATATTGGGCTACAGTTTGCTGCTTTTCAGCCAGTGAAGCACATGAAGGAATTGTCTTTAGAGCTTGAGTTTGTGTCTGCAGAGAAAGGTGGGGGCTGGAGAGGTAGGTGCCATGATTTATGGGATTTGTGGATGTGACTAGAGAAGATATCCTCTGGCTTCTGTGGTCAGAAGCCAGAGGATATCATCCCCCAGTGACATCAGCCTGTATTTGGAAGTTCGGAGTAGTTACTGCTCTGCCTGTTGGACACACATGTGGCAGAGTTTGTTTCTGCTGCTTTGAGTGTCTGAGCCAGTGCGGCAAATCACCAAGTGCTTGCCTAACAACTGAAGCAAAGGATACTTTTGTTTTTTTTTTTCCGTTTGGCACATGAGAAAGCCTTCTCCTCTTTCCTGCTCAAATATACACAAAGGACTCAGTATACTTGGAGTGTTAACACCAAGAAAAGGACATTGAGAATTTTAAAGGAGTTTAATCTGACAATTGATGCTCTAGTTAATTCCTAAATGAATAACTGATTAGCTCCACATTTTCCAGGAAATCACAGCATTATGCCTCATGACATAATTCAAGATTACATATCGTTTTATTTTATCTCAGAGAAGCACATACATGAAAGCCAAACATTTTTCAGCTTGGCGCTTATTCCTTTTCTAGCATGTCTGGACTAGCAATTTCACTCATTAATAGGTAGCAAAAAACATCATTGCAAAAGAGAGAATTAGGCTTTAATTTTCAAAGAATGTGTAAGTGGTTTGGAGCATGAAGATGTCAGATGGCCGCCAGGCTGGAGAAGACACTCATGGTGTCTGTTTAGAAACAAAAGTGGAGTCTCCATGAGAGGTTGTTCTGATTTTCAACGTGGAAAGGGAAATCCATTCATTTGAATATTTCTTCTAAAAATGCTAACAAGGATGCCAATGAGCAGCCATTAAACTGTGGTTTTAATGATGTGGACACCCGCCCATGAAGGACTTTCTGTAGATGGCGGCCTCGTGACATATGGGTCACTGGGTTAGTTTCCCAGAGTAAACGTCTATTATTTATTTTTTCTGTGGGTTGGTTGGCCCTTTGTAAATTGGAATTATAGATGTTTTAAAGCAAGACAGCATCATTTGAAATGATCTCTGCCAGCTTGCTCATTTTAATGAAGCCTCCAAAGCCCCCACGGGAGGCAGAGTTACATCTGAGCTGGGTCCCTCGGCTCTCCCAACCGGGGCGGGCCTTTCACTGTGAGCTGGGTCCCTCGGCTCTCCCAGCCAGGGCAGGCCTTTCACTGTGCTGCAGATGATCTTGTCAATTTCTGGGCCGTTGTCCTGTGATAGGAGTAGCAGTTAATTAAGACTTGCAGAAGGCCAACGTGGTCTCTCCTTGACTCCCAGGTCACACAATCAACCTCTTAACAGGACTGTTTTGTTGTTGTTGTTGTTGTTGTTCTCTCTTTTGTTTTATGGAACACCTGGGTTCTTGGCTTCTGTTTCTCTCTCCCCTATGCCCACCCTCAGACCCCTGAACTGCCATTAACAGTTGCAATAGGAAATAAGAAAGAAACAAAATACTGTAAACTAATTTTGCTACATCTCAATTGCTCCGGATACATTTTGAGTGGCTAAAAGAAATTGGATACATTAAAACAGATCTGTACAGTGAAAAACTGGAAACAATTGCACAGTTAAATGATAGTGAAAGAGGGGAGTGAATGATCAGGTAGCAATGGAGGGTCAGGTGGCTTTGGAGCTGAAACACTTGCATGGGGGTCTGGGTTCTGCTGAACCTTCTTCTTCTAGAGATCTTGGAAGAGAGACTTAATTTCTTTGCTCCAGTTCTTTCATCTATAAAATGGAGATCAGAATACCGAACTCATCAGGTTCTTGTGAAGACAAAGTAGCTCATCTACAGTGCTCAGCAGAGTGGCCAGCTCAGCGTGGTAACCATTGCTATACATCAGTATCATAGCTATAACTAGTATTGTCTGCAAGAAGGACTATTGCAGACCCTTTAAGATTATCTGTAAGAGTTTACAAGGACATGAAAAAACTATCCATTAAGAAAATTTTATGAAAAAAGGAGAATTAAAACTGTAAGAACCATATGATGTCAAAATATAAAAATACACAGAAGATTAGAAAGAAATAGACAACATATTAACATTGATTGCCTCTGGATGTTGGAATTATGGGTGGTCTTAAAAAGAATGCTGATTTATCCTTTCTCATTTTTTAGCAATAGTCATCTGTTACTTTTACAACAAGTGAAGAGATACTTGAACTCCAAAAAGAAAATAAGAAAAGGAAATTCATTCTATATATTTCATTTAATCAATTACATTGACATAATATTGTGAATTTAAAAGTTGGGTCTATGCAATGAAACAAAAATGTGTAGGCGACTTTGCCCTTGTCTGTGCTATTGAAAAATATCTGGGCGTGAACCTGGGAGGCAGAGCTTGCAGTGAGCCGAGACTGCATCACTGAACTCCGAATATATATATATATATATATTTGGGAATTTAGGTTTTTTAATATATATATATATTTGGGAATTTAGGCTATATATATATATATATATATTTGGGAATTTAGGTTAATTAAAGTTAAAATGGAGAGCCAGTGCAAGAGAAATCCTGTTGTTCTCTCATGAGAGAAAGCTGAGAAGAGAGATGTCAACGGCCAAAGATGCCCGGAGCCTGGGCCTGCCTTTAGTGGTGCCTCCCATCGTGCTGGAAATGGTGGCACCTGACTGACCCTTGTGGGTCAGGGAGGGAGAGAGAGGGGGACAGCAGTGTGGTGGATGGTTTGCTTCCAGGGTTAGGCGGATTTGGAGAAGTGGGGACCTCATGGAACCAGTACAGGGAAGGCTGAGCACACAGCCGCAGAGGAATTTTGCCCGGGTGCATGGCACACAGCCTGTGGGCTGCCCAGGAACTCATCTTGTGACTGCATGAGAATTTAATTGTTTTTTATGTGGTATCTTTTAAGCCAGAGAACTTTCCTCTGTATCAGTAAACATTACATTAATTTTCCATTGTTGTCGTTAGTTCTAAGATCCTGTGGGTCATATTGAAGTCTTATTAATCCCATTGGAAACATCCCAAAATAAGCAAATAATAAAAAAAAAGAGTCCCCTAAAGTCTCATCAGGAAGTGATGTCAGTTGCTGAAGTTTTGCTTCCAAACGTGTGTTTTCCTTGCCGCTGTTTTTTTGCATTCACAGGCGTGAGCCCTTCTGGGAATGGCTGAGCGCAAACATCTTGTAGCTTTACAAACTATTGATGTATCACTCTTTGACACACTATTAAACATCTGTTGACCTACCTAAAAATTACAGTTTCAGGGAGAGAAGGAAAGCATGGCACGTCTACTTGCTGATGAAATGTTTGCCCTGTGTAGATGCTTGACTCTATTGGATGGAGGTGCTTGTGGTTAATGCAGCCAAGATTCTGCTTATTGTCAATATCTGATCCAAAACCAATGATTCATGTTCCAAAGAAAATGTTTCTTTTCTATTTTCCCGTCGTGCAGGCTCTCCCCACCAGACTGGAGCTGGCCGCCCGCACACTGTTCTCCATCTGGGTGACACAGGAGATAATTGCAGGACTCTTACAGCCATGATAAACCGTGCTTTCCCCAGCTTCGAAGCCCTTTGAAGTTGCAGACAGTTTCATGATAATTGATAATGTAATCTCAGCCCAGCCTGTATATGCTTTTTTCCCCTTTCCCGGCTGCTCCGTGAGGAGGGAATTACCACAGCATCTGCACTGATTGCCTCCGGAAGAGGTCACAGTGCGGGAACTGCCCTGTTCACACAAAGTTTTTGTGAAAGGTGAAGTCTTGGCGAGATCCAAGTAGCAGCCAGTGGACCTAGTTGGAAGTGGGGTGGAGACCAGGGGAGAGCCGGGAGAGAAACAAGTTTTCATTCCTAGTACCTCGAGGCCTTACACGGCAATTACTATTGCAGAGGCAATCACAAAGTTGTTAATTACAGGTTTATACCCTCGTAGCCGCAAGTAGAAATGAAGGGGCTAATGCTTACAAAGTGGTGCTTGAAGAAAGTTATGGGTGATTTCTTTTCTCCTTTTTAGTGGAATTACTTAATTAATAGTCAGATTTGGGCCTGATGAGGAAGAGAACCCTCAAAGAGACATCTCCTTAGAATAATTGCATCTGTCCATCCCTCCAAGTTGCTTTTCTTAACTTGTCATTCTGTCTTCATTTTCCCTAATTATCTCTGGAAGTCTTTCAGATGTGGACCTAAGACAGCATCAGGTATTACATGTGCCTCCCTGCCAGCCTGGGTTGTGATATTTTATATCACAGAGATGCTCTGCTCTGTGGTCACTTATTAACCCGGTTACCCCGAGAGATCCAGGAGTCCACACTGCATTCCTCATGGCTGGGCCTGGTGAAGCTTTCCTCCCCGTGCCCGCCGTTGCAGCCCCACTCTTCGGAAAGGCCGGGCAAACCCACTGTGGCTCCTCGGCGGTCTCACCGCGAGGCGAGAAACGCTGGTCCTGAAAAGCTGCACTCCAGTCTGGCTTAAAAAGTCAAATCCTCTTTGAAGCAATCTGCGTTTTCTGTTCTTAAACTTTGACTCAGAAGAACTCAGCGACCCTGCTGGAAGCGTGGTCTGACTGGCAGGCAGTCAGACTGGCAGGGATGCACGGTCAGGCCCCGTGGTGGTGGCCTGCTCCTGCCTGGGCTCCTCACGGGCGCTGGAGTCTGTGCTGAGTCCTCGTCCCCGCCACACACCTCCAGCCTCCTCTGGTGCATTCACGCAGGGCGGCGTCTCTCGGGAGTCCTGGGTCTCACAGTCTCATGAGCTGAGCCAGGACCAGGTGCAGCTCCTCTTGGTCTGTAGCCCTGATGAGTGAGGACGATCTGCCGCCCGCACCAGGCCCCACGCCCAGTGGTGGAGCTGGGTGGAACCACAGAAGAAGACAGTGCCCGTCCCGTGCCTAAGTCCCGAAGTCCTGGGGGCAGGTGTGGGGGCCGAGCACCCTGTCAGGCCCTCCCTGGAGCTGGGCTTCACTGTCCACTGCTGCTGGCTGCCTGCGGGAGCTCTTCCTCTCCATCCCCGCCAGCTGCATTTAAAAGAACGTTGAAGAGCCGCCTTCCTGGGGGTGAGCGGCTTTCTCTGCCTGCTTTCCGCTTGTAGAAATTTGGGAAGTGCAGGGGTCTTTTGATATCGTTACTCCCAGCTGGGAGAACTTTGACCTAAAAACCCTGAGGAATGCCACAGGCCTCTTTACTGACCCGTCTAGCCAGCACTGCAGGTTCTACCGCAGCTGTCACCCTCCCTCTAGCCAGCTCTGAGGTTCGGCCGCGGCTGTCACCCTCCTTCTAGCCAGCACTGCAGGTTCGGCCGAGGCTGTCACCCTCCCTCTAGCCAGCACTGCAGGTTCGGCCGCGGCTGTCACCCTCCCTCTAGCCAGCACTGCAGGTTCGGCCGCGGCTGTCACCCTCCCTCTAGCCAGGTCTGCAGGTTTGTCCGCGGCTGTCACCCTCCCTCTAGCCAGCACTGCAGGTTCGGCCGCGGCTGTCACCCTCCCTCTAGCCAGCACTGCAGGTTCGGCCGCGGCTGTCACCCTCCCTCTAGCCAGCACTGCAGGTTCAACTGCGGCTGTCACCCTCCCTCTAGCCAGCTCTGAGGTTCGGCTGCGGCTGTCACCCTCCCTCTAGCCAGCACTGCAGGTTCGGCCGCGGCTGTCACCCTCCCTCTAGCCAGGTCTGCAGGTTTGTCCGCGGCTGTCACCCTCCCTCTAGCCAGCTCTGAGGTTCGGCTGCGGCTGTCACCCTCCCTCTAGCCAGCTTGGCATGTTCAGCCGCGGCTGTCCTTTATGGGTGACTGTCTTATCTGTGGTTGGCTTCTTCAGGACCAGCCTTGAGACCACTTTCTAGAGGCTGAAAGGACTGACCAGGGGCCTATAGGGTGTGGTCACACAGCCCGGAGGCAGGCTCTGCCCCGACGCCAGGTCCCAGTGGCTTCACCCTGGACTCGGCCTCTTTCCAGGTCCTAGTTGTTTCACCCTGGACTCGGCCCCAGTCCCCACACTGGGTCCCGGTGGCTTTCACCCTGGACTCGGCCTCTGCCCCCACTCCAGGTCCTAATGGCCTTCACCCTGGACCCGGCCTCTGCCTCCACGCTGGGTCCTAATGGCCTTCACCTTGGAATCAGCCTCTGCCCCCATGCCGGGTCCCAGTGGCCTTCTACTGGTCTTGGTCTCTGCTCCCATGCTGGGTCCTAATGGCCTTCACCCTGGACTTGGTCTCTGCCTTGAGGCTGAATCTTGGGGAGCAAACTCAGACCATTCTTTTTTTTTGAGACGGAGTCTTGCTCTGTCACCCAGGCTGGAGTGCAGTGGCGCGATCTCGGCTCACTGCAAGCTCCGCCTCCCGGGTTCTTGCCATTCTCCTGCCTCAGCCTCCCAAGTAGCTGGGACTAGAGGCACCAGCCACCGTGCCCGGATAATTTTTTGTATTTTTAGTAGAGATGGGGTTTCACTGTGTTAGCCAGGATGGTCTCAGACCATTCTTAATTTTACCTTTTACTGGCTGGAGATGAGAAGCAGTTCCACTTTACAGTTCCTGCAAGTTCTAGAGTTTCTATCTCCCAGCACACCCTCTGCATTCTGTACATGAGCAGCCAGCTCTTTTCTGGGTTCCTCTCCCTAGTGGTGCCTTATCAAGGGCAGTTAGTCATCATAAGCGAATCTGGCAACTTGAGTTGCATTTTCTGCTAAGTGGCTTGTCGTGGGCAGCTGCTTTTTCTACTGTTACATAACAGGTCTTAATTTTTCTAGCCCGAACCAGTTTCCCACCTATCTGTGGCCTGGTCTGTGGCCAGGACCCCTCCCTTCAGGTGTTTTACAGCAGCACTCCCATCTGCTGGCAGTTTCCATTTGAGGCAGGGTTTTTGCTATGAGAATTCTGCATAAGAAACAATCCCACATTCCCATAGCTTTCACCATCAACCTTTATTTCTCACGGGGATGGGGAGGTCGAGGCAGCTCTGTCCCTGCTGCTGGTGAGCCCAGCTGGGCCTGCCCCACAGTCTCACTCTGGGGCCAGCAGGATCCAGGGAACACTTTGGCCTTGCCAGATGGCGGAACAAACAGCAAATACACATTCAAAGCTCATGCCTTCAAATCAGTATTTTACACATTTTCTTCAGAGTTTATCATTCTTTTAGGCAAAAAGGTCAGAACGATAGAAGCTACTCTGCCACAGCTGGAAGTTGGAAGTGCTGCACAATCTTGATGTACAGAAAATTCCTTCAACTAATCAAGTCTAACAATTCTGTGTTCATTTTACTGTTGTTTCTTTTTCTAAAATGTGTACCGGCATATCTCTTGCAAGTTATGATTTGCTTGCAAACTTTTCTCCAATGGTTCTTCTTCTAATGTCTATTTCATGTTTTACTCTAATAATTGAGAACTGCATTAATGTTGATAACAAGGAGATATTACAGTTTTTTTCTATCCAGTAAGACACTGGTTTTAGTTTTAGATATTTTTACAGTGCTGAGGTGACATTTGTCTATTTCTGCTTTCAAAGAGCTTTTAAAAATCAGGAAAGGCCACTGCGTGTAATGAAAATATTTTCACCATCTCCTGAGATTATTTTACAACTATTGTCTTTTGGATTAAAATGGAGCCATCCTTGAATTACTGGGGTGACAACTACTTGTTCTTGGTGGATGATTCTCCTACTATTCTGCTGAATTTGCTAATATTTTACTTGGAATTTTCCAGTCTATATTCAAAGTGAGAGGAATGCATGGTTTTACTTTTTTCTTTTTTTTGATATTTGTGAGATTTCAATATGATGATCAGAATCATGGTCGCTTCACAAAATGAATTAAATATCTTTCTGTCTTTTTCTACACTCAGAGATAATTAAGATGGCATGAAAATTATCTATTCTCTCAAAAATAAATAAAATTTATAAAATGCCAGTGAAGAGGAATTTCTTTCCCTCCTCCTGTCCTTCCTTCCTTCTATCATTTTTCTTTTAATGATTTGTTTTTACTGCCATGAATTTATCTTTTAGTGCAGCTTTGGCCTTTCTTTCCTAAATTTTGATATGTAACATTCTTGTTTTCTCAATAGTATACACATGAAATTACATATATAATCCCCAACTTTGTGCCTTACAAAGAGCAGACCTTCTTTCATATGTACTCATAACAAATATAAAAACTGATTCTATATTGGGTCATGAAGAATACATCAGTGAATGACAGAAAGCCCAAATTGCAGTAAGTGCAGCCAACAAAACAAACATTAAATAAACACTACCCCCCTATCCTTTGGAGCATTAAAAACACTCTTCTATAAATAGTTTTTGGGTCAAATAGAAACTGGATTATTTCCCTTCTTTAATGCTGTGGATTATTTCCCCACAGACCTTTCTTTCTGTTTTCTGCTTGCACATTGTTGGATAAGGAAATTCTCTCTATAAGAAAACAGTGTTCACTCCTTGCAGGGTGAGGGACTTCTCACGGCCTCCGCCCTGCCTGCTCTCTGACACTGAGATGGGGTGCACTGGGGTGCCCTGTCCGGTCCAGGCTCTCAGGTCTGGTGGACACTGTCTTGGGTGGGCTCCTCTGGCCCTCTCTGGGGAGGGGTTTGATGGTGATCTGCAGTATTGTGTCTCCGTCCGTCCACAGCACGTGAAATGTGATTCATTCATGCCCTCAACCCAGGATCTTCTAACCTCAACCCAGCGAGTGTCTCCTTCTACCCTGACTGAGCTGGATCCTGGGCTTGTGTTATATGGTGGCTGTGGACGGCAAGGAGCCAGGAGGGAGGGAAGGAAACATGCCCGGGTGCCCACTTGTGTTTCTGGTTATCCCAAGCTCTGAATCTCTAATCTAGGGGCAGAAATTGGGCAGGGGCAGGGAGGGGGTCAGAGCCTCTGTTAGTGCTCCCTAGCCCATGGCGCTGCTCTGTTCAGATGGGGAAGGACACGGGCTACGCTTCTCTAGTCCCCCCGGAGCAGGGGAGTGGTTCACGCCTACTCAAGATACCAACACTGCCTTCCTGTGACCGTTCAGGAAGGTTGCTTCTCATTCAAGTTTTCTAACAGGAAAGGGGGCACCAGCTGGGAGGCGCCATTTAAGAGAAACGCCCCCGCCCTGATCTTTGGCAACTTGTGTCTTTGCACCCTCCTTGTCTTGTCACCACCATCCCCCACCCTCCAGGTGATCTCAGGATCTCCGTGCACAGTGGGAAGGATTATTTTGCTGCAGAATGTGGCTCCTCGATCAGAGGCCTCTCTCCACCCATATGCTGAGAAACCAGCCCGGTTGGTGGCTCTGGGCTCACGTGACATTAGCAGGGGTGGTTCCAGGAGGTGACGCTGGCCTCTGTGGGCACAGACCACTTTGGCTAATTTGTTGCTCTCATATCATTGCATGCATATGGCTTGGTGACCCCAAGGCCAAGTCTACTGCATTTCAGTAGCAACTCAGACCAGCAACCACAAATCCAAGATCTGGTGACCGAGCAAGCAGCCGACTCACTTCCCTGGCAGCCTCTATCTCTTCCCCTGAGCACCCACCTAAGATTTTCCATCCTCTTCGGGGCTGCATCCAGAATCCTGTGCTGCCTCTCCCTGTGCCGCCTCTCCCTTTGCCACCTCTCCCTGGCTCTCCCTGTGCCGCCTCTCCCTGTGTCGCCTCTCCCTGTGCCGCCTCTCCCTTTGCCGCCTCTCCCTTTGCCACCTCTCCCTGGCTCTCCCTGTGCCGCCTCTCCCTTTGCCGCCTCTCCCTGGCTCTCCCTGTGCCGCTGAAGTCACAGAATTGGGCGTGTCTACACCGTGACTGCCAGTGAGCACGGCCCCCTGGCACCTTGCTAGGTCTGGCCCTCACCCTGCAGCCTCTTCTGTGGCTTCTCAAGGGAAGGACTTCTTTTCCTGCACTTGGGGTGCACAAATGGGAATTGGGCTCAAAAGTTTATCTGCTGTTCATTGCCATGTCCAAGCCATTTCCTTTCTCATCCTCAGGAAGAAAGAACCTTCTGCTTTCCTGAGGCTCGTGTCATTGGCCTGCACTTCTCTGTCCTCCTTGCTGTAAGCAGGTGAACCTCCTTTGGTTGGAGGCATTCACACTTGACTCTCAGACTGTCGTCTTCCCACTGTTCTGCTACCTCAGAGCCATTGGCACACAGCTCTGCCACTCTCCCCCAGCTCCCGCCCGTCTCTGCTGCTGCATGAGTGCCCACATTCACAGGAGCGCAGCCTTCCCAGCAGGGAGGAGAGCTCGCCTGGGACATGGCCCCTTTGTGTCTTCTGCAGGTGATATTCCTGGGACATGGCCCCTTCCTGTCTTCTGCAGGTGATATTTCCTTTCAGGCACACTAGGTGAACTTCTTATAGCGTCGGGCTGTTTTCCAGGCATTGTTCCACATCTTCTCATCTTATTATCAGGAGGTAGGCAAGGTCATTCCATTTTACAGACAGGGAACAGACCCAGGGACCTTCAGGGACTGTCCTAAGATCTAGGGTGAGAACCCAGGGCTCTGGTTTCCACAGACTCTCATCTGTCCTTAAACGTCACATGGAGGAAAGACATAGAAGATTTTTTCCTTTTTTAAAAATTTCAGTGACGAAATAGTAGATATGTCAAGATGAGAAAGGATAAGTAATTTTCAGAAGACCACATGAAATGCACTAGTTGCAGAGAAAGGCCGTCTGCGTTTCCTCATTCTAATCTCAGTCTCCAGCTTCCGGTGCCAGATTTACGCGTGAAAGCAATTTAGTGGAATGTATGACGACATCGAGGAAAGAACTCACATCGACTTTGCATTGTGGGTACTTGGAGCAGAAGGTGACACACTTGGCATGTATTTTGGCTCCTGAAGAGAACAAAATACATCACAGAAAACTTGTTCATATACAATGTGGACGAGAAATGACTTTAACATTTACACTCGTGGTTTGTTTCTCTGTGTTCTCACTTTCCTCAATGCTTTCTGCCTCTGTACTAATAGCCTTTTAGTATTCAAAAACATTTTTTAGAGACCCGTTAGAAAATGGTGGGAAGTAGGGGTTCGGGAGAATGCAGACCTGGCTCTCCCCCGCTCCGTGGTGACCCCTTTGTCTCCAGGTGTGGCGGCTCGCTCCGTGGCCTGTGTCACCGTCCATCATCCTGGGACCCAGCCACACCACATATGGGATGAAGGGAGAGGGCCAGGGTAGGTTCCTTCCCTCTGCCTTTGAAGATTAATTTAGACTTTCCTTCTCTCTCTCTCTCTTTCTCTCTCTCTGGTGTGGTCAGAGAGAGCATGGTGGCGTGGCAGTGCTCAAATTACCCCAGTGATTCTGACAGCACATTTACTGAGCTTCTCCAATTGCCCCCTCTCTGATCTGGAGCTGAAACTGTATTGATTCCTATGAATCGATTTGCACATCAGATGGAGGAGAAGTGTTTCTTTCTTAGGGAGCATTTTTGTCAAGATGACTTTCCTCAAATAACTGTCATACTAGGGCACCAGACAGCATATTCTGGGATGACTTTGTCACACACCATTGTCTTTAAATGAAAGAGGCAGCCTGGCTTTGAGGGACTCGTGCCATTAGCATGTTCTGTGAAATGCTGCTTCCCCCAGCAGAGAGCAGGCAGGTTGTACAGCTAAGGGTGGGGCTCCCTGGACCAGCTTCCCAGCTGCCTTGACAGGGAGAACATCTTTCCCCGGATACCAGGACCAGCCCCAGCCCAACGTGATGTTTGTCATCCAGGTGACCTGGAGCACCTGTGGCCAGGCACAACCGATGCTGCGTCTCCCTGTGGGTACTGCTCCCCTGCTGCCTTCACACTCGCACCCCACATGGGCACAGCATGGGGGCCTTTGAGTCTGCTGCGAACGGCTGGCATGCAGCTCCCTCTCAGACACATCCTCTCCCGTCCTCCCCATGGAGAGAGAAAACACGAGGGAGACGCGGGTGCTCTCCTTCCCATCACCTACCAGAAGCTTAAGGCAGATGAGGGAAAACGAACTGACCAGCTAATAACAAATAAGAATGCTGCATAGCAGGTATTTCCCTCATCCTTTAAAATACTCACAAACGATCTCCAAGAGCCCCTGACAGATTCTCAAAGGTACGTTGACTTATGGAGCTCTGATTCCGCCATTGGCATCTGTCTTGGAACTAGATCGGCTCCAGGAAGCCACCCCTCTGGTACGTCGCTTCTACCCGTGCACTGTGGCTCTTTTCACTCACAGCTCTCTTCCCCGCTGGACAGGCTGCTGGAGCTGTGTCTGAGCCATGAATTGAGGACACTCACTGGCACAGCAGGTGTCTCCTAACTGAAGAAGGTCCACTTGTCCTGGCCCGGTGAACCGCACTCAAACCCTCTTCTTCAAGGGCATGTCTTAGTGTTGATTGGAAATCGCTTGTGCCCACGTGGAATATTTTAGTGAATGTTTGGAATATGAGCTCTGACTGCCAAGGTTAATAAGGGCCAATGCCCCAGCAAACACCACTGAAAGTCCACAGAAACCCTGTGGTTATGAGACAGCCTCACGCAAGACCTTGCCCCTCCCCAGTTTCTACTACATCTGCATCATAATCCTGTTTGTGATTAAAACTCAATCCCGTATATTTACCATTATAAAAAATTCACAAGAGAAGTGGTCTCATTCTATGGAACAGATGCTATGCACGAAATTAAATTTTTTTCAAAGAACAGAACCAGCCAGTCCTTGTCCACAGCTATTTCCCCACCCTCATCTGCAGGACGGGCCTTCCCATGGGTGTGGGTGTGGTCTCCGTGTCCACCTGCAGCCAGCCCGAGTCACAGGCAGGAGGAATGCAGCCGCGCCACCCAGCAGGTGTTTGTGAGGAGTCCAGGCAAATCTCGCCATCAGTGGCGAGATTTCCTTGCATCAGGAAATGCAGTCTTTGGTAATGGGGAAATCTGGGGCCTCCCAAGGTTTTTGTAAAGATGAGAAGGTGACACTTCCCAGATGTGCCTTGGAGAATGGCTTGGAGCCTGGTTTACGAGTTGACTTGTTGTCAGACCTTGCCATGGAGCTCTCTCTGGCTTCTTTGCCTCATGAAGTTGATGCCCAAACTCATCCCCCGACCAGGTTCCTTTGGGAAGTGACTGGATTGACCCTCCCTCCCTCCCTCCCTCCCACTGCTGGTACCAATGGCATGTCTATGTCTAACCTCTGAACACAAGCTTTACATGACCTGGAAGGCAAACTGTCCTAGGAAATCGTTTTGCAAATGCCAAGTGATACGTTTCTTATATTGTCCAATATTTTGCGTGGAACATGTCCGCTTCTGTAACCTTCCATGAAAGTGCTGACCCTGTAACGGTTGTGTCTGGTCATTCACTGGAAAACTGTGAAATAAAAACAAGGTGCCCATTCAGGAGGGCACGGCACCCTCCAGACAGTCACGGCACCCTCCAGACAGTCATGGCACACTCCAGACAGTCACGGCACACTCCAGACAGTCATGGCACACTCCAGACAGTCATGGCACGCTCCAGACAGTCCAGAGACTCCAGACAGTCCAGGGAGAAGCTTTCTGCCTCTGGACAGGTACCTCCGAGGGTTCCCTTATGAGTGCAGCCAAGGACTCACTCCCCAAGGATCACACCTGGGTCACAGAGAAAAAAGTTTTTTGCTTTCTCTTTCTGAAGCCAAACGATCACAGATTCTCAACTTAATTTGGCAATAAGACTGTAGCTCATAACTGGGGTTCAACGTGGGGTGGCCTTTGTTACTCAGAGTTCTTCAAAGAGACTCTCCTGGCACCGGGAGGTTGTTCGAGGCCATGCATTCTGGTTCTTACTAATCTGCTGAACTGGAATGAGTAGTTCTGAATCCCTTTACAATCTGACACTTCACCCGGGAAATCACACAGCCTCTTTTTAGAGGCTTTAATTCCTACCCACTGGAATCCACGGGCAACGGTGAGTTGAGAATGGTGTTTCTTTTATTTTAACTCCAAAAATAATCTGCCCTGGTAGCAAATGGGATGCTTTCGCCACTCCTCACGTAAGGTCGAAAGTTAGCAGCTGCTTTTGACTGTTGTGTGAGGCCGAGGGACCGCCGAGGACACGCCCCGAGGAGCCTGGGTCCCGCTCTTGAGTGCAGTGGGCTCTGGAGAGGAGGAGGAGGTGTGGATAGGAGAGCAACTCACCTTCGTCTCTCTGTCAGTGATGAAAACACATGAAGCTTGCCCTTTTGTAATGTCAACAGAAAATTATGCCTCCAACACAAACCCAGGCCATTAAGGAGGCGGCTTTTATTCCTGCTCATAACGTGGGGAACAGAAGGCGGGGCACCATGCGCCTCCCCAGCTGTTGCCGGGGAAGCCGGCGCGGAGCCGGCCGCATCTGGATGGCGTCTTTGAAGAGGCATTAATCTGTGGCTGAGGGACGCTAAGCCTCTCTGCTTTTCTTTGCTGCTTCTCAGGCTAATGCTGCTTCTGCAAAGCTGTAGCGACTTCATGTCCACGGGGGAGATGAAGGAACAATTACAGACGGTGATACCAAGATGCATTTGGGCAAAAATAAAGGGCAGGACAGAAGCGCTGTGCCTTGATCAGTCCGGCAGAAGATTCGCTTTTCCCCGCCTGAAAGGTGCCGCCCAGCTGGCAGCGCAATGGCAGGAGCCCGGGCTACGCGAGCGCGGGGTGGATGTTGGAGGGGAAGGCCGGGAGCTGGCTCCGTGGAAAAGGCTCCTGCGTGTCTCGGAACATGTTGCTGGGTCGGTGGATTTCGCTGCTCATTTTTGTGGATGAAACATGCATGTTACATTACATAAGGGATCAGGTGGAAGAATGAACAGGTTGGCTTAAGCACACGTCCTGGCTGGTGCTCGGAGAGTGGGCATTTCTTTCTGCCACACTGAGGAGCTGCCTCCTCAGACGGACGTGACATGACTTTCTCGGCTTCTCACTGTCACAGCGCGAGAGGCGGGGGCCTGAGACCCGACGCTGCCCAGGTCACAGCAGCGGGCGGCGTGCCGGCAGGTGCGCGCCTGTTAGACCCGGCGTGAGTGTAGTTTAACAACGAATCTGCAGGCTGCCTGCCGTCATGCACGTGGCCATCGCTTCAGCTTTGCTCCTTTCCAGGTTTCGGGATGCTCGGGGTGAATGGGGAGGCGGCCGCCCCAAGGGAGGACCCAGGCAGCGTCGGCCTCCCGCTTGGGGTCCCTTCCCAGACCCTCGCCTGAACGAGTGGGACAGCTCCTGCCCCCCAGCGCGTCCCCAGGCTCCGGGATGGTCACTGTCCAGGAGGCGCTTGGCCCTGCTCACCCGCCCGTTCTGCCCATCCCTTGAGAACTCCGCGATTTCGAAACTTTCCTGATCTTTCTGCCGGAAGTAATTTGTTCTACGTGAAACCACGGGCCACTCCTTCATATCTGTAGAGCGCTCTACCTTCTGTAACGTTTATCTGCGAAACTGCTGCGTTAGGCCAGGAGCACTCCAAGAGCGAGAGGCAGACGCCGTCTGACTTTTCACCCTGACAGGGGACTTTTCCACCTGGCAGTGCCAATATCCGGCTCCTACGCATTCTCCATGGAGGATCACCAGGTCAGCCCATGGGAGGGAGGCAGGAAGGGTGACCTTGCCCGTGAGGCTTAGTGGAAAGAATGATGAAGGGCTGCAGGTGGCTCCTTGAGGGTCCCCGAAAACTTCCTCTGGGGTAGGGTAGGAAGGTGGTCAGGGAAGCCTGAAAGGCAGTTTCAGCTTCAGTTCTTCAGCTCCTTGTGGGAACAACCCCAGCAGAAATAAACACTGTGCTTTGGGTTAAAAGATAAAATCATGAGGACTTGACCAAAAACAGGATTTCACGGGCTTTCGTCCCCCTGTTGCAATGACACTGATGCTCTCTGGAAGGGACCCTTAGTGTCAGGACTTCCTCCAGTGGGTGATTGTGGGGAGTAAGCCCAATAACCAGTTAGCACTTCCTCCAGTGGGTGACGATGGGGAGTAAGCCCAATAACTAGTGAGCACTTCCTCCAGTGGGTGACGATGGGGAGTAAGCCCAATAACTAGTGAGCACTTCCTCCAGTGAGCAGTGAGCACTTCCTCCAGTGGGTGACGATGGGGAGTAAGCCCAATAACTAGTGAGCACTTCCTCCAGTGGGTGACGATGGGGAGTAAGCCCAATAACTAGTGAGCACTTCCTCCAGTGGGTGACGATGGGGAGTAAGCCCAATAACTAGTGAGCACTTCCTCCAGTGAGCAGTGAGCACTTCCTCCAGTGGGTGACGATGGGGAGTAAGACCAATAACCAGTGAGCACTTCCTCCAGTGGGTGACGATGGGGAGTAAGCCCAATAACCAGTTAGCACTTCCCCCAGTGGGTGACGATGGGGAGTAAGCCCAATAACCAGTTAGCACTTCCTCCAGTGGGTGATGATGGGGAGTAAGCCCAATAACCAGTTAGCAATTCCCCCAGTGGGTGATGATGGGGAGTAAGCCCAATAACCAGTTAGCACTTCCCCCAGTGGGTGACGATGGGGAGTAAGCCCAATAACCAGTTAGCACTTCCCCCAGTGGGTGATGATGGGGAGTAAGCCCAATAACTAGTGAGCACTTCCCCCAGTGGGTGATGATGGGGAGTAAGCCCAATAACTAGTGAGCACTTCCTCCAGTGGGTGACGATGGGGAGTAAGCACAATAACTAGTTAGCACTTCCTCTTCACCGGGTGATGACCGGCGAGAAAGCCCCCTGTTTATTCAGCACTTCCTCCCCAGTGGATGGTGGTCATGGAGTAAGCCCACTGGTTAGTTAGCACTTCCTTTCCAGTGGGTGATGATGGGGGATTATTTTAACTGGTTAGTTAGCACTTGCTCCTCAGTGGGTGATGATGGAGTAAACCCACTGGCTAGTTAGCCCTCCTTCTCCAGTAGGTGATGATGAAGTTAGCCCACCAGTTAGTTAGCACTGCCTCTTTAGTGGGTGATGATGATTGAATAAGCCCACTGGTTATTTAGCACTTTCTCCTTAGTTGGTGATGATTATGGAGTTAGCCCACTGGCTAGTTAGCCCTTCCTCTCCAGTGCATGTGGATGAGGGAGTAAGCCCAGTCATTAGCACTTTCTCCCCAGTGGGTGATGATGTGGGAGTAAGCACACTGCTTAGTAAGCACTTCTTCCCCAGTGGATGACCATGAAGGAGTAAGTTCACTGGTTAGTTAGCACTTTCTACCCAGTGTGTGACGATGAAAGAGTAAGTCCAGTAGTTAGTTAGCACTTCCCCTTCAGTGGGTGATGATGGGAGAGTAAGCTCACCGGTTAGTTAGCACTTTCTCCTTAGCTGGTAATGATTATGGAGTTAGCTGTCTGGTCAGTTAGCACTTCCTCTCCAATGGGTGAGGATGGCATAAGCCCACTGGTTAGTTAGCACTTCTTCCACTGTGGGTGATGATAGGAGAGAAAGCCGACTGGTTAGTTAGCACTTTCTCTTCAGTGGGTGATGATGGGGGAGGAAGCCCACTGGTTATTTAACACTTCTTCACCAGTGGGTGATGGTGGGGGAGGAAGCCCACTGGTTATTTAGCACTTCTTCACCAGTGGGTGATGGTGGGGGAGGAAGCCTATTGGTTATTTAACACTTCTTCCCCAGTGGGTGATGATGGGGGAGGAAGCCCACTGGTTATTTAACACTTCTTCACCAGTGGGTGATGGTGGGGGAGGAAGCCCACTGGTTATTTAGCACTTCTTCACCAGTGGGTGATGGTGGGGGAGGAAGCCTATTGGTTATTTAACACTTCTTCCCCAGTGGGTGATGATGGGGGAGGAAGCCCACTGGTTAGAGGCACTTTGGAAAGCTATGATGGTTATTTCCACCATTCTTTAGCACAACATAGCTTTCCTTTGATAGTAGACATTTTCAGGCCATTAATTCCTCATGCAGAGTAACTGCTGTTCCGGATTTGAAGAGTGGGCTAGAAAAGGATTCTTCCTTCTTGGAGGAATGGGATTCAAGTTATGTTTGCTGCACCCTGTGCTTGCTGGGTGTGGGAACAGCAACTGCTTGGAATGGGATGGGCACAGCTTGAAATGGCAGGTTGTGTTCTTCTTTTCCTTCCTTCCTGTCTTTCTTCCTTCTTTGTTCCTTTCTTCCTTGTTCCCTTTGATAAATGTTGATTCAGGACTCTTGGTGTGCCAGGCACTGTGCTAGGCACCTGTGATCCAGGTAGATCCCATCCTGTTCTCATGGAGCTCAGAGTTTGGTGATGATAAAGGCCCAGAAATGAAAACATGCAGTAGGCAAGTGTGCAGGGGAAACATTGTGTGGCCTGGCTCAACAGCCCCCAGGAAAAAGCATCTTAAACAAGATGTTCTTGGTGGTCTCTATGGACTCTTAGATTCTAACATTGTACGAAACAAATAAAAAGGGGAAATTTACATAGTGTAAGCTTTTATGCCTTCCATTTTGAGGCATGACTCAAAATGCTTTTCCAGGGCAGAGGAGAAAAGCTGGAGGGGTCTGCCTGGTGGTGGTGGGATGGGAAGCGCATGTGGGAGGAGGCAGAGCTGGCAACCCTGGAGTGGACTCCTGGCAAGGAAGGGATGAGTACTTCTGCTGAGAGGCAAGAAAGGGCTCAGCCAGGGGGAGGCAGTGGGGCCTGAAGTGAAAAGAGAGGATGTGTGGAGAGGGAGTTCCCTGGAGGGAGAGGGGGATGTCGTTTCTAAGTGGTCTTGAAGTTGGAAGGAACAATGCTTTCAAGAGAAAGACCTTTATCAAGAGAAGGCATTCACCTTTGGGAATACTGGCTGAGGACAGGCTCTGCGTCATCCAGGAAGGGGCTGGAGGAATGTGGCCAGTGTGTGAGAGACCAACCAGGGCTATAGGCACAGGCTGGGAGTATTTGAATTTATTGTCCGATTCATGCCTTTGACTTAACACTTGACTCGCCTTGGCACATAACAGGTGGAGATTTTTGAGACAGAAAGACTAGGCTAGAGGAAGTTGCTGAGATCAGAGGAAGCCAGGCCCTCTTCAAGCCACGCCTCCTCTGAGATGCCTCAGAACTAAGTGCGTTTTGCTTTGTCCTTTGTCTCTCTCCCAGCTTTGTGCTACCTGGACTTGCATTGTGAGTTAGTCATTCCTTCTAGTGTATGGACACTGGAGGGGAAGGATGTATAATTCTCATTTGTATTCTTCCATTGCATAGTCCAGTGCCCTTTACACGGTGAAAAACGTGAATACAAGCCATCAGTAGAAAAAGAAGACCCTCTGAAACAGGAATTTCCAAGACAGTGCATTGAGGAAGTCCAAGGAGGAAAGGATGGGGAATAGAAGACAGCAGCGAACAGGACTGGGGACTGTCACAGGAGCCAGAGAAAGGGCTGATTCTAAGAGGAAGGAGACACCAAAAATGTAAAAGGGTGCAAAAATACTGGAGAGAGGAGGCCTTTATGATGGCCACTGGGTGGGGGCATTGGCAGCCACCAAGGCCTCTGAGAGAGCAGAAAATGTGGTTCCACCAAACACTCTTCTGGAACCTGCTCTTTTTTTTGTAAGGTGAGCTGAGCACTTAGAAGGATCTTCCTAAAATATCCCCTTATGAAAGATTTCTAATAACCCTTTCTCTCTGTCATCTTCATTAACCACTAATTTTAAATTTTTAAATTTTTAATTTTTATTGTGGTAAGAGAAACACATAACATGAAGTTGCCCTCATACTAGATGTTTGCAACATGGCATAGTATTGCTAATTACATACATGGGGCTGTACAGCACGCCTCCAGGGCTCTTCCATCTCACGTGGCTGAAACTCTCCACGTTCCTCCCCCAACCCCTGGCAACCACTATTCTAGTCTCTGTGTCTATAAGTTTGACTGTTTTAGAGACCTCATATAGGTAGACTCATACAGTATTTGTCATTTTGTGACTGGCTTATTTCACTTAGTATAATGTCCTCAAGGTTAATCTGTATTGTAGCATGTGACAGGGTGCCCCTTTTAAAAGGTGGAATGATATTCCATTATTTGTGTATACACTTTCTTTATCCATTCACTTCCCAGTGGCCATTTAGATTGCCTCCACCTCTTGGCCATTGCATATAATGCTGCAATGAACACAGTGTAGATACTTCTTGGAGATCCTGTTTTCATTTTTTTTTCTGATGAATACTTAGAAGTGGGATTGCTGGAGCATATGGCAGTTCTGTTTTTAAGGCTTTGAGGAACCTCCATGCTGTTTTCCATAGTGGGTGAACCATTTTACATTCCACAGCAGGTGCACCATTTTATATTGCATAGTGGGTGCACCATTTTACATTCCATAGCAGGTGAACAATTTTACATTCCATAGTGGGTGAACCATTTTACATTTCATAGTGGGTGCACCATTTTACATTCCATAGCAAGTGAACCATTTTACATTCCATAGCGGGTGAACAATTTTACATTCCATAGTGGGTGAACCATTTTACATTCCATAGTGGGTGAACCATTTTACATTCCATAGTGGGTGAACCATTTTACATTCCATAGCGGGTGAACAATTTTACATTCTATAGCGGGTGAACCATTTTACATTCCATAGTGGGTGCACCATTTTACATTCCATAGCAAGTGAACCATTTTACATTCCATAGCGGGTGAACAATTTTACATTCCATAGCGGGTGAACCATTTTACATTCCATAGCGGGTGAACCATTTTACATTCCATAGTGGGTGAACCATTTTACATTCCATAGCGGGTGAACCATTTTACATTCCATAGCGGGTGAACCATTTTACATTCCATAGCGGGTGAACCATTTTACATTCCATAATGGGTGAACCATTTTACATTTCATAGCGGGTGAACTATTTTACATTCCATAGCGGGTGAACCATTTTACATTCCATAGCGGGTGAACCATTTTACATTCCATAGCAGGTGAACCATTTTATATTCCATAGCGGGTGCACCATTTTATATTGCATAGTGAGTGAACCATTTTACATTCCATAATGGGTGAACCATTTTACATTTCATAGCGGGTGAACAATTTTACATTCCATAGCGGGTGAACAATTTTACATTCCATAGCGGGTGAACCATTTTACATTCCATAATGGGTGAACCATTTTACATTCCACAGCAGGTGCACCATTTTACATTCCATAGCGGGTGCACCATTTTACGTTCCTGCCAACAGTGCACAGTGGCTTCAATATCTCCTCCTCCTCACCAACACTTGCTACCTTCTGTTTCTTGATAATGGCCATCTTAGTAGGTGTGAGGCTTATCTTACACCATACACAAAAATAAACTCAAAATGGATTAAAGGCGTAGCATAAGACCTGAAAGTATAAAACTTCTAGAAGAAAACAGGAGAAAAACTCTGTTGCATTGGTCTTGGTAGTGACTTCTTGGATAAGTCCTAAAAGCACAGGCAGTGAAAGCAAAAAGAGACAAGCAGGATTGCATCAAACCCAAAAGCCTCTGTGCAGCAAAGGAGGCAACGAGCAGAGTGAAAAGGTGACCTATGGACTTGGAGAAAGTGTCTGCAAACCATGTGATATGGTTTGGCTGTGTCCCCACCCAAATCTCATCTTGAATTCCCACCTGTTGTGGGAGGGATCTGTTGGGAGGTAATTGAATCATGGGGGTGGGTCTTTCTGTGCTATTCTTGTGATAGTGAATGAGTCTCATGAGATCTGATGGTTTTATAAAAATGGGAGTTTCCCTGCACAAGCTCTCTTCTCTTGTCTGCTGCCATGTGAGATGTGCCTTTCACCTTCCACCATGATTGTGAGGCCTCCCCAGCCATGTGGAACTGTAAGTCCAATAAACCTCTTTCTTTTGTAAATGCCCTGTCTCGAGTATGTCTTTATCAGCAGCATGAAAATGGACTAATACACTATACATCTGACCAGGGGTTAATATTCCAAATACACAAGGAACTCCTACAACTCAACAATAGCAACAACAACAACAAAAACAAACCCAAGCAATCTGATTAAAAATGGCAGAAAGACTTGAGGATAGTTGTTTCTTCAAAGAAGACATACAATTGGCCAACGGGTACCTGAAAAGATGCTAATCCTCAGGGAAATGGAAATAAAAAACACAACTTTAAAGAAGAAAAAGGGGAGAAGGAGCAGCAAATACAAACCCTTCCTGCCCCCAAGGCTCCTGGGGCTGTAGCTCATCACACAGAGGCTTCCGGACAGCTCTGTGCACCAGAAACACAATGGCAGCCACACACACAGCCACAGCTGTCATTTAAAAATTTCTAGTAGCAATGAGAAGAAAGTAAAAAAAGGCAGGTAAAAAATAATTTTAATAGAGTATTTTATTTAACCCAAAATATGGTTGCTGTACCATATGATCAATATAGAAGCTATTAGTGAGATAGTTTGCAACTTCTTTCTGCTGATTCTTTGAACTCTGAGGTGCAATGAATGCCTAAGGACAGGCCTCAGTGTGGAGCAGCCACGTGTCCATGCTCAGCAGCCACGTGTGGCCAGCAGGGCCCCCAGTGGACAGTCAGCTGTGGAGATGACTGGAAATCCATGTTATCCCTGGGATCCAGGTGGTGTCTTTATGTTACAAAAGTAGCCTTTTTCCTTCCTTCCTTCCTCCCTTCCTTCCTTCCTGCCTTCCTGTCTTCCTCCTTTCCTGCCTTATTGCCTTCCTTCTTTCCTGCCTTCCTTCCTTCCCATGTTCTAGCCTTCCCACCTTCCTGCCTTCCTTCCTCTTGTCCTTTCTTTCGGCTGCAAATGTTTACTGATGATCTGTTAGGTGCCTGGGTCTGAGCTGAGGAACTGGGAAAGGTAAGCTGAAGCTCTTCCCTGCTAGGGCATATGGCTCATCTGGGAGACACAGAAGCAAATGCTCCTAATAGGACAGGGTAATTATTACAATAGAGAAAAATCACAGTACGGAGGGCAGGCTTGAACTGGGCCTTGAAGCTTGAGTAGGAGTTCACCTGGCAGTCGGGGTTGAGGGGGCTGGACTCTAGGAAAGGGGCCAACACATGGGGTGTTAGGGAGGAAGAGGAGTGTTTAGGAAGGCGCGTGGCTCCTCACCAGCTGTGTTAGTGTCAAGGAACTGATGTTCTGCACTAGAAGTTGAGGCACTGGCTCCAGAGTTGAGCTGCTTCTGTATCTAGACATTTCAATATGAATTTAAATTTATACCTCATTGTAGGTCAATATTTTACTGAGATTTTGATGAAAAATAATTATTCTACACTCTTGATTATTGAAATGACGGTTATGCTCATTGTAGGTGATTAACTGAGACATGAGAATGAGTATTTTATATCAAAACCATAGTTACTAATTTAGGTAAAATCTGTTTGTAGAACTGCCCTTAGAAATCAGTGGATGTTCTGTAAGAGCAGTTGATCCCCACTGAGCATCTATTTGAAGCCCAGCAGCTTGAGGCCTTGGTCTAGTTACTACGGATACAAAGATGTTGATGGCAGTTTTTCTCCAGCTGGTGGGATGATGTGGGAGCCGGAGGTTACAGCGAGTAACCTTGTCAGGGCCTGGTGCTTTGGGTGTGAATCTCGGTGGGGCTTTTTGTTGGAGGTGCTGGGAGCCGTGTGCTCAGAGCTGTGTTAGGTGGGTCATCTGCTGGTGTGCAGCATGGAGAGGTTAGAGAAGAAAAGAGTAGTTCCATCTTTGTATTAAGTGAAAATTAGTTTTTTGAAGTGAAGCCTAGAGAGAAATTCCCTCCATTTCTGTCCAAAGAGGCTACCATTATCCAATGTTTTTACAGCAAAGGGAAATCACTTATGAATATTTTGCCCAGGGTGAATGTAAAGCAGTACAAGTGAAATATAAAACAATTTCAGCTCTTCCAGGAATCAAAATCAATTTTCCTGATTCCTAGATCTGTGCCATGTTTTTTAGAAATTATTTTTAAAATTCACTAGGCCAATAGCTTAATTTTAATCTATAACATGTAGCATAAAAAAGTGATGTCCTGCCATTATGTTCAAAATTCAGTGGCATTCTTTGATTCGGGCCTTTTCCACTTAAGTGTTGTAACCCAGCCTTTTTTGCTCAGGGTAGCTGTGAGGATTTCACCACTACCTGGCCAGTCTCGGCCACACTGACCTGGATGACAACCTGACCCTTCCTTGTAAGATATCAGAGGTCTGTCTCACTTCACCCAGCATGTCTAAAACTGATCTCCAAATTTTCCCCAGGTCAGATTTCTTTATGAGCCAGAAAGCATTTTTCCCACTCTTAGTCACTTCTTCTCACAGTCTCTCTACATTTTACCAGTCCTTTCAAGTCCTCATTAATCCATTTCTCTTCTCCGATCCTTTGGTCCTGTGGCCTCTGCATCAGTCCTGAACCTGGCCTGCCATCCTTCTTGCCTGTGAAATCAGCATTTCAAAGCTGTGGGAACTTGTGCTGCGATTTTGTCCAGCGTTTCTGGTAAGATAAAAACTGCAGACTGCCCTCGCCACTGTGGCCATGGTCTGAGGAGAAGGTTCTAGCAAGGATCCCGTAGATGTCAAAGTGGAGCCCGGGAGAGTCCACTACTCTGTTCATACTTAAACCTCTTCTTTTTCAAGCAGGGTAAACAGGAATAAATATGGGGCCTCTGGGAAGATTCCGTAACTGAAAGGATGGAGAACGTGCACACGAGATGCAAAGGAGTGGGACGGGGCAGGCTCTGGCTTTGCTATGCGTGCGACCTTGGTAACGAGGATGCCCCTGACTTCACATGGGGCTGTATGGGGAATAAATGGTTAATGTGGGAGGAGTGGCTCAAACCATGCTCCACGTGGAGTTGGTGGGCTTAACAGACACACACTATCAGCCTTCCTCATGGTTGCTGTTGGTTTTACTATTATATGTTAATAAGGACTTTACTGTAGGAAATGAAAAGATTTATGAAGTATTCTCTTCATATTCTCAATACTCAGGACTCTAAATTCAGAGAGTCAAGATGGGATAAGGAGAAAAGAGAATGGAGATATCTTGGAGGAAGCTTTAAAAGAGTAGGTATGGGAATCCATTAAAATATTAATTAAACAAAGTGATAATTGCAAAATTTAAGACAATCTTAGAAGCAATAAAAAAGGTTACATTCTACAGAAAATCAAGTTAGAGATGAGTGGGACAATCTAATAGTTTCTTCTAGAAAAAATAAACTTCATACAAATAAAATAAATTTTTATCCTTGCTCATTGGAAAGAAAAGCTATAATGGAAGACATAATTTAATTTTAGTTTTCTGAATACAATACTCACCTTCAGATTGAATCAGCTCATTTTATACAACAAGGTGAAGCCAATGGCCAGATCTGGTCATGTGAAAAAATTTGATTATAAAGGTAGAATCCAAAAACCTCCAGGCAGAAAAAAACAGGAAAGCTACAAAGGAAAAAATAGCACACCTGTCTTGGACTTCTCCACATGTCTAGGGAAAGAATGGAGCAATCTCTATAAAATATTGAGAAAAAGAGTAAAGCAAGCAGTGGGGGCATCTATAGAGCACTGTTCTCAAGAGCTCTATAACTAGCCTAACAGTTTTGAATGAATTCAACATAATTGTTGAATGTATAGTCCATTCTCACACTGCTAATAAGGAAATACCCACGACTTGGTAACTGATAAAGGAAAAAGGTTTAATTGACTCACAGTGCCACAGGACTGGGGAGGCTTCAGGAAACTTACAATCATGGTGGAAGGGGAAGTAAACACATTATTCTTCACATGGTGGCAGGAAGGAGAAGGATGAGAACTGAGTGAACGGGGAAGCCTCTTACAAGACCATCAGATCTCCTGAGCGTTTACACACTGTCACCAGAATAGTATGAGGGAAACTGCCCCCGTGATTCAATTACCTCCCACCAGGTTCCTCCCACGACATGTTGAGATTATGGGAAATACAAATCAAGATGAGATTTGGGTGGGGACACAACCAAGCCATATCAATGAGTGCTGCTGAAGTGTGCTGGCTATGAACCTTTTCACAAACATTATTCTGTGGCAAAATGAAATATGAAAAATTTCCAGTGTAACAATACTTGTAATGAAGATAAAAATGAGTAGAACAACAAAAAATTAGGTCCGAAGAAGAGTTGAAAATATTTTTCTAAACTAACACAAATGGCTAAAATAATTTTTGAAAAAGAAGTTGCCAAATGAAACAAATATTAATAACATAGAAGGAGGATTCTGGGGAGATGACAGAGTAGGAAGCAATAGGAGTCCATCTCCCTTTAGACTGCGGTTGCACTGGCAAGATCTGGCTGATGTAACTATTTGGGACTCTAAAGTCTATTGAAGGCATGTAACTTCCAGGGGAAGGATGGTAGGATGGTAAATTGAGGTCAATTTCAGTCCATTTCAGCTCTTGGCACAATAGACACTACATATCCCTTATCTCCAGCCCCATGGCCAGCAGTCGTGAACATGTTTCTGAAGCAGCCTGCACACAGCTTACAGCAGCCAGGTGGGCAAAGGGACCCTGGCCTCCAAATATCTGGGATCTGTGCCTGGATTGAAGATTGCTGCTTCTAATTATAGAGACAGACAAAGAGGCAGGGGCCATTGTTGCACCTGCCCCAATTGACGCAAGCCCCTCCCCCTCCTTTAAATCCCTTGGAAGTCACTTCTGCTTCAAAATACTGACTTCCAGGGGATTTAAAGAGCTGGCATCTTTCCCCTCACCTTTATTTTTCTCGTTTTCTCCTTTTGGAACTCAGACATTAAAAACTAAGACATTCAAAAGTAACTGTGTATATGAAGAAAATTAGAAAGTGTGAGTGCCCAGGGAAAGGCACAGGCTCAGAAAAGAGCTGAGAAGACCTTAAGTTGAGACTTCAGGCTGATCGTTGGTGTGGAAGCAACCTAAAACAATAAAAAACAAAAACAGTACCAACAACAGCAAACCCTGGGGAAAGGGGATAATCTGATTTCCAGTTACCACATCATTAAATTCAAATGCCCAGCTTTTAACAAAAAAATTATGACATACAAAGAAACAGGAAAGTATAACCCATTCAAAGGCAAAAAATAAACCAACTGTTCAAGAGAAAGACCGGATGGTGGACCTACTAGATAAGGACTTTAAAATAGCTGTCTTAAAGATGCTCAAAGAACTAAAGGAAGATATAGAGAAAGTCAAGAACAAAATGAGTAAATAAAATGGAAATATCAATAGAGTTAGGAAACCTAAGAAAAAAAGAAATTCTGGAGGTGAAAAGTACAACAACTGAAATAAAAAGTTCACCAGAGAGAGAGAGAGAGATTCAAAAGCAAATTTGAGCAGGTAGAAGAAAGAGTCAGTGAAGGTCAATCGAAATGAAGATAGGACAATTGAAATTATTGAGTTTGAGGTAAAGAAAGAAAAGATACCAAAGAAAAGTGAATAGAGCCTAAGGAATGTGTAGCATGTTATCAAGTGAACCACCATAAGCTTTGTGGGAGTTCAGAAAGAGAAGAGAGAGAGAAAGGGAAAGAGAGATTATTTGAAGAAATAATAGCTGAAAATATCCCATGTTTGATGAAAGACACAAACATAAACATTCAAGAAACTCAATGAGCTCTAATTAGGATGGACATAAACAGACCCGAAAAGACACAATATATTCAAGCTTTTAAAAACCAAAGAGAGAATTTTAAAAGCAGCAAGAGAGAAGCAATTCATCACATACAAAAAATTTTTAATTAGATTATCAGCAGATTTCTTCTTATAACTTTGGAGGCCAGAAGGTAGTGGACTGATTAAGTGCTAAAAGAAAAATTTAAAAAAACACCAAAAACGTATCAACCAAGAATCTTATGTCGGTAAAACTGTCCTTCAAAAGTGAGGGAGAAATACAACATTCCCAGGTAAAGCTGAGGGAGTTCCTTACCACTAGAACTGTCCTACAAAAAACGCTAATGGGAGTCATGGAAGTTGAAAGAAGAGAACACTGGAGAGTAACTTGAAGTCATATAAACAAATGGAGATCTCAATAAAGATAAATACATGGGTAATTATAAAAACTAGTATCATTGTAAAAATGGTTTGTAATTCCATTTTTGTTTTATATATAATTTAAACAATTAATACATTAAAAGTTCTTGCCTAAAAGCTAGTATTATTGCAACTTTGGCTTATCACTCTACATTTTATTTTCTACATAATGTAAGAGATATTATGTATTATAAAAATAATTCTTAGTTTACATTTTTTGGCACACATTGTATAAATATGTATTTTGTGACATCAATAACTGAAAGGGTTGAAAATGAAAATACAACAGGAATGTATAACAATTACAAACATTTATGGACCTAATAATGGATTATCCTAATACATGAAGCAAAAATGGACAAAATTGAAAGAAGAAATAGATGGCTGTACTATACTAGTGGGGTATTGGAAACTTCGCTACTCCACTGTCAGTAATGCATAGAAGAGCCAGGCAGAAAATAAATAAAGAAATAGAGGACTTGGCCAACACAATAAACCAAATGGACCTATGAGACATAAACAGAGCAGTCTACTTAACAACATTGGAATACACATTCTTCTCAAGTGCAGGTGGAACATTTTCCAGAATAGACCACATGTTAGGCCACAAATTAAGTCTCAATAGGTTTAAAAAGATGGATATCATACAGAGTATCTTCTTTGATCACAACACAGTGGAGTTGGAAATCAATTACCAAAGAAAAACTGAAAAATTAAAAAATTTGTGAAAATCAAACAACATACTCTTAAACATCCAATGCATCAAAGATAAGATCTCAAAGAAAATTAGAAAATACTTAGAGATGAATGACAATGAAAAACACAACATAGCAAAACTTATGGACTGCAGCCAAAGCAGTGATAAAGGGGAAATTTGTAGCTATAAATTCTTACAGTAAAAAGGAAACATCTCAAATCAACAACTTTAACGTTGCAACTTAAGGAACTAGAAGAAGAATAACAAACTAGCTAGCAGAAGGAATAAAGCTAGCAGAAGGAGTAACATAATGAAGACTGGAGCAGAGATCAATGAAATAGAGAATAGAAAAACGATTGAGAAAATCACTGAAACCAATTATTGGTTCTTCAAAAAGTTCAACAAAATAGACAAATTTTTAGCTAGATTGACAAAAAAAAAAAAGAGATGACTCAAAAGTCAGAATATAAGTGGGGACATTTTTACTGCCAATTCCACAGAAATATAAAAAGGTTATAAGTGAGTACTATGAACAATTGTATGACAATAAATTGAAGATAGATGAAATCAACAAATTCCTAGAAATGCAAAATCTGCCAAGACTGACTCATGAAGAAATAGAACATTTGAATAGATCTAAAACTAGCAAGAAGATTGACTTCAGACAAAGAAAAGCCTTGGACCTGATGGCTTTACTGGTGAGTTCTACCAAACACTTAAAAAACTAACATCACTTCTTCTCAAACGTTTTCAAAAAATTGAAGAGGAGGGGACTCTGCCTGACTCATTGCATGAGGCTAGCACTGTCCTGACACAAAAGCAAGAAAGAGACTCCAAGAAAAGAAAACTACAGACCAATATTTCTTGTGAATATCTATGAAAAATTCTCAACAACATATGAACAAACCAAATTCAGGATTATTATAAGGATTATGCAACATGATGAAGTGGAATTTATTGCTGGAATGTAAGGATGATTCAACATGAAAACTGATCAATGCAATATACCACATTAACAGAATGAAAAAAATACCTTACATGATCATCTCAACTGATGCAGAAAAACCATTAGACAAAATCCAACACCCTTTCATAATAAAAATATTTAACAAACTAGGAATAGAAGGAAATTCCCTCAGCATAATGAAAGTCATGTATGAAAACCCACAGCAAACAGCATACTTAATGATGAAAGACTGAAACTTCGTCCTCTAAGATTAGGAAAAAGGCAAGGATACCTGTTTTTACCACTTCTATTCAAAAAGTACTGGAATCCTACAAAGACCAATTAGGGAAAAAAAAGCATCCAAATTAGGAAAAAGAAAAATCATGGATGATATGATCTTATATGTAGAAAACCTTAAACATTTCACAAAAATGTTAGAACTAATGAATTCAGTGTAGTAGCATGATATAAAGTCAATGCACAAACATTAGTTGTATTTCTATACACTAACAATGAACAATTTGAAAAGAAAATTAAGAAAATAATTTCATTTACAGTGCATCCAAAAATTGCCGACGACCAACGCGGGGTGCAGCCCATCCCATTACAATGACCAACGCGGTGGTGCAGCCCATCCCGTGCCGTTGACCAACGCGGGGTGCAGCCCATCCCGTGCCGTTGACCAACGCGGGGTGCAGCCCATCCCGTGCCGTTGACCAACGCGGGGTGCAGCCCATCCCGTTACAATGACCAACGCGGTGGTGCTGGGTGCCCGTGGAACGCTGCCATGTGAACAATGTGTTGAGGAGTGCAGCCTGTGAGAATTATTTCTGATAATTACCCATATTATTTCAAAGAAAAGAGCCCGGAAGCTCTGAGAGGGTGAGACGGTAGAAACAGAGAGGCCAGCAGCTCCAACCCACCCCAGGAAGCACCACGGAGCCAGGGAGCTGCACAGCTCAGCCCCAGCAGAGAGCAGGACACCCGGCTGGAGCCGGCTTTGATTTTCCTCGTAAGGACAAGGTGTCCCTCCACGTCACCTAGTTGCTGGTGCCAGCCTGCCCTCTGTTTTCTTTTATGCATTTTCCTGTTTATTTAGAAAAAAAAATTGCATGACACATTTGTTCTGCTTTCAAATCACACTTTCAACCATGGAACAAGTTGATGAGATATAACCTGGAAAAAGCCACACGTATGGACAGACACACGAATTGAAACGTACAGATGGACATGAGCTCACACTCACATAGACATGAATGCACATGCACAGAACTGAACTCACACACACACAGACATGCGTTCACACAGGCATGAATGCACACTCACAGATATGAACTCACACACAGACATGAGCTCACACAGGCATGAATGCACACTCACAGATATGAACTCACACACAGACATGAGCTCACACAGGCATGAATGCACACTCACAGATATGAACTCACACACAGACATGAGCTCACACAGGCATGAATGCACACTCACAGATATGAACTCACACAGATATGAACTCACACTCACATAGACATGAATGCGCACTCACACATAGACATGAACACAGACATGCGTTCATAAGGCATGAATGCACAGTCACAGATATGAACTCACACAGATGGATATGAGCTCACACTCACATAGACATGAATGCACACTCACACATAGACATGAACTCACACACACAGACATGCGTTCACACAGGCATGAATGCACACACAGATATGAACTCACACACAGACATGAGCTCACACAGGCATGAATGCACACTCACAGATATGAACTCACACAGATGGATATGAGCTCACACTCACAGACATGAATGCACACTCACACATAGACATGAACTCACACACACAGACATGAGCTCACACAGGCATGAATGCACACTCACAGATATGAACTCACACAGATGGATATGAACTCACACTCACATAGACATGAACCCACACACACAGACATGCGTTCCTACAGGCATGAATGCACACTCATAGATATGAACTCACACACAGACATGAGCTCACACAGGCATGAATGCACACTCACAGATATGAACTCACACAGATGGATATGAGCTCACACTCACATAGACATGAATGCACACTCACACATAGACATGAACTCACACACACAGACATGCGTTCCTACAGGCATGAATGCACACTCATAGATATGAACTCACACAGACATGAGCTCACACAGGCATGAATGCACACTCACAGATATGAACTCACACAGATGGATATGAGCTCACACTCACATAGACATGAATGCACACTCACACATAGACATGAACTCACACACACAGACATGCGTTCCTACAGGCATGAATGCACACTCATAGATATGAACTCACACACAAACATGAGCTCACACAGGCATGAATGCACACTCACAGATATGAACTCACAGATGGATATGAGCTCACACTCACATAGACATGAATGCACACACACATAGACATGAACTCACACACACAGACATGCGTTCACACAAGCATGAGTGCACACTCACAGATATGAACTCACACAGATGGACATGAGCTCACACTCACATAGACATGAATGCACACTCACACATAGACATGAACTCACACACACAGACATGCATTCACACAGGCATGAATGCACACTCACAGATATGAACTCACACAGATGGACATGAGCTCACACTCACATAGACATGAATGCACACATAGACATGAACTCACACACAGACATGCGTTCACACAGGCATGAATGCACACTCACAGATATGAACTCACACAGATGGATATGAACTCACACTCACATAGACATGAATGCACACTCACATAGACATGAACTCACACACACAGACATGCGTTCCTACAGGCATGAATGCACACTCATAGATATGAACTCACACAGACATGAGCTCACACAGGCATGAATGCACACTCACAGATATGAACTCACACTCACAGATGGACATGAGCTCACACAGGCATGAATGCACACTCACAGATATGAACTCACACAGATGGATATGAACTCACACTCACATAGACATGAATGCACACTCATAGACATGAACTCACACACAGACATGCGTTCACACAGGCATGAATGCACACTCACAGATATGAACTCACACACAGACATGAGCTCACACAGGCATGAATGCACACTCACAGATATGAACTCACACAGATGGATATGAACTCACACTCACATAGACATGAATGCACACTCACACATAGACATGAACTCACACACACAGACATGTGTTCCTACAGGCATGAATGCACACTCACAGATACGAACTCACACAGATGGATATGAACTCACACTCACATAGACATGAATGCACACTCACACATAGACATGAACTCACACACACAGACATGCGTTCCTACAGGCATGAATGCACACTCACAGATATGAACTCACACAGATGGATATGAACTCACACTCACATAGACATGAATGCACACTCACACATAGACATGAACTCACACACACAGACGTGTTCCTACAGGCATGAATGCACACTCAGATATGAACTCACACACAGACATGAGCTCACACAGGCATGAATGCACACTCACAGATATGAACTCACACAGATGGATATGAGCTCACACTCACATAGACATGAATGCACACTCACACATAGACATGAACTCACACACACAGACATGCGTTCCTACAGGCATGAATGCACACTCATAGATATGAACTCACACAGACATGAGCTCACACAGGCATGAATGCACACTCACAGATATGAACTCAGATGGATATGAGCTCACACTCACAGACATGAATGCACATGCACAGACATGAACTCACACATGCATAGGCATGAACTCACACTCACAGAGAGACAGAACTCACAAGCACAAACGTATAGTCTGAAAAGACCTGACTGTTCATTGCATTTTCAGTTCATTTCATAAAATATTGAACTTTGCTCCACACAATTAAATTTTAATCTAATTCATTTTATATTTTCTGTCTAATGTTTGATCTTCCTACTTCTAGTTAATACTCCAGTTATTAAATTGTTCTGGAAACTCAACACATTTCAGCAAAGCTTTCTCAATAGTTTCCAGTATTAACTGAGACCATGCAAAAGGCTTTCGGAGTTGGAGGTGAGCGCTGCCAGCCGAGATGGAGGCCTGCCTTTCAGGTGGCCATCCCACCAGGGCCCCACTGGGAGGGGGCGCTGATGGTGACCGGTGACGTGAGTGCCAGACTATGGGGTGCCATGGGCCCGCACCACCTAAAATGATTTATTTATAAATTGATATTTTTTCTCATGAAAATGTGAAAAAGGAATATTATGTAGAATCTGACCATGTTATATAATCCTCTAGAACAATGGCTGGTGAACATAGGCCTTTGGTCCAACCCAGCTGATTTTGTGTGGGTTTTGTATTTTCCGTGAGCTAAGAATGGTTCCACATTTTAAAATAAATGAATACAATCAAAAGAAGCATCACACTCCTTGACGTGTGAAAATTCCGCAAAGCTGGAATTCCAGCGTCCATGAACGAGGTTTTATGGGGGCAGAGCCACACTCCTGACTCGCGCGTCTCTGCGGCTTTGTGCAAAGGCAGACTTGCGTAGTTCCAGCGCCGGGGTTGGCTCTCCCAGACAAAGCGATTTCCAGTCTGGTCCTTTACAGAAGGTGTCAGCTGGTCCCCACTAGAGATAAGTACAAGATTTCTTTTCTGCAATGTTCTGCTTGTAACAGTTCACACTTTTAATAAACATTTGGTTTTTCTTAGCGATGTGAGTGGACATTTCTGAGTAGACCTACATCATCCTTTAAAATCTATAATCTTTCATAAATTCTAATGCCAGGAAACTCTATTCTGTGATGCTTCTAAACATGCCACAGGCTATGAAGTGACGAACTTAGAAAATACACGTGGCAAAAGCATGTGAATCACACACTGCACCATTCTCAGTATAGGTAAAGGCAATTTCTTTGGCATAGAACTTTGAAGTATGTTTTGATGTGCTGTCGCAGGCCTATAGATACAAACTTTGCAAAATATTTGTGAATACATGAAGTTTTTAACCACTCTTAACTGCTAATGTTAAATGAGGCAATGATGCACTTCTACTGTTCATGACTGTAAATATGTAAATATGGCCAATTATGAAATTACCCCAATTAATATGCAAAGAGCATCTTAAACGCATGCAGTTGATTCTCACAAGTTAGAGCTTTGCTTTATATGCACATAATAAAAATAGAAGCTACGTGTCTATATGTGTTTTATGCATGCACGTATACATATGTGTACATACATGTACACACGCGTGCACACAGATAATAATGTCTGTGTACATATATGCATATATGTGTCTGTGTGCACATACATATATGTGTACACATGTGTGTCTGTGTACACGTGCACACATATGTGCAAGTACGCGTGTGCATAGGTGTGTGCCTGTGTACACATGTGTGTCCATGCATGTGGCGTACATATGTGAGTGTACACACATGTGCATATATTTGTGTAAGCAAGAGTACACATATATGCATACATAAGCACACATGTGCACACACATGTACTGTGTGCATACATATGTGCACATGTGCACGTATATGTCTACCTGTCTACACATGAGTGCATATATACATGTGTGTACATGTATACGTGTGTATACATATATGTGTGTACCTTTATGTATAACATTTTTAATCCACACCACAGAATTTCCAGTTAGCATTTCCATTTCATGGCTGAAGAAACTGAGGCTTACAGAAATTCAGGACACGAAGTTCAAGTTTTCAGGGGCAGGTGAAGGTCAGGGATCGGATTTCTGGATGTGAACACCTGCTTTTATCAAACTACCCTGGCTGCTGCCTCTCTCAGATGATTTTACGGGTTTTTTAATAGCTTTTTTTTTTTTTAAAGCAAATGCGAAACATCTGAAGGGAAATGTTTTTTAGTCTTTGTCATGGAAAGAGGATTCCCTTCAGGCTTCCAACAAACTGTCCGTGTGACTTACAATATTATCTGGAAATCATTCAATATCAGAGCTCATGCTGATCGATCAGCGATGATCATCTTCAAGGACAAAGCTTCCAAAAGAGTCTGATGAGTGACAGCTGTGCCTGGGGACAGAAGGGGTCTGCTTAGCACTGAGTGGAGGGGAGTCCTTTGGAGATTTTAGGAAAGAGATTTGCCCGGGGGCACGGGACACGGGGTGCGGTGTGAGGGAGAGGCTACAGCCCCATGGGAAGGAGGGCTTCATGTCATTGTTGCTCAGAATGTAGGTGCTGGTCCTTGTAACAAATCAGACACAGGCCACACTGGTTTGGAGAGCCAGAGCTCCCAGTCCTACGGGCACCTTTGTACTCGGGTGCCTGTCGCTAACCAGCTGGGGACTGTGTCCGGGAATTTAGCTGATTTCTGAACCTCATAAAAGGCCCTTCTTGTTTTTATATTTGGGGGTTGCCCCCTCCCCCATATTTCCTCTCCTTTTCTTCAGTCCTGGCCCTGCATTGTCAGTTGTGTGGCCCTGGGCATTTCTCAGATGCCTGAATGTTCATTTATCATCTGGGTTGTGGTGATGACCATGAGATCCTGCATTACTCTGGATTATTCTCTAGCTATGTCTAGCATCGTGTATGAACGCGCAGCTCTGGATTACTCTGGATTATTCTCTAGCTACGTCTAGCGTCGTGTATGAACGCGCAGCTCTGGATTACTCTGGATTATTCTCTAGCTACGTCTAGCGTCGTGTATGAACGCGCAGCTCTGGATTACCCTGGATTATTCTCTAGCTACGTCTAGCTTCGTGTATGAATGCGCAGCTCTGGATTACTCTGGATTATTCTCTAGCTATGTCTAGCATCGTGTATGAACGCGCAGCTCTGGATTACTCTGGATTATTCTCTAGCTATGTCTAGCATCGTGTATGAACGCGCAGCTCTGGATTACTCTGGATTATTCTCTAGCTACGTCTAGCGTCGTGTATGAACGCGCAGCTCTGGATTACTCTGGATTATTCTCTAGCTACGTCTAGCTTCGTGTATGAATGCGCAGCTCTGGATTACTCTGGATTATTCTCTAGCTATGTCTAGCGTCGTGTATGAACGCGCAGCTCTGGATTACTCTGGATTATTCTCTAGCTATGTCTAGCGTCGTGTATGAATGTGCAGCTCTGGATTACTCTGGATTATTCTCTAGCTACGTCTAGCATCGTGTATGAACGTGCAGCTCTGGATTACTCTGGATTATTCTCTAGCTATGTCTAGCGTCGTGTATGAATGCGCAGCTCTGGATTACTCTGGATTATTCTCTAGCTACGTCTAGCATCGTGTATGAACGTGCAGCTCTGGATTACTCTGGATTATTCTCTAGCTATGTCTAGCGTCGTGTATGAACGCGCAGCTCTGGATTACTCTGGATTATTCTCTAGCTATGTCTAGCGTCGTGTATGAATGCGCAGCTCTGGATTACTCTGGATTATTCTCTAACTACGTCTAGCTTCGTGTATGAATGGGCAGCTCCTTGCAGATGCGCTTTGCACGTGCTTCCTCTGTCATGGGCCGCCTGCATGTCAGCAGCCCCACTCACCTCCGGGGGTGGCTGTGGATGGACCCGAATCACACACAACCGCGTCGCCTTTCCCAGCTTCACTCCTCGCTGCATGCTGCGCTATGTGATGCCACCTCTGCCCCTTTTCCCACAGCCTTTTGCGTTTTATTTCATATTAGCGTGCTGCATGCATCTTTGCTAGTTGCCTTAAATCTTTTTTTCAGAGGGGGAGGCAGAATGATGCATAAGTAAATACATACACGCTACGGGATTTGCAGTCGTCAAGCTGTTTAATGTTTTTATCATTTTATTTATTATTACTCTTAATGAGCTTCTGAATTCATGTCTAGAAGGGGAAAAATCTGCCAAAGAAATCACTCTTTTCAAAAAATTCTACTGATCCACACTGCTTAATACCTAAACCCGATAAGTCACAGAACTTAGAATGTTAACTTTGAATGGAAACTTAGAAGTTTCTAGTCCAAAAGTTATAATCTCACAAATGATGTATGATTGGCACAATCAAATATTGTGTCTATATTTTACTTTCTTCTTTAAAAATGTAAAAGAAGGAATGCTGAGACAATGTAACAGGTATAATGTTTTTACATTTTGATCTCAAATTTATTGTTTTGTACTTTTGATTTGGTTTAGTTTGGTTCAAATGCTAGAAGCATGACTGTTTTACAAGAACCTTAAAGCTATAACTGTGTTAGCTAAGGCTGTCCAGAGAAGCTGAACCAATAGGATGTGTATGTATGGAGAGGAGAGAGAGAGAGAGAGAGAAATAATTTTAAGGGGTTGACTTACACGATTGTGGGGACGGGCAGTTCTGAAACCTGCAGTGCTGGTGGGCAGGCTGGACACCCGAGGAAGCACTGGCATTGCAGCTCGAGTCTGCAGGCTGTTTGCTGGCAGAGCACCCTCTTCCTGGAGGACCTCAGTCTTTGCTCTTTTTAAGTCCTTCAACTGATTGGATGAGGCCCACCACATTCTGAGGCGTGATCGACGTTGCTCAAAGTCTATTGGTTTAAACGCCAATCCCATCCAAAAAATGCCTTCAGAGCAACATCTAGAACGAAGTTTGAGGGAATACTGAGGTACCACGGCCTAGCCAAGTTGACACATAAAATTCACCATCACGATAACCCTTACAAAGCAGAGAAATTGTAAGACAAGTTTTTTAAACGACAAAGCTGCCTTATTCTTTCTTTCTGGCACCTTACCTATGTCTTTAAATATGTTTTTAAATAATTAATCATGGATAAATGAGATAAGATGAAATTTTAAAAACGGTTGTAGATTTAAGATGAATCAAATGAAGGTTACACCAGTCTGAAACGGCAGCGAGGAAAAGTGCTTGTGTCGTGGGGGCTCCGGCTGGGGAGAGGGTGCCGGGTTGGCTCTGAGCACTGCTGTGGCCCCTGCTGTAGGGCTCGGAGCAGGGCACTTCTCTGTGAGTCTGTTTCTGTCTGTAAAATTGATATAATGATATCACAGAGAATTCAAATCAACGTTTAATGGAAGTCGAATTGACAGCACCCCAATCTTTCCCTTCATTACAGTTGTACTAATTTCTAAACAGGTCTCAATTATAAAGGTGTGTGCTTGTCTTAGTTTTCTAATTGCCTTTAACATTGGGACCTGATGCCCAGGACCCAGCACAGCACTGCAGGGGTGCCGTCCCTCTCACCTTCCTGGCTTAGCTAAAGCCTCGAACTCCTAGAATCTGTTCCTAACCCACTTCCCTCTGGCCAGGTAGCACTGGACTCCTCTCCTGACATCCACACTCCCCTGACCCAACACAACCTTCCACGTGCAGCGTTTGAAGCTGAGTGTGACGCCTTACACAATGAGAATGGATGACTGGAAGTACAGGATTCCTGGGCCCTAAACAGTGTCCGTGAGCTGGGACCAGGAGTGGGAGACGCAGAGCTCTGAGGACCCTGACCCAGGAAAGGTCGAGCAAGTCAGCAAAGCAGGGGCAGGAGGCCAGTTCAGAGGCTGAGAAGAGAAGAAGGGAGCCCCAGGCAGGAGGCCAGTTCAAAGGCTGAGAAGAGAAGAAGGGAACCCCAGGCAGGAGGCCAGTTCAGAGGCTGAGAAGGGAAGGAGGGAGGGAGCCCCAGGCAGGAGGCCAGTTCAAAGGCTGAGAAGGGAAGGAGGGAGCCCCAGGCAGGAGGCCAGTTCAGAGGCTGAGAAGGGAAGGAGGGAGCCCCAGGCAGGAGGCCAGTTCAGAGGCTGAGAAGGGAAGGGGGGAGCTCCAGGCAGGAGGCCAGTTCAGAGGCTGAGAAGAGAAGGAGGGAGCACCAGGCAGGAGGCCAGTTCAGAGGCTGAGAAGAGAAGGAGGGAGCACCAGGCAGGAGGCCAGTTCAGAGGCTGAGAAGAGAAGGAGGGAGCACCAGGCAGGAGGCCAGTTCAGAGGCTGAGAAGAGAAGGAGGGAGCCCCAGGCAGGAGGCCAGTTCAGAGGCTGAGAAGGGAAGGAGGGAGCCCCAGGCAGGAGGCCAGTTCAAAGGCTGAGAAGGGAAGGAGGGAGCACCAGGCAGGAGGCCAGTTCAGAGGCTGAGAAGAGAAGGAGGGAGCCCCAGGCAGGAGGCCAGTTCAGAGGCTGAGAAGGGAAGGAGGGAGCACCAGGCAGGAGGCCAGTTCAGAGGCTGAGAAGAGAAGGAGGGAGCCCCAGGCAGGAGGCCAGTTCAAAGGCTGAGGAGGGAAGGAGGGTGGGAGCCCCAGGCAGGAGGCCAGTTCAGAGGCTGAGAAGGGAATGAGGGAGCACCAGGCAGGAGGCCAGTTCAGAGGCTGAGAAGGGAAGGAGGGAGCCCCAGGCAGGAGGCCAGTTCAAAGGCTGAGGAGGGAAGGAGGGTGGGAGCCCCAGGCAGGAGGCCAGTTCAGAGGCTGAGAAGAGAAGGAGGGAGCCCCAGGCAGGAGGCCAGTTCAGAGGCTGAGAAGAGAAGGAGGGAGCCCCAGGCAGGAGGCCAGTTCAGAGGCTGAGAAGGGAAGGAGGGAGCCCCAGGCAGCAGGCCAGTTCAGTGGCTGAGAAGGGAAGGAGGGAGCCCCAGGCAGGAGGCCAGTTCAAAGGCTGAGAAGAGAAGGAGGGAGCTCCAGCCGAGGAGGGCATGGGGGTGGAGAGTGTGAGTGTGAGGGGAGAAAATGTGTGTGTAGGTGAGTGTAGGTGTGTGTGTGTGGGGGGGGGACAGAAAACATGAGGGGTAGAGAGTGTGAGTGTAAGGACCTGAGGGTGCCTGTGGGTGGTGTGTAAGAATACACGTGTATGAGTGTGAGTGTATGGAGGACAGAAGTGTGTGTGAGTGTGTGTGTGTGCAGGCACCAGAAGCTGGGGTGGACAGGGAAGGACGTCAGGAGGCATTCAAGAAACAGAATTGACAGGCTGTGGCCATTCCTTGGATGGCAAACTGAGGATAAGGATGAAATAAATAACGGTGAAAAGAAATTCTGAGAAAAAAATACTAAAAGAAAACATAAAAATAGATAAAAGGCAAAATAAGAGTTAAGAGCAAATAAGATATAATGGAACAAAAAACTTAGAAGGTACAAAGCAAAAAGATAAAATAAGCTCAGAATAGTGATAAAAAGAAGAAATAGAATAATTTCAACAGCTGGGAAAGATCCAAGGTAGATGTAAGTGTAAAGCTAAATTTATGTCAATTTAAATTAATAGAAAATAGTAATAGTGTAACTTGTAAGAAAGGTAAAATGGAAACTGTAAAACAATAAACAGAAAGAAAGTGTGAGTGAAGGTGGGTGGGCCTGGGCCCTGGCAGGGACACCCACAGACTCTCCTGGAGGCCACCAAACCTTCTTCCCAGGTGGGACTTCTCGGCCACGGGGCTGTGCAGAGCCCTTAGGGAAATGATGGCAAGGCTCCAGCGGCTGAGCTCACGTTAGGTTTCATACTCCTTGGGCTAGGAGTGGGGAGGATGGGGCAGAGAGGTCATGGTGGGCAGCCCATGACGGGCAGCCAGTCTGTTCGCCCGACCTCCACACGCAGGGCAGCGAGATGTCTCCTCAGGCAGGTTTCTCAACTGGATCAGCCCACTGGAGGTCAGCAGCCAGGGAGCTTGGCAGAATATTCACCTCTTTCGCCTGCAGCCGTTCCTGGTCTCTCCAATTCCTCTGGGTTCTTTCTCAGCCTGGTACTGAAGGGAAAAAAAGAGAAGTGAGTTAAATTTCTAAACTCACTAAATTTTCAGATTATCCATAGGACAGTTTGAGAGAAAGAAGGATGAGAAGGATTCCCTGTGCAGGTCCAGAGTGAAGGGTGTGTGCTCTATTTGGGGACAGGAACCTGTCAGATGCGTTCCTCTCATTCTCACATAACAAACATTTCACACCATCCACCTCTCCGATTGCACCTGTGGCACGGTGGGCACTGAGGTGCATGGGCGGCCTTGGCCTTGCTGGTTGTGTGAGAACCTCAGGGCCACTTCTTTAGGTATCTTCCGCCACAGTAACTTGGCTATTGATTCATAGAGATATTCCACTTTTCGGCGCAGCTTTATCCTTTGTCAAATTGTGATTAGTTTGGTATTGAGTGCATGTGCAGCCACACGCAAGGTGTTTATGTAAATTTGAAAAGAGACTAGTCCTTTATAATCTGTTGAGGGCACAAGGCTTGCACACCTGCGACACACTCACACTCAATCACACTCATACATTCACACACACACACCCAGCAAGAACACAGAGCGATAGCATAACGAAGGGCAGGGTTGGACGGACCAGGCTTCCTGTTGGGTGGGCGTTCTAGAAGGGGCCAGAGGATACATCAAGGGTTTGAAATCGAAACAGGATCATTTGTGGAGAACAGGAGGACAAGATGGCAGACTCAGGCCCATCTGCCCTTGGCTTTCAGCTGCACTCATGCCAGGAGGTGACCTTAGACAACTCATAACCTCTCACATTTATTAAATAGGGTGATTACGGTGGCTTCCTCGACCGCTCCTTAGATCAGCCCTCCCTCTCACCAGCTACTCCTCAGTGTTTGCTGTGTGTCTGTTCACGAGTGGGTCTGTGGGGCTCAGAGTTGGGCCTCTGCTGTCCTTTTCTGTATCCCTAACTTCAAGAATGTGCATGGGCCGGATGCGGTGGCCCATGCCTGTCATCCCAGCATCCTGGGAGGCTGAGGTGGGAGGATCACTTGAGCCCAGGAGTTTGAGACCAGAGTGGGCAATATGGTGAAACCCCCTCTCTACAAAAAATACAAAAATTAGCCGGGCGTGTTGGCACACACCTCTGGTCCCAGCTAATCATGAGGCTGAAGTGGGAATCTCGCTTGAGCCTGGGAGATCAAGGCTGCAGTGAGCTGTGATTGCACCACTGCACCCCAGTCTGGGTGACAGAGCGAGACCTCGTCTCAAAATAAAATAAATAAATGAAACAACCAAATATGGCTGCTGCATGACAGGGTCCCAGTAAGTACCGGTTGATGGAATAACCAGATAGACGGGATGAAGTTTGCAAACCCTGGACATAGCTCACGCTCAGTGGATACTCGCAGATTTTGTTGTTGTCTGTGTATGGGATTACTGAGTTAGGCTATGGAAGACGGGGCTCTAATGAGATCCGCTGAAGTACAAGCCCCACAGACCAGGAAGCCGTTTTGTTCTTGGTGCATCCTGAGCCTGGCATGGAGCCTAGCCTGTGACGGGCGGGTGCCCAGGAAGTAACTGCCGAGTGAATGAACAGCGTGAGCCTCAAGCTGTCTTCTTGCTCAACACAGGACTGGGCAGCACTGGTCCTCTTGCCTCTCATGGGTTGCAGGCTGGTTCTCCCCATGCAGAACCGCCCTGGAATGCAGGGGACCAGCAAAGGCCACGGCGGGGAGTGTGCAGACGACTCAGCCTGTCCCAGAGCTCAGTGCACCTCCTTTGGCGCCTGCCGACGCAGCCTGTCCCAGAGCTCAGTGCACCTCCTTTGGCGCCTGCCGACGCAGCCTGTCCCAGAGCTCAGTGCACCTCCTTTGGCGCCTGCCTTTGAGAGTGCCGTGCCCCCCGCAGGGGCTCAAATTGGCTCTCAGAAAACCACACAAGGTGTCTTGAGCGGCCTCCAGTTCCTCAGTGCATTTATCTGTGTGGTGTCAGGGTGTGGATGGCTCTTTCCTCGTCGGCTCTGATATAAAACTTCACGATGCCAGTGACCCTTATTTGCACAATAATTTTATGCAGTCAGTGCCTGACTTGGTTAAGCAAACTGGGCATTCAGTAGCTGAGTGGCATCTCACCTGCCTGGGGGCCACTGCTCAGCATTCCTGTGTGCAGTGGTGGGCTTTTGTAAGAACTCAGTGAGTGGAGACCTCTGAAAACTCGTCCTGCTCTCTAAAAATTGGGAGAGCTTTTTTGCAAAGCAGTGAGTGAAAAGACATATTTTTGAAATCACTGCATTCTTAGACTTAAGCTACTATTTTTACAAATTGTCACGTGAGGCTGGAGCTACCTTGTTCTTTTCTTCTTTTGCTTGTTGAAAAATAATTTTTTCCTTGGCTTGCAAACACGAATTATAAAACATCAATTCTTTCCATTGCTTTTCTCAGAAGAAAAGAATCAGCAAAAGCAGATACCTTGTTAGGAACAGATTATGCATAAAAGGAAGGAACAAAGCATTGAGATAAAAAGCCCTTCACATCATTGAGATGCTTAAGTTAGCCTCTGGGATAAGGGCCTCTTAGGTCATTTCAAATGGGGGCCCATTCTTGGGACTCTCTGTGGGTTAAGAAATAAAACAACGCCCATTGTCCTGGTCCATTGTAACCACACTCGTGTTAACTTGGGTTAATTGAGACTTGTGCTCCCTTACATTTAGAAACTTTGTGCAGGGTATTTGAGTGTCTTGCTGTAGCTTTTAAATGTGCAAACTAGATAAAAGTTGCAGGTGGTAGCTTTACTCTCCCAGATAGAAAGAGAGCACGCTCAACAGGAAAAGTGTTCTCGGAAGTTCTGAAGTTCCACAGGTATAAAAGTCAACATAAGTTTTCAAGATGTTAAACATGGAATTATCATGCGACCCAGCGATTCCACACCTAGGTTTCCACCCATAGAAATGAAAACACTTGTACACAGGAAACTTGCACAGGAAAGTTCCCAGCAGCAGTATTCGTAGCAGTCAAAGGTGGGAACTCCCGAATGTCCATGGTGAGTGATTGGAGAAGCAAAGTGTGGTGCAGTCACATAACAGAGCATTGTTTGGCTGTAGAAACCAGCAAAGCACTGACGGGCTACGAGGTGGATAAATCTCGAAAACATTTTGTCGGAGGAAATAAGTCAGACACAGAAGACCCATATGATTCATTTACATATGGTGTCCAGAGTAACAAATGGGTAGAGATGGATGTGGATCGGCTGTTCCCTGGGGAGGTGGAATGGGGGTGGATATGAAGGCTAATAGGTATGAGCTGTTTTTGGGGTGATGAAAATATTCTAAAATCAGGATATGGTGATGGCTGCATAACTGAGAATACACTAAAAACACTGAATGGTGCACATTAGGCTGAACCTATGGTATGTAAATTCTATTTCAATAAAGCTGTTAAAACAAGAACACAGTCAACGCAAGTCAAGGGTGCTGTTCTCTGCTATCTGGGCCACAAGGCTGCATGTGTGCATGGAGCTCTGAGGCCTGTGCTTTGGAAGCGAGGAGGTGGCGCCTCTGCCTGGGCACCTCTGCGGGGTTGTTGCGTGGGGCCGGAAGAGGGAATTCCTCCCGGCCTTCTTCACCCCGGGAAGAGCTCCTCGTTCTGTTGATAATTTGAGGAATATTGTGCTCTGTGGCACCTTCCTGTCCAAACACGTTCACAGCCATTTTGATGGGCTTCTGGGTGAAGGAGAGAGGCCTCTCCAAACATTCCCAGGGGGACAGCTCACCCCACCTGGCTCAGGTGCCCACATGTAGATATAGATTGTGGAGGGTGACATCCTTCAATCAGCAGACTGAAAATGGGACTCAGAACTCTTGTGCTTGGGACAAAGAATCTGCAATTGGTTTTTGGAAAGAGCAAAATGAGGGTGGATTCAGTTGAGGTTACAGAGTGGGCCTCCCCCTGCTGACTCCCATGAGGTGGGAGCCAGGTGTCAGGTGCAGAGCTGGAGAAAAATGCACTGGAATGGGGCATCAGGTGCAGAGCTGGGGAGACATGCATTAGAGCCACAGCATAAGGAGCAGAGCTGGGGAGACATGCATTGGAGTCATGCCATCAGGAGCAGAGCTGGGGAGAAATGCATTGGAGTCGTGGCATCAGGAGCAGAGCCGGGAAGAAAGGCATTGGAGCTACGGTGTCACCAGGAGGGCCTGGAGCCCTCTCCCTCCTTCCACCCTTCTGGGGACATAAAGGACTTCAGGAATGCTCGATAGAGGGATGGTTTTGCAACATGACTGTGTAAACAGAGCTCAAGGATGGCTCTGCATTTGTCCTTCTTGATTCTGGTGTTGTCTTCACAACCAACACGAGCTGTGCATTTGCTAATGGATGCTTATGCTGAGGTTTGCATCTGTCAACAAAATCTGGGTTCCTAAGAGCATGGATATAAAACCAACATAAATTATCTTGACTTTGCAGTCACAGCTGTCCACAGGGTCCAAAGCCGATGCACAATCCCGGTCTCTGTCCTTTGCTCTGCCTTGTGGACTCCATACACCAGGGCTGTGGGTTTCTTTTCGAGGGGCTTAGGTGCAGAAGAGAAGCTGGAAGGGGCACGCAGTTCTCCAGCTGTCTCTGCAGAACCCGTCTGAGGCTGATGTCTGTCCTGAGGTTCAGAATGGCTGCCAAGCCACGGCTGAACCAGGGTGAGCATGGAGGAAACTTCCGGTTGGTTATGGGCATCTCACACTCTCCTTGCATCATTTGTGTGCTCATCATTTGCTGGCTGCTCACCTTTGAGAGGGGGTGGAATGGAGAAGAGAAGGTCCTGGGTCCAGAAGCTCTGGCGAGTCTCACCTGTGCTTTCTGTGGGAAATCCCACCTCCCAGCCCTTCCTGTTTTCTTTCTCTGCCCTTCCCACCTCTTCTGAGGGAAGAAAAGTGCAGGGAGGGGCCTTCTTTCTGAACTTCTGCAGTTTTCTTCTTTTCCTCATTGCTCCTTTTACTTTCATGTTATTTATTGACCACACAGTGTTTGGGCGTCTGAGGCCCTGCTTGCTGAGGGCTGGTCTGTCCTGTATTGTGGGGCCTAAGAGGAGCTCACTGTGTCCTGGGAAGATGCCTCTTTCATTGATTTTAACTGCTGTCTCTCAGGCTAGAAGAAGGCAGAACTGTCCCTGGAAATGAGTTGCAGGGTGATTTTTAAAAATGCTTACAAGAAGGATGAAGAGATAAAAGCTCATAAACTGAAAAGAAGTCACGTGCATGATGGAATGGCGGAATCTGTTCAGAATCACAGAGCTGCACCCTGCACTGTGGATCAGGGAAGTGTGTGCTCTGAGATGGACGTGGTCCTGTGCCTCCACCATCCTCCCTGCTCCCCACCTCCTGCCCTGGTTGCAGGGGATGTCTCTGTGCTCAGACACAGTCCACTCTGAGCCTGTATAGTTTCTTCCTCAGAAACAAACAATTTAGGCTGACCTAGAGTTTAATGTGTAAAAGAAGAGATGGTCGATGACCAGTGCCCCACTGTAGTAATAAAATGTCTAGACAGCAATTAACACTCATTTCCCCTAAGAATGTCACTGCGTCATCAGAAAATCTCGACTGCTTTAAAAGGAAGCAGTCTAGGTATATTTCATCATTAATCAATTTCTAAATCTGATCAGAATTTGCACAGATTGCAGTCGTAGGACCAGACCTGCCCCCACTCCCAGCACCTCTGGGCCCCTTACCTGGGGTCCGAGCGTCCCTCATCCTGGCAAACAGGGCTGGAGATTTGTTTGGGAATGGGGGGTCCGGGCGTCCCTCATCCTGGCAAACAGGGCTGGAGATCTGTTTGGGAATGGGGGGTCCGGGCGTCCCTTATTCTGGCAAACAGGGCTGGAGATTTGTTTGGGAATGCTGCCTGTTTGAAGGAGGCACTACTTTCGGTTTCTCCGTTTGCTTTCTGTTCAACTGCTAATCCTTTTGTACTTGGAGCTAGAAGCCAAGCCTGGGACCAGCTGGCAGGTGGTTTATCAGGACCACCTGAGTGCCCTGTCCTGCTCTGTGCCGGGTGGAGCCTCAGAGCAACCTGTCTGTGCCAGGCTCCCCCAGCAACATAACACCCCATTTCCTTTCTGCTCTGTTCCCTTCTAATCACCACCTGAAACTTCCCCAATTGCTTCTGTTCTCAGTTTCCACTTCTCATCCTTTCCCCTCCCCTCCCCGCACCCTTAAAGCACCTTTGATGACTGTTGCTGCTGGGGCTGTGCTCTGCTCACTCCGAAGGGCAGAGAGGAGAATTCTGTCTCTATTTTTTAGCAACCGAGCACTAGCAATCCAGAAATCCTCGGGTTTTTACTAAAGCAGAGACAAGAGAAAAAGAGAAGTCACTGGACTGTGAGGAGAGAGACGCCTTTCACAACACAAATCCAACAAGAACGTTTATTTCGCTTCGTGCTGACTACCAGTGCAACGCATCTCTGTTGGAAAAAAAAAGTGTAGGAATGTAGAAAACTACCAAGAAGGAAGTGACCATCCAGGGATATGAACCCTTGAGAACCTGGTGCATTGCCTTGAAGCCTGTTTATGTGCATATGTCTGCATTCCTCACGCTTTTGTAACATCGGGACCGTAGGTACCTGTGTAACCCTCTTAAGCGCAGAAGCACCTCCCATCACTGAGTATCCCTCTGTAGCATGGTTTTTAATGGTTATATGGTGAGGGACCATGCTCCAGATAATAGAAATGGCTTTGTACGCACTTGGGGAGCTCCCAGACTCTTTTCTGTTTAAACCACATAGACTCCTCCGTTTCCAAGTTGAGGCTGCAATAAAGTAAATAAAAAATGCAATGACACTTTACAAATGATGACATTGCTGCTGGTTTATGGACAACCCTTCTCTGAAAAGCTCAGCAACTTTATACCTCTCATGGCAGAGGCCACTGTAATTATTGAGCTTGGGACAATTGGACCCATTTCATAGATGGACAAACTAACCCACAGATTCCTATGAATAGAAATACATTTCTCCAAAGGGCTTTGTCCCCTGTCTCTCATTCCAAATACACACACATTGTGGCAGGAAGCATAACAGTAATGTGTGCAATAAATTATATGAAGTGTAATCGATATATATCAAATTATATAAAAAGTGTGCTTTTCAAAGCTGAAATAACAAATTATTTAAAATATGATCTTACATGTGAATGCAAATTTGGTTGTTGTTTGGTGACTTAGCTTTCAAATATCTAGCCTAATCCTCACACCCACTGCAGACTTTCAGGAGCGTGGTCCTCTCCGACCCCACTGAAGGGCAGGTCTTGGCCACATGCTTAGCTCTGGTTCCCATCTTTGAGGGGGAGGGACGGGAAGCAGTTCCTGTTGCTTTTATTCTCATCGTCACCTATGGGTCCTGCCACGTGCCGATGACTTTTTTTGGGGGTGATTTCTTCATAATTCAATAGTGTCTTTCAACATTTCACCACATGGCAGAGTTGTATGAATCACTTTGGGAGGTAGAGTAAGTGTGAAATATCATAGGTCAGTGCTGCCATGATCATGCAGAGGAGCTGATGAAAAAGAGCTTTTGAGAAAAAGGAGAGAAAAGAATCAGACAGGGATGCGAAAGTGACTCAGAGCCCGGGAAGGAGGCTTTGGGGTTTGGTTTCTGCTTTCATTTTTCCCGGACGTGGTGGTCACGCATCTGTGGTAAGTGCCTTGCTGAGAAATTGCTGGTGTGGAGCGAGCTAGTGGCCTCCTGTGGAAGTGATACAAGTTTGCCGGCCACCGTGGCATGGCTCCGTGGCTCTCAGGATGGCGCGGTGGCCCCAAAGGTTCTTCTGTGTTGTCTCCTGAGTCTGACTCGGCCTCAACCTCAGACAGTCGTTCCAGCTGTGGAGCCTGCCTGCACGGTTTCCTGAGACATTTACATAACTGTCCATTATTCCAGCCTCTGCCTTTCAATATTTGCCCCCTATGACCACCGCGCCGTGTATCCATCACTGCCTCCCAGCTTCAGAGTGATTGCTGTCTTGGAGACGTTCTTGAGCTTGTAAATAAACGCCAGGCATCAGGGCGCAGACAAGATGGAGCCTGTCCGAGCTGGGAGCCGGCAGCAGAGTTATAATTACAGTGGGGTGGTGCGAGGTGGATTCCTTCCCCCCATAGATTTAATTGTCATCAGCTGCCGAGGACAGGGTGCAGGAGACGAGGGGGGTGGGTGGGGGTTGGAAGGAGGCCCCGCCTGGGTGGCCTCTGCACCCCCTCTGATGAGCTCACCAGCGTGTCTCCCACAGGACAGCAGGACAGAGACACCAGCCCTGGGAAGCCACTAGGATTTCTGCAGAGGGCCGTTTCCACATCAGAAAACTGGGAACCCTTTGTGCACATAACGCTTGACACGAAGAAGGACCTCGGAGCCAAGTGGGAACCAACACTGTTTAAAGGCAGGAAGCAAAATCCTACAGTGTCCAAATGAAATGTGTGCTGCGAAAGGCGTAATCTGTGTGTGTTCTCTGCGGCTCACTCCCAGGTGTGCAAACTTGCAGAGTGGGGAACCTTGTTGCCTTCCCCCTACGCTAACTGCCTTTTCGTGACTTTTTCGCAGCTGGCAGTGAGGTGTGCGGGCTCATCTGTGGCCAAGTGCCCAGGAAAGAGAGGCAGCCCAGTAGATCGTGCTTCCCGTGAGGGAGACTCGCTGCTGCCAATGACAGACTCAAAACATCGTGACCCGGCCACAGGATCATGGGTGAGAACGGCTAGAATCAGAAAACGAGTGACTATCCTGTAGCCCCAGTCGGACTTGAGGTTCACATTTCTTGCATTTTTATGCTTAATGACAATAGTTTTATTAGTGAGAAGTGGCCTTCTGGAAGTAGAGTAGAATTCATTTTGCCCCCTGGAGGTGTGCATTTTGTGTCTGTGTGCACACACCCTGCTCTTCATCCGACTTTCTGAAGCGACAGGTCCAACTTGCTGTTTTCAGGGACAGGACAATTTTCCCACATGCATGAAAAGGCAACAGACCCAACGCTGAGCTCGGGCAGAACATCCTGGTTATCAGGACCCTGTGATTGCAAACGAACCCACAGACCTCTGCGTGTCATGCTGAGTATGTCTTGATGGGCACCAAGAACTAAAAGCCACTTTCCTAAACCTAAGACGGGGTTTCCAGCACAGCCTGTCATTCAGCCTCCGAGGGGGGCTGCCAAGGAGGGAGAGTGCTGGGGAGTTTCCTGCCTCGGCACTGGTGACTTCAGACACGTGTTTCCTCCGAGAGATTTGGGTGGAGACGCGAAAAGCACCTCTAAGTTCATGCACCCTGATAAAAGTGGGGTTTACCTGCTCACAAGCACATATAGCCACAGATGTTGCCAAGAGCCTCACACCCCACAATCACAGCCCAGTTAAAAATGGGCTTGGCTGATGGGAGGTTCTGAGTGAATGCAGTGTAGACAGGCAGGTCTCCTCCAAGCCTTCTGGGGGTGCAGCTTCCTGAACGGGTTGTGGAAGAACCAGAGAGTTAGGTCTGCTTCTGTCGCAGTGGGGCACCCAGACAGCGTCTTTCCCCGCAAGTAAAAGGGTTGCTCATAGCCCTGTTTTGTTGTTCGTGTTGCTTTGCCGATGCAGTGCTCACACCGAGCTTTGCTGGCCCGCTGGCTCTAAATTCTACAATTTCATCGCAGTTTCTCAGGGTTCCTGCTGAGCGCAGCAGGTCCTTGCAGTAAGCGAAATTTATATAGACTTCATGGACGCAGGGACAGTCTTCCACTGTGAATTTCCTCATCCAAGGACAAATATAAGGGCTCCTCCGTAAGGACTTGCAGGCTGCTGAACTTCTGCAGCTTGCTGGGATCCAACTTAACACCCGTCCCCACTTCCAGGCCTTGGGGAGGTGCCTGTGTACAGGGGGTGCTGGGTAGAGTCTGTAACAGAACGAAGACCTAAAGCAAAACACAGCTCCCGTTCTTAGAAATTAAAAAATCCCGTAAGATTGTCTGGTATCTGATGATCCCCAGCTCTTCAGTCATAGATGGTCATTATATTCCTACTGAAAAAGCCACAAAAGGGAAGGAATTAGATTCTAGATGCCTTTTAAAAAGCACTGTATCATGTTTCAATGAAAAAGAGAAGATTAAGAAAGCTGGGGAGTAAAGTAGGAAGCACAGGGCACAGGGTGTCAGAATGTCTCTGCTCATAAACAGAATGTCTGCCCACAAAGCCCGTGGGTGGGACGGGGCAGAAGTGATTGTGTTTCCAAATCAGAATTGGGTTAAATATTGCAGAAAAAAAAAGGGTAGGGAAAGCCATGCACGTGTAGCTGAACAGATTATAACCAGTGTCAGGGGCCGCCGTAATCTGCACTGCACAGGGCTTTTGCAGATCTGGTGCAGGTGAGAACAAACTGGCATTTTCCAAAGTTAAAAAAAAATTGCACATCTCAGATTTGGACCATTGTAACTACTGCTCTGACTAATAAGTCGGTAAAAAAAAAAAGTTTGCATTCTTTTTTCCCTTGCAGAGCTCTTCGCTCATCGCTGTGGGTGCCGGGACGTTGCATGTTTTTTCCCTTGCAGAGGCCATCGCTGTGGGCGCCAGGACATCTGTCCTTTGTGGGCATGTTGAGGCTTCTCTGTGAAGGACCCACATGTAAGTGGTCCCAGTGCCCTGACTTAGGATTGGAGGCAATTGACCCTCAGTGAGCTGGAAGGGAACCCGATCCTGAGGCTGCTGTGCCGTGGCCTGAATGGGTTTTCCTGGGTTTCTGGAACTGAATCAGCCAACGGTAATTGTAGCCCAGGAGCCTCTCTCCCCCTGTTTCTCCATTTATTGGGCATCTTCCTCGAGCTCGGCATTTTGTGAGGCTCTTTTAAAACATCCCACTGAATTCTTGTGAAATTTATGACGCGGGTGCTTTGTTTGTTAGGGTGTCCAGAGCGGGCAGCTGGGCGAGCCCCCCTTGCTGTACAAACACCTGCACTTCCTGCAGAGGGTCCCCTCCTCCCCCTCCTGCAGAGGGTCCCCTCCTCCCCGTCCTGCAGAGGGTCCCCTCCTCCACGTCCTGCAGAGGGTCCCCTCCTCCACGTCCTACAGAGGGTCCCCCTCTTCCCCGTCCTGCAGAGGGTCCCCTCCTCCACGTCCTACAGAGGGTCCCCCTCTTCCCCGTCCTGCAGAGGGTCTCCTCCTCCGCATCCTACAGAGGGTCCCCCTCTTCCCCGTCCTGCAGAGGGTCCCCTCCTCCCCGTCCTGCAGAGGGTCCCCTCCTCCCCGTCCTGCAGAGGGTCCCCTCCTCCCCGTCCTGCAGAGGGTCCCCTCCTCCACGTCCTACAGAGGGTCCCCCTCTTCCCCGTCCTGCAGAGGGTCCCCTCCTCCGCGTCCTACAGAGGGTCCCCCTCCTCCCCGTCCTGCAGAGGGTCCCCTCCTCCCCGTCCTGCAGAGGGTCCCCTCCTCCCCGTCCTGCAGAGGGTCCCCTCCTCCCCGTCCTGCAGAGGGTCCCCTCCTCCACGTCCTGCAGAGGGTCCCCTCCTCCCCATCCAAGCTGGACTGCTGAAGTGACTGCCAGCCTCCCACGGTCATCAGATTCTGCATCCCCCTGTACTGGACCTGCCCCCCCACCCCCCAGGGGCTCATCCCCCCTGTACTGGACCTGCCCCCCCACCCTCCAGGGGCTCATCCTCCCTGTACTGGACCTGCCCCCCCATCCCCCAGGGGCTCATCCCCCCTGTACTGGACCGGCTCCCCCACCCTCCAGGGGCTCCCTTCCTGTACTGGACCTGCCCCCCACCCCCCAGGGGCTCATCTTTGTGGAAGTTGATGGGGACGAATTCTGTCTGGGGCAAGCTGATGTTGACCAGCACATTGGGGGTGTTCCTGCACCTTTCTTAAAGGACTGGGTGACCAGGACCCCTAGGGCCCCTTGCACCAGCTCCTGGCCTGCATCTCCCTGGCCAGTCTCCATCCTTGGGGTCCTGGTGTTTCTGCACAAGGTTATCAGCCTCTGGGGTCCTGACTGTTCTCTCCTCTCCACAGGGAGTCAGGCTGCTTGTGGCAAGAGGCCCTGGCTTAATCTTCACAGGTGGAAGAGACCTGAGGGCTCATCTCACCTAACCCCAAATTTTCTAGACAACGTTCTGCTTGAGTTTCAGGAGGTGGATCTGGAGCCAGCAGCCCTCCTGTGAGAACACTGGCCTGAGCCCCTCAAGCCGCCCCTCGTCTCTGAATGGGGGTCATTTTGGCCCTTGGTGGGCAGCTTCTTGGGAGATGGTTTGGAAATGGAGGCAAGTTTTGGGGTCTGCAAAGGGGAGGGGACATATGTGGTGGCCCAGCCTGTCCTGCTGTAGGTAGACGCCCTCTCCGCTCACTCCAGAGTGGACTGTTTCAGACAATAGGGGTCCCACCAGACCCCTCAGAAAAGTCCATACACCTTCACATTTTGGCTGTAAATCATCTCAGTCCTATTCCACTTGACTTTTGACCTGAAGGACACAAACTGTCAGACTGGCCAGACCACCATTAGTGGAGGAATTCCTTCCTTTAATTGTAAAATCTAGAACTCACAGACAGTGTGGCTCTGGAAATGGATGGCCCCAGCTCCCAGGGACTCCAAGGCCCCCAGCTCCCAGGGACTCCAAGGCCCCAGCTCCCAGGGACTCCAAGGCCCCAGCTCCCAGGGACTCCAAGGCCCCCAGCTCCCAGGGACTCCGAGGGCCCAGATCCCAGGGACTCCGAGGCCCCAGATCCCAGGGACTCCGAGGCCCCAGATCCCAGGGACTCTGAGGCCCCAGATCCCAGGGACTCCAATGCTGGCACCTCCTCCTCAAGCTGAATGCACAGAGCACCCTCATTTCATGAAGAGCACGAAAGGCATTCTTCTTTTTGATCAAGTTTGGGTTTCAATTAAAAGCTGACCTTTTTGACAGATACTTTGTTGAATAAACGATTATACTACAACTTCTGCTATCTTCAGACATACATGGAAATGCACCGCACAGATCACACTGATGTGGACACGCCCACCTCCTGCCAGGTATTTTTGTTTTTCCTTTGACTGCCTTTGGACCATAGAAAATTCTGTCTCTTTCAATAAACTTAAATCATGGTAAGTTACAGTTTATGTATTAATCCTGTGCTTATATTTTAGGGTTGCAGAATTAGTTATGGAGTACACACACACACATATTTCTGTATATGTCAGTGTTTGTATAAACTTCTATTGAGCTTAGCAATTTTTATTTTTCTCTTGTGATACATCTTCAGGATTTGGTTTATTCTACGGTCTTGATGTCTATTTAAGGGGCATTTATACGACTGAATTCATCATATGCTTTTCCCCTAAAGCTTTCTCCCTAAAGAAAAACAACTACGATTTATTGAGTGATAATAGGGGTAACTATGTAGTTAATTGTTACAATAACTCTAAAAATTGTTATTGTTATAGAACTTCAATTTTATTCCTGCATATGAAATTTAAACCTATGTCTGTTAGGACTATGTCAGTCAAATACAATGTATCATTAGTTGGCAGAACTCATTTAAAAAATTGAGTTAATAACCTGCACGTAGGCTCAGAGAAGCGATCCCTGGTTTCTGTTTCCACTTCACCAATAGGACAACATTCCAGCACAACAGATGGAGAATGGTCAGGCAAAACCGGGGTGGGGGGGGCGAGAAATGAACGCCTGTCACCTGGAGGAGGCTCAGCTCCTGCACACAGTAGGCGCCCAGTGAATGCGCCTGGGTGAATGTGTGAAACTCTTCAGAAGATCAACCACAGCAGCATCAGGGGTCCCGCAGCAGGAAGCCCGGAGCACCCACAGACCGGGGGTCCCGCAGCGGGGAGCCCGGAGCACCCACAGACCGGGGGTCCCGCAGCGGGGAGCCCAGAGCACCCACAGACCGGGGGTCCCACAGCGGGGAGCCCGGAGCACCCACAGACCGGGGGTCCCGCAGCGGGGAGCCCGGAGCACCCACAGACCAGGGGTCTTTCAGGGATGCAGTGTGAGGATGGATGTAGTCTGAGATCAGGGGCATAAAATGTGAGGTCAAGACACAAAGTCAGCATCCAATCAGAGAGACAGGAACGTATGAAAGAAAGAGGCCAACGTCGAAGCTGTGAACTACGGGAGATACTGTCAGCCTGGTGGGCAGAAGGGCCACGCCCTGTGGCTTCCTTCCTGAGATAAACGATCAGCAGTGTGGGTTCTGGAAGGACAGGGCAGATTGGTAAGCTCCTTCTCCCAGGGAGCGTCCCCTGTTCCTGTAGACGCTGATGGTCTGGGACTACTCCCTCCCTCCCTTGGCTTGTAAATGGGAGATTTTGGAGACAGAAGTAGGGCAGCTATTCCCTTATGAGCAGAGCAGTTTATTGAATGTATTTTGACAGCAGCCTCTGGGTTCAAACGCTGGGTTCAAACGCTGGCTCTGCCACTAGACACATGACCCCTGTGAAAGCCACTGGCTGGTACATGCCTCAGTTTCTCCCTGTGTAAAGTCAGAACAGCTGTACCTGCTGTGTGGGGCAGCTGTGAGGACAGAGTGAGAGGACACCCAGAAAGAACCTGGGCTGAGACCCAGTGGGCGAGGGGTCACCGCCTGCTGCTGTCTGGTTCTGAAGTTGTGTCCATTGCAGCTGCTCGTGGTCATGATGTGGATGAGGAGCTGAGTCACGATGTGGACGAGGAGCTGAGTCGCGATGTGGACGAGGAGCTGAGTCGCGATGTGGACGAGGAGCTGAGTCCCGATGTGGACGAGGAGCTGAGTCGCGATGTGGATGAGGAGCTGAGTCTTCTTTTACCCCTTTAAAGGGGGAATGTGGGTTTCAGGAACACGTCAGCTTGGAGTCATTTCTGTGTCTGAATCTGCTTCATACACACGTCTCCAAATACTTAAAATGATTGAAAAAACCTTTGAATAAAAGCTTGGGAATTTCATCTTGGACATGAATTGGTCTCTGAAAAGAGTCTGGGGGTCTTCCCAAATTTTGGGGTGAGGCTGGGTGAGATGACCAAGGGGAAATCTGAGTAGTCAGAACTCTTTATCAGTGTTGGAGGAAAACTGTCAAATTCCTTCTGGTTCCCTCAGGAGATCCAGGGTTACTTCTTCCTCACTTGTAGTTTAGTTTCGAAGTCACTTGGAACTGGTGTTTAGAAGCACCTCAAGGCATTATTTTTACGGAATTAATTTTTCCTGCTGTCCATAAGTGTCCGAGCATCAGAGGGCTGCCTGGGATGGCTCCTGGGGCCCCTGCCCTGCTCTCTTCCCTTCCTTGTTCTTGTCCTCCTGTTGGCAGAACCTTCTAGATTCATGGGGCTTTCAGCCTCTTCCTTCCTCTCTGTTCAGCTAGAACAGAAACATATTCTGAAACACTAGGCAGCTGTCACAAAGCAGAAAACCATCTTTCCCCGCAATATCCCACTGCCAGAGCTGCACTGTGTGTTAACTGTCAGTCCAGGAAACTAATAGAACGTTTACAGTGATAGACTCCATTCAAAATTCTTTTTTTTTTTTACATACACTGCGGCAATGTGCAACTCTGTTTCCAAGCAATGTGGGTGATCTCTGTCCTTTTTAGAGAAAACACAAGTAAGAAATAAACCTTGCCTGCAAGACTTACCAGATTTAGCGTTGAAAAATAACATTTCCAGGCTATAGCCTGACGGGAGGTAGTGGCTCTTTTAAATTCTCTATATTGAGAAAGGCAAGAATTTTGAGTGAAAAAGAGCACATATTTTCCAGTTCTGAAATAGGGTAAAATACCAGTCTGCCAAGTGATCCTCTGAGCTCGGGTTTCCTTATCTATAAAAAAGAGGGCAAATATATCCCGATGTTGAACATTAAGCAAACGTCCTAGAGGGCACCCGGTGTCTGTGGGTCACGGGCAGTGGTGTGATTGTTATTATTGTGATGCCACGGATGCCCACATACAATTTCCCTGCGCGGCGTTCATTTCTAAGCCCTCTCTAGCAGCCGGAAGCACAGAAAGGCTGGACATTCAAATCTTTGCTGCTGGCTAGGGCGGGAGGAGGGAGTGGCCGTGACTGTTCTCCTGGGAGCGAGTGGCTCCGGGCCCTCCAGTTCCTGCTGTTTGGGAGGTAACATTTAAATGTATTTACATTCTATTCCTAATCAAGGATGTTCATCAAACCCATTTGGGCAACTTGATATTAAAAGAAGGACAGAGTAATCTTTATGGGAATCATGCTCTGCAGAAAGATGAAGTCAAGATTGTGGCATGCTTAGGCGGAAAACACTAACAAACCCTCCGACGGGCCAAGCCTCAGGATGCGGGGGAAGGAGTAACAAGGTGGCCCCGAGTGCTCACCGAAGCCTCGTCTCATTCTCAAGCCGTGCCCAGCCAGGCCACCCGTGAGCTGCGAGCCCATTAGGAAAACAGCTGCCTCCAAAGAATCCGGCTGCTGCTTACGTGAATGATCTGGAGAGAGGCACCATCATTCGCAGCAATGGGGCTTAAGTGTTTGCCGGGCAAGGGGAGAGTCCCGTGAGCGCCCTTTGAAGTGTCTTTTACTGAAGGTAAACATCTAAAGAACGTAAAAGCGGCTCTTCTTTCCAATGAGTCACTTTGTTGGAGCGGATGGGAGGGTGGGGGGCCTGGGGAAAGGAAAGCAATAAAGGAATCCTTATGACAGCAATTTGCACATTCACTGCTCTTTGATATGTTAACTAGATTTTTAAAAATGCAATTCTTTGTCTCCTAGAGGTCCTGGGCAGTGATGGCCATGGTGAGCCCTAGACGGGACTCCTCTTCCAATGGACAACCTCTGTGAACCTGTGACTTCGTCGAAAGTGATTTGAGTGAACCGCTGCTCCTATGGAAGGGAGGCTCCTTACTGCACCAGTGCAGTAATTGACAGGGGTGGGGGTGAGCGTGGGGACAACAACCAGCTGATCAAATGTGGGATCAGTGGGTGGTGAGCTCTCAGCTTCCACAAGGCCTCTGTGAATCTTGGATTTTTTTTTTTTAAAACAGAATTTTTCCATTCTGAAAATTAGCAATGCTGTAAAGTACGAGGCTTTAAGTACTTTATTCTATGTCATGGATATCATCTGAAGACCAAACAGCTCTGGATTTCCAAATTTAGCACTTTTTCCTCGCAAGGAGAGGCTGATCCATCCTGTTAAAATATCTGACTGGCATGTGGAATCCAGTAATTTACGTTACTGAAACGCGGTGTATGACAGAAGCCAACAGCAGGCTGCACAAATCAGAGAAAAGCCACGTCTTCAGGAAGTTGTTGAGTTGAGTCCGGAGGATTGTTTTCTGCAACTGTATCTGGTTGCTAAAACTCGAGCCACGACACACCTTTGAAACATCATTAGCTTCCCAATGGCAGATGAAATGAGGCCGATTTTCAAACTGCGCCCTCAGAGTTGGTATTTATCTCCCTTGCAGGCAATAGGAGCCAGGCCTTTGAGTAAAGAAACACCACCAGGCAAGTGGAATCGCAAAGAGATCTGCGTGTGTGCGAGAGAACAGGGCAGCGACCGGCATGGTTCCAGAAGGAGTCAGCGCCGGATGGAAGGAAGGCGGGCGCAGAGCCATGGCCACGCTGGCCCAGGGGTCGGGAGGAAAGGGAGGCGGGCGCAGAGCCACAGCCAGCCAGGCCTTCTCCATCCCCTGGGGCTTCCTCTCCCACTCCTCTGCAGCAGAGGGGTCGCAGGCCCGGCAGGTCGGGTCAGGGCCCCAGAGCTTGTGTGGTGCCCAGGGCACTGGACCTGCTCCCGGGGAGCTGCGTGCAAAAATCACATTTAAACAAGAGGTGCTTTGAATTCCCTATTTACTCAGGAAGCTTAGACATACTTTTAAAAGAACTTAGAGATAAATACTGTTTTGGGGAATAGAATCCCTTTGCAGTGCGCATGGTTATTCCTGGTTTATCGTTTTCTTACGTAGGCTTTCCATGCAGCAGCGTTTTCTTTCCCCTTCTCATATCTGAGGCATATTTCAGAAGGAGGTATACGGTAAATATCTTAAGTTCAGGATCCACATAGTTCATAAGGTAATTACTTATTGCTGTTAGATTTTAAGGTTTCGAATAATGTAACCTGTCTCCCTCCCTCCCTTTCTTCCTTCTTTCTATCCTTCCTTCCTTTCTTTTTCACTTCTTTTCTTTTTAAATCTTATTCTGACGTTAATCCTTTAAGTATCTAGAGCAGTCCTTTAACTATCCATGTAGAAATGTCATACTGTTGAATTAATGACTAACCTGGGTCATAAACAGGGCTCCTTGTTTTCCAGCCAGCTGGTCGTGTGCCCCCACAGATCAACCAAATTACCTGGTTAATCCGTGCCCTAATGCCTTCCATAAACATTTGCTGAGTGCCCACTATGTGTCAGGCACAGCCCTGCCCTTGGAAACACAGGAACAAGTGGGATCCAGTCCCTGTTCTCAAGGGGCTGATGGTCTAAAAGAGAGGGAGAAGTGGAAAGTGTTGGTAAAGTGGGCACGTGTGACAATAAAGATACTTGGTTTGGTGGAGCGAAAGGATGGAGTGACCCTTTCCTGGGGTGTGGGGGTGTCCAGACAGGGAGATGTTCTGCCTGGTCCTGAGTGGCACATGCTGGTGGGTTTCAGGACCGAAAGCAAGAGCGTGGGTCTCAGCAGCTGTGCAGACACTGTGCCTGCAGGGAGGAGGTGGGAGAAGGGGGGCCGGGAGGGAGCGGGCTGTGCCCACAGGCACCAGGAGCCCACAGCCCGCCCTGCTCTACACGCAGGACCCGGCTCCCTTGGCGTGTGGGGCCTCTGTGCAGGGAGATTCCTCTCTTCCTCCTGAAAGTGGCCCAATATTCTGAGCAGCTCACTGAAACACATGACTAAACACTACTTTAAAATGACCTTGTTTATAATTTTCCTTTCGACAGTCGGATAGCTTTCTGCTTATTTGCATGGGGGTGGTGCATGGTTCACAGGTTGCTGTGTCTGTGAACCTTCTCTTTCTGCTGATAGTGGGCTTTGATTAGAGGAGCTGCACTGCCTTCAGCCTAGAATCCCACCCTGCTGCATGAATGGCTTCTGAGCCAACTGCCGCTCTGTGCCCAGGAACTCCGACCTTATCCTCCCCGAAGAGCCCCACAGTGGTAAGGGGTGCAGGGCTCAGGTGCACCTGCTGGCGTGGCTCCAGCCTTGTCCTCTTCCTCTGAGGTGGCTGGGCAGGTGGTCCCCAAGAGTTGCATCCAGCTGTAAGGGTCTAGGATCATAGCGGGCTTTGGTATGTTTCCTTGAATGCAAATCTTTGGCAAATTCTTTTATTCCGGGGTCCCCCACCCCCTGGGCCATGGATGCATACTGGTCCATGGCCTGCTAGGAACCCAGTGGCCCAGCAGGAGATGAGCGGCGGGTGAGTGAGCAAAGCTTCCTCTATATTTATAGCCGCCACCTGTCACTCACATTACCACCTGAGCTCCACCTCCTGTCAGATCAGCGGTGGCATTAGAATCTCATAGGAGCGCGAACTCTGTCGTGAACTGCGCATGTGAGGGATCCAGGCTGTGCACTCCTCATGAGAATCTAATGCCTGATGACCTGTCACTGTCTCCCATCACCCCTAGATGGGACCGTCTAGGTGCAGGAAAACAAGCTCAGGGCCCTCACTGATTCTATGTTATGGTGAGTTGTAGAATTATTTTAATTATATGTTACAGTGTAATAATAATAATAGAAAGTACACAATAAATGTAATGAGCTTGAATCATCCTGAAACCACCCGCACTGCTCCCCATCCATGGAAACCCAGTCTCCATGAAACTGGTCCCTGGTGCCAAAAAGGTTGGGGACCACTGTTTTTATGAATGAAATTCTGGAACAATTCTCAGGTTGAAGAATTTGTGTACCTGTCAGGATAACACTTCATAAGTAAAGCTTAAAGCTGGCTTAAGCTCCCAGATAACTACTGTGGGCTCTTTCCCTTTCCCCGAGAGATGGCGTGTGTCACAGTACCTGGTGGCTCAAACCGTTAGTGAAGTACGACTATGTCAGGACGCTGCCCGGGACTGGATCACGGTCACCAAGCCGCCGGGGGCTCGGCGATTCTGCTCCTGGATGGCTGCATTTTCTCAGGCTTCCCGTAACACGCGCTGCTGTGTTCTGGACTCCAAGGTGCTGTCCAGGTACAGGGCGTTGTTTCAGAAGCAGTTCTAGGCAGTGACAAAAAGTGATGGAAAAAGCGGTACAGGCAATTTTGAGGTGGCGCCGTCTTGATCCACTCATGTGCCCTTTAAAGTTAAGATTATACATAAAACGTTTCTTACTAGAAGTCCCATTTCTCAGGACAATTTTTTCTTTTTCTTGAGATAGGGTCTTGCTCTGTCATCCAGGCTGGAGTGCAGTGGCACAGTCACAGCTCACTGCAGCCATGACCTCCTGGGCACAAGCCATCCTCCCACCTCAGCCTCCCAAGCAGTTGAGACTACAGGCCTGCACCACCAGGCCTGGCTAATTTTTGTATTTTTTGTAGAGGCGGAGTCTTGCTATGTTGCCCAGGCTGGTCTTGAACTCTTGGGCTCAAATGATCCTCCCGCCTTGGCCTCCCAAAGTGCTGGGATTGCAGGTAGGAGCCACCACATCTGGCCAGGACAATTTTTGAAAGCATCTGACTCAACTCTGGCCAATAAGTGTGTGAATATGCATGCACATGTGTGTGTGTGCATGTAGTGTCTGGGCCTGTGTATGTGTGAATGTGCACATATGTGTGCACCTGTGTGTGTGCATGCATGTGGTGTGTGTGAATGTGCACGTATGTGTGCATGTGTGTGTGCATGCGTGTGGTGTGTGCATGTGTGTGCATGTGTGTGGTGTGTGCATGTGTGTGTGCATGCGTGTGGTGTGTGTGCGTGCATGCATGTGGTGTGTGCGTGTGTGCGTGCATGTGTGTGTGCGTGCATGCGTGTGGTGTGTGCATGTGTGTTTGCGTGTGGTGTGTGCATGTGTGTGCATGCATGTGGTGTGTGCATGTGTGTGTGCATGCATGTGGTGTGAATGTGCACGTATGTGTGCATGTGTGTGCATGCGTGTGGTGTGTGCATGTGTGTGTGCATGCGTGTGGTGTGTGCATACGTGTGGTGTGTGCATGTGTGTGTGCATGTGTGTGGTGAGTGCATACGTGTGGTGTGTGCATGTTTGTGTGCATGCATGTGGTGTGTGCATGTGTGTGCGTGCATGTGTGTGGTGTGTGCATGTGTGTGGTGTGTGCATGTGCGCTACTGGGTTGGGTTGATTTAGCTGCATATTATCTACCTTTGTGTTGTTAGTTATTGAGAAAATAATTTCATCTCAGAAGTAAGAGCTTTACAGGAAGTCACACTGACAAGCTGATGAATATTGAGGTACCTTATAAATAGCCCCACTGCCATCACAAGAAGGGGGTATGCTATGCATCGTTGTGATTTGTGTGATATTCCGAGTCCTGGGAGATTGGGTAAGGCTCAGGATCTTAGGTGCAGTGTGGGGTCCTCTGAGTGGGGTCCTCTGTGGGCTGTCTCAGCTCCTGTTTGTGAAGTGGTGTGAGATCCTTAAAAGCGAGTTTCTGCTGATGTGACAGTGATGGCCATCAGGATTGCTGTCTGCCGTAGTTACTCTCGGGGAGTTTGTCTCTCCGTAATGACCACTTCTTCATGCCCACATTCTCATACTGGGAACAGCTGAGGAAACCTGAAGCAAAGTAAGACTAACCACTACAAATCCTGTTGGTAGTGAGCCCTTTTGGGTGGATAATTCCAAAGACTCTATTCTCCAAATAGCCTTTCCATTGGAGTTTGCAGATTTGAGTGATAGACAATGGAGAATTTATTTTTATTTTTTAGTTCAAATCTTCATTGCACCAAATAGCTATCAGATGGCTCTCTGTGGAAGATGGGATTAAAATGCAGGTCCTTGTTCAAGCAAGAGGAATAATCTCATTTAAATGGTTAAAGAATAAGCACAGCATGAATGCTGTTTCATCATTGTTAAGCCCAGCTTTGTCCTCATTACTGAAGAGAAGACACCTTAATTTTTGCTGTGAGAAGCCAAAGAATCAAGTGGTTGGTCAAATTAAGAAGAGGCCATCCATCCATCTATCCATCCATCTGTGCAACTGCTGGGGACTGAAGCAGCACGGCCGGGTACTGGTTACCAAAAGCAAACTTAATTGCCAATTATGGGATCACAGACACCTGAAAACCCTGGCGCCGGGAAGTTCACTGAGAAACACCTACCTCGGGTGTTTTAGTGAAGGAAACACTTACCTTGGGTGTTTTAGTGAATTTAAGGACTATAATAAAATTGAGGCAAAGGACAAATATTCTTTTGCACGTATGTGAAATCTCTAAGTGGTCTAAGGAATTAGAGTGAGCTGCAGGTGCTGTGTGTGTGTGTGTGTGTGTGTAAGGATCCTTATGAGGACAGTTAGGACTGTTCTAAAAGCTTTGCAGGGCATTTTTCCTGTTCTTTTTTTAGTGACTTGTTAGGAAGGGGCCCTGGTGGAGGCTCAGGGCCGGCCATTCAGCCCCCAGCTCAACCCATGCTTTCCTTCCTTATCTCTACAGAGGAATTCATCCATGCTCTGAGCCACAGGCCTTCCATGTAACGAAGGCCACACGTTTGCATAACACAAACACATGTCTTTATGCATCTATGTAAAATGCGCACTACCAACAATTGTTATGGGGGTAATTCTGCTCTATGAAGTTGTAGCCAACACTGAAATAGTGAATCTGGAGCCATTGCTCCTAGGGGAAATACAAGTTCAGGTTCCTGAGAGCCTCCAGTCACAACAGTTTCATCAGCCAGTCAATATATAATTTTGTTTAGTGTGTGTTTTTGTTTGAAGATGCTTTATTTAGTATCTACTGTTGATTCATTAGCATTGAACTCAGGGCCAGCAGCACTGTAGCTTGTGCTGAACGAAGCTTCTCTACATGCGTGTTTTCTCTACACCAGGCAGTGCTCCAGCACCGCACTTGGGGATGTTTTAAACAGTGAAGTCTGCAACAGCACTAAACAGATGGGGAAAGGACACTTGTTTGGAGTCTGACAGCTGAGAGAAGGCTGTGTGTCACCCTGCATGGCCTCAGCTGGGAGCGAGAGCATTGGTGACTCATTTTCTGCTGCTCTGTGCATGTCCTCCACTGACTGCAAAAGGGCCACAAGTATTGATTTTGGGGTTACAGATAAATTTTAGAGAGTGGGCACATTTGCAAATAAAGAATCCGCAGATAATGAGAACTGACCATATCTGATTATATGTAGGAAGTTCCTGAAAGGTAGGTGAGGTCAGATATTATTTCTGTATGTAAGGGAAACACTAAGTGCATATCTTGGCAAAGGCCAGTGGGAAGTAAGCTCACATGGTATAAAAGGCATCTCACATTCTGAGAGTTGGCAACATTGAGGATTTTGCTTCTGAACATTGCAGTTCTCTTCTTTCCCCATCTTTGCAAAGCCACTTCCAGCCTCTGCATTGGGGTTGCCATGTGACCCATTCAGGGAGAAATACTTATTTCTGATCTAAGCGGGTCTCCCAGACATTTACCAACGTTGTTTTCCGTTGCATTGACTCAGTTAAAAAACTGAGCCTGCCTGGCTCCTTCTCGATTCTGCATTTCCTCAAGGTTTGATGTCTGGTGTGGTTGTCAACTATTTTATAGCTAAGGAATAAGACAGAAAAGTACATAACTATGAATATCTGTGGGTTCTACTGAGCTCCCGTTACTGTTTGGATGTGAGTCTGAAGCAGATGCACAGGACAGCGACTCACATCCCTGTTAGTGACACAGTGGATTTTTCTGTTGATTTGTTATCGTTTTTTATTATTGGCATTAGCATTACTCTCCAAGATAATGAATATGCAATAGGAAAAATGTCCTGGCCTCATTGGCAGTGCATTATTTTTGAGAATCCAGCTCCGCAGCATTGAGTGGAGCCATTTCCATTTTACCCACATTCCATCAAGGGTTTGTCTTTTGCATCCCCGAGCAATTGCATAACTCTAATATTGACCTTAACTGAAGTCCTTTGTTTTCACCCTAACAGCCTGAAGCATTAAAAATGCGTGTTTACTTAATTTGTCCTGGCATGCAGTGTAATTACAAGCAGTTTGTTTTCTCTGTTGTAAAATATGGTCTGGAGAAGGAATAAAGGAATGTGGAAAATTAACATCGTGATGTACTGTATAGTGGAATAACACTAAAAACACTTAGCAGTGTTAGTACTGGAGGTGCTATTTGTGTTGTGTGCAAGAGCCATAAAGAATTAAATGCCTCCTTCTAAACTATATTTGCATGATTTTCAACTGCAGTAAAATTAATCTGATCTGCCTCTAAGAATAAGCAACACAACAACAACAAAATGAAAGACCCACAGCGTTGACTGGTGCTGTTGTACTCTGAAGTGATGCTTCTGTGTTTGTGCGACCCCACATTGGTTTAATGGGATTCACTGCAGGACAGCAATTCTTGGTGGAGTCCCAGAGGCGGCTGAAGGGCTTGTGCATCTGTGTGTGTGTCCCTGGGACTCCAGCAGGGGTGTCCTTTGGGCCAGTTTGAACCGGGTGTGTCCAGTTGGAAATGTGGTTGGCAGGGCCAAGCTTTGTCTCTTCCGGCTGTCCTGTTGCCCTCATCCCTGTTGGCTGGAAAGGTCTTGCCTTCTTGGCAGAGTTTACTGCTTCTCTGTCTTGTTCTTGCTGCAAAACGTTTTGTGATGCTCTGTATGAAGGATACTGTATAAATAATAAATTGCACTGTATCATTTATCCAACTTCAGGTGATCACAGAGAGAAACATAATAAGCCTCTTAAAAGAAAGTGAACCAACTCCCCCATTCGCCTGTGGGGCACGCCGGGACGTTGTCCACATGCCTGAGGGTCTGTGCACGTGTGGAAAGTGGCACTTTTGTAGTGAGGCAACACTTCTATTACACACTTCCTCCCAACCTCGATTTGTTAGTTTTAAATAGCCCAAGGGATCCGGGTGGCTGAGCGCCACTTCCTCCTTGGCATTTGTTCTTCAGCTGCTGACCTGCCTGAAAGTGGCCTTATTCAGGGAGGGTGGCTTTTAACATGGGCTGCTTTAAAAACCTGGGCTTCTGGGGCATCTGAGGCCTTCTGGACCTGCATTTGCTGTGAAACGACAGTGGAAGAGGCTCCTGAGTCCATCACACGCTCAACTTCTCTTGTGCAGAGGGTGGACCTCACAGATCCCCATGGGGAGACCCCATCCCCGAGGAAAGAGGCCTGCTCTGTCCCCTGAAAGAGCACATCCACTCTCCTCTCTCCTCGAGTGGCAGCCACAGGCTTTATCTGGCTTTATCCCCACACCGTCTGACTCCACTTCATCGTACTCAGGACGGTGAGGTGACTGCAAGGAAGGAGAATGCTTGTTAATATCAGCCAAAGAACAAGAGTCCCCTGAACCTGACAGTGGCAGGAAAGTCATCAGGACAGGTCAGGCTCAGCAAGGACCTTAAGAACAATTCCCTCTGTAATTTATGGCCTTTTGGGAATATAATCAATAGCATTCAAGAAAACCCATCACCCCGATGGCTCTCGCTGTTGGGAGGGTTTCCTGTCTTTGTCATGGTTGTGTTCTGTCTGCCATCCCTGGCTGTGGCCACCTCACTCCCCTCTCTCAGTGTAGGAGACACGTGTGTTTTATCCTCAGCGCTCTGTCTCCTCTGCTGATGTGCACAGCATCTGATGCCTCCTTGAATGTGTGTGTAAATGTGTTGGCCCATGAAGGCCTCAGCAAACGTTCCTGAGGCTGCCGCTGGACGAAGAGCGCCTTGGACATTGTCATCACACTGTAGACCCTAGCCCCATATTTATTTTATTCTTTGTTTTGTTTTGAGACAGAGTCTTGCTCTGTCACCCAGGCTGGAGTGCAGTGGCATGATCTTGGATCACTGCAACCTCCGCCTCCCTAGGTCAAGTGATTCTCCCACCTCAGCCTCCCGAGCAGCTGGGATTACAGGTGACTGCCACCACACCTAGCTAATTTTTGTATTTTTAGTAGAGACGGAGTTTCACTGTGTTGGCCTGGCTGGTCTCGAACTCCTGACCTCAGGTTATCCGCCCACCTCAGCCTCCCAGAGTGCAGGATTACACGTGTGAGCCACCACGCCCGGCCCATAGCCCATATTTAGTCACAAATTCCCACCAAGGGCCGGCTCTCAGGGGGCTCCCATGCTGGGCACTCCTGGCTGTCCACACGGTTTGGTTTTGGTGGCTGGCCATGAAAACAGAGGGTGCGGTAGCCTCGTCAGGCCGGCGGCCAGCCCCCTGCAGCCTCCCTCTGCCCCTGGCTGCCATTGGCATGAGGACAGCACAGGCGGAGTCCTGGGGCCAGCGTGGAGGAGGAGACCCCTGCCCGTGCTGTCTCGAAAGGGTCCAAAGAGCCACCAAGTGAGTGCTGGGCCTGGGGAGAGTCAGGAGGCCTGGCCCCGGGGGCCTGTACTGCAATTTGTAGAAACCCAGGGCACTGTTGGGATGGCCCCTGCCGAGGCTTCAGCTCATGGGGTGGGTCTGTGAGACCATGACTGCAGTTTGCTCAGCAGAGCTGGCAGGAGGGCTGCCCCAACAGAGGCAGTGGCTGCGGCTCAGCTGGACACACCTGAAGGGCCTTCTGGCGACGCAGCTTCAGGTCAGTGTCCTCTCCGTGTCATGGAGCAGATGGCCACACCGGGAACAGCGGGCCCTGTGGCCCCTCCCCAGATCCCACCTGGTCCCGCCAAGCTCATGACACTCCCCAGCTCGGTGGGACGTGTAGGCAGAGCATGTCTGGATGCCCCATGGCCCCAGAGTGCCTGGCTCTCCATCTCCTTCCACCCACAAGCTGCGTCCCCCTGGGCTGCTTTCTTCAACCTTCCCAATTCTCATCTTGGTCTTGGGCTTATTTTGAGTTTCATGCCAGGTGGATCCATCCTGGGCACTTCCTCGGAGCAGCTTCACTGGGGTCTGCATGGGGTTTCTGGCACGAGTATCCTGGGAGGAAAGGTGAGTGTGGACCCTTTGGTGGAGGGAGAGGCTGGAAGGAGAAAGACTTCTGTGGGGTGGGGCCTCCTGCCCTGAAGCCCTGAGGTTATACAGGTGGCCTCTGTATTCACCCGGGATTGGCCCCAAGACCTCCCTCGGATACCCAAAGCCTCGGATGCTCAAGTCCCTGATATAAAATGCTGTGACGTGGTGGGTCCTTCGTATCTGGGCTTTCAATCTAGGGCTATTGAATCCGAGGATATCAACCCAGAGGACAAGGAGGTCGTTGTGCCTGTGGCTTCCGCTCTGCGCCTGGCCATTGCTCCCTGGTTAATTTTCCTCACAGCCCTTGGAGCTGCCAGGCCCATCGGCCGACGGTCCATGTGCAGCGAGCAGGGGTGATGTGTGTCATTGCCGTGACACTCAGCTTGTTAAGGAGAAGCTGGCAAAGACTCTGATGAATGAATTAATGATTCCCAAGACGTGCTTTCCAGGGAGGTGACTGCTGGAGAGATAGACAACCTAAAACCCGCCATGCACCCCGCCCTGGGAGCCCCTTCTGCACTCTCCCATGGAGGCCCCTTTTGGGGTTGGTATTCTTAGTAGGCGAGTAAGAAACAAACACCACAGAGGCACAGATGATCTCTGTGTGCCCGGCTGGTGAGCTGGCTCAAGTCTCTGCATGTGGGTGCCTTTCTCACAGACGGGCCCTCTGAGGGATCTCAAGGGGTCATCCATAGAGAACCCGAGTTGGAGGAGAAGAAGCCAGATGGCTGGCCTCCACCCAGGGCCTATGTGTGGTTCACAGAAGAGTCGCACTTCTCCAGGTGGCAGAGGCCTGCCCTGCAGAGGACCATGAGGTCGTCAGGCAGAAGGGAAAAGCCGGTGAATTTTTTTTTGGCTGCTAACAGCTGGAGAGGGTGGATAGATTTTTGGCACGCTCTAAAAGGTTGTTCATCCATGTCCCTGCAAAGAACATGAACTCATTCTTTTTTATGGCTGCATAGTATTCCATGGTGTCTATGTGCCACATTTTCTTTATCTAATCTATCATTGATGGGCATTTGGGTTGGTTCCAAGTCTTTGCTATTGTAAACAGTGCTGCAATAAACATACATGTGCATGTGTCTTTATAGTAGAATGATTTATAATCCTTTGGGTATATATCCAGTAATGGGATTGCTAGGTCAAAGGGTATTTCTGCTTCTAGATCCCTGAGGAATCACCACACTGTCTTCCACAATGGTTGAACTAATTTACATTCCCACCAACAGTGTGAAAGCATTCCCATTTCTCCACAGCCTCGCCATCAAACATCCCATGTTCTCACTCATAAGTGGGAGTTGAACAATGAGAACACATGGACACAGGAAGGGGAGCATCACACACTGGGGCCTGTTGGGGGCGCAGGGGGCTAGGGGAGGGAGAGCATTAGGACAAATACCTAATGCATGTGGGGCTTAAAACCTAGATGACGGGTTGATAGGTGCAGCAAACCACCATGGCACATCTGTAGCTATGTAACAAACCTGCATGTTCTGCACATTTATCCCAGAACTTAAAGTAGAATAAAAAAAAAAAAGTTGTTTATCTGCCCCTTTAACTATTGCTGAGTCTCCCTGGGGCAATGTGGTCATATCTCATGAAAAGGAGTGTGACTGTCCTTCCATGGAAGAGGTGCGAGGGCTGTGTCTTTACTCTGCCCATCAACTGTGCCCCTCCAGCCTCCGTTTCCCCTCCCCCATCCCTTTCTCCTGTAAACACTGTCCCATGTCGCAGAACCACGTAAAGCTGTGGACGGTGATGGGATGGGCTTTTTAGGCAACCGAGCTGGCACTCCCCATCGCTTCCTGGGTTTGCCTGAAGGCATTTTGATTGTTTGAGGTTCCACAAACGGAGAAAGCCTTGTCTGAAGTTTGGGGGTTGTCACTTTAGCTTCACTTTTTGGTGTCTTGGGATAGCGGAAAGAATCTGGAAGAAACGACATTTGCGTGTGGATGAGATCACTCAAATACACAAACATCTGCAATTGGAGGGACAGGAATGAGTTTGTTGGAAGTGATGCTTCCTGCCATTTGATCTCACAGGTTCTCTTCAACTGAACAGAAAGGGCAGGATATCCAGGCTTTGCACAGAAAGCTGTGGTCGGAGGTGGGCCATGCCCACCAAATGCTCCAGGAGTGCCCCACACCTCCCAGCCTCCCTTGGCAATGAAGGTGGAGAAAAGGCAGTCATTGCCCTTTCAGGGAACGGGCAGGCAGGAGCTGGAGACCCTGCCTCTCCTCCCAGATGGTGATAAACATGGGATCCTGGGTGCCAGATGGAGCTGAGTGAGAAATTTCCATGCTCTGGGTGAAGCTGCTGAGATGTAGGGTGCTCGTGTTACTGCAGCACAGCCTACTCCACCCTGACTAATCTGAGGAATTGCCACTTCTCCTGCTGCCTCTCACTGTACCTCGTTCCTGCCCTACCCTCCATTGTGATACCAACTCCCCATTTTTGTCCCTGGAAACAACTTTAAATTTGTTGGTTGTTTTGGGTCAGGTAAGTTAATATCTGATAGCATCTGTGAGACCTCAGTGGCCAGAGAGAAGCACCCAGATGGCTCTTGTTGGCCTGGTTGTGTCCTGACAGGGTGGGTGACCGGGTTGTCCACGTGATGTGATGATCGTGTCTTGGTTCTGTACCTGTTGGGCCAGGCAGCCTCAGCAAGTGTCCTGGGGAATGTATGCCCTGCATCTGGTGAGTGAAGCTGGCCCCAGCCAAGTCCTAGCCACCCCCGGGCCTGGCGTTCTGTAACTCTGGGATCCGTTCTTCCTGCAGCCTGGGGGCCGGGGCAGTCACAGAGCAGTGGGGATGAAGCAGCTGGCTCCAGGCCTCCCAGCTGCCACCACAGCCTCCAGGAGACCACCCCTTTCCCATGCCAGGAGATTCTATTAATGTCATCCATTCAGGTGCTGGGTGAGACCAAGCAGACCTGGCACTGAGACATATTTCCAAGTTCAATGAGGTATCTTCCAGTTCGAATCCCACAACCTGTGCTATTTAAAGGAAACTGACCTATAAAAAGCAAAATAAAAATGTTCTGAAAATTAGATGACAGTGATTCGCATTTGTGTTAAAACTGATAAATAAAACAGAATTTTGTAGCCTGATTTGAAGATGTGGCTATTTGGTTATTAATTCTGTGAAAAGTGTATTTGGTAGGAGCACTGAAATTCGGCACCAATTCAGACTGCAGTAAGTGTGTTACTGAGGACACACAAGGAACCCAAGAGTCCTGAGGCGGGAAGAGGGAACGCAGCAGGTGGGACCAGGTCTGGTGTTGAAGAGACACAGTGGCCGACCAGTCAGCAAGGATGAGTGCAGGGAGGGAGTGAGGGAGGCTGGTCAGTAGGATGAGTGCAGGGAGGGAGTGAGGGAGGCTGGTCAGCAAGGTGAGTGCAGGGAGGGAGTGAGGGAGGCTGGTCAGTAGGATGAGTGCAGGGAGGGAGTGAGGGAGGCTGGTCAGCAAGGTGAGTGCAGGGAGGGAGTGAGGGAGGCTGGTCAGCAAGGTGAGTGCAGGGAGGGAGTGAGGGAGGCTGGTCAGTAGGATGAGTGCAGGGAGGGAGTGAGGGAGGCTGGTCAGCAAGGTGAGTGCAGGGAGGGAGCGACGGGGGCCAGGTGCCGGCCGTGGGGCTGCTACCCCTTGGCTGGTTAGGGAAGACATCATCGAGCTGAAATCCTGATGAATGGGGACTAATTAGAGGAGGAGAGTGAGAGAGGCACAGGCGGGGAGAGGAGATGGGAGTTAGGGGAGGTGGCGGCAGGTCCCAGAGTCTTAGTCACAAAGTGGAGACGGACATCCGGGATTTGGAGAGACAGCGGCTTAGTTGGGATGGACGAGTTTGAATATCAGCAGGTGGACACCTCCAAGGTCTCTTTCTTTCCTTTCCAAAGTCCACTGTGAGTCTGCAACGATCCGAGGCAGCTGTCCTTTGTGGGCGACTCTGTGCCCGGGTGGAGTTTCCGACCTTGGGAGTCCACATCTGCCTGAATGGGACGGCGGGACTCACACCTAGAGCCAGTGCTTTTTCCTAGAAGTGGCCGCACCACTTTCTTGAGGCCTGCATGCTGGAGCCGGCCAGCTGGCCCCGCTAAATGCAACGGAGGCTGGGGCGTGGCTTCCTGAGTTGTGGATGGACATGGGGAGAAGGACGGTTGTCCCCTAGGGCAGGTAGGGGCTTGGCTGTGCAGAAAGCAGTCATGCAGGAACTTGGGAAGTTGCTGAGATTTGTTAGCGAGTGCGTATGTGTGCGTGTGTGTGCGCATTGTGTGTGGTGGGACATCACTGAGATTTGTGAGCGAGTGTGTGTGTGCGCGCGCGCGTGTGCAGTGGGAAGTCACTGAGATTTGTGAGTCGTATGTGTGTGCGTGTGGTGGGGATGTCACTGATTTGTGAGCGAGTGTGTGTGCGTTGTGTGTGTGGTGGGACATCACTGACATTTGTGAGCGTGTATGTGTGTGTGAAGTTGCTGAGATTTGTGAGCAAGTGTGTGCGTGTGCTTGCATGTGTAGTGGGAGGTGCTGAGACTTATGCTGCTAGGATGAGCTGAGACACAGGTTTGAGGGTGCCTCTGGCTGAAGTATGGATTGAAGGGGTGGCTGTGCGTAAGGGGTCAGTCTAGAGGCCCCTGCCATATCGCAGGGTAATGAGGCTCATGGAAGCTGGAACCAGCAGTGTGGTGCTGGTGAAATGGATGGATCCTAGGGCCCTGATTTGCACCAGGGACGGACTGGGTGCTAGGAGCTGAGAGGCCCCCTTGGCGGAGCGCTGCCTTTGGTGGGAAGGAGGTAACTCCGGTTTGGGTTTGAGCTGAGGTCGCTTTATACTAGGGTGGTAAGGACAGCATTTCACCTCTAGCAGCCCCTCAAGAGTCCTGACCAACGCCTGGTGGGGAGGTGGTGTGGGGTAGGAGCAGAGTGCAGCCTCAGAGCGGGTCAGGCCCCCACGGGGCTCAGAGCCAGGCACCGACCCGCCGTCCTCCTGCATCGCCTTCCTCCCACTGCAGGCTGTGGGCAATAACACAGCGCCAGGTGAGCCAGGGACCCGCTGCTCAGTGGGTGCTCAATACATGCAACCTGTGGGGCCTGGAGGCCACGGACGTTTGCTGCGTTCATAATAACTTCCACAGCTAATGAGTCTCACAGCTTGTTTACTTCATTTTAAGAAACACTGATATTTCCCTTAATATAATTTACCCCACATTAACTTAAGCATGATGGGGTCTGTGTTTCGGATGCGCATGTGGAACTCTCATTAAAGCTAATTGGAGCTGTGTGCGTGCGTGGAAAACGCAGGGTCCTCCTGCCTCCCGCAGCAGAGAGGCCGGCTTGGGAGTCGCCGACTTGACAGGCTCTCCTTCAGGAGGTTCCCGCTCTGCTTTTGAAGAGGACGGGGGCCACCACTGAGTCTTGAAGCGATGTCAAGGGTAATGACCAAAAAAAAAAAAATCTGTAGTGACACAGTGTGGGGTCACAGAATTGGCAGAGCCACGGTTTTATGCTTTGCTCATTGATAATTATGAAAATCTTTTGGAGAGGAGAAAAATATTTCCTGAAAAATTTCAACAGACATCTTATCTTCACATAATTAATACACTACAGGAATAAAATTCCAGTGTAAAACGTAAACATGTTTTTATTTTGGCTTTCCGTGTAATTTACAATTATGCATCTATCACATAATAAATGACAGACAATGTTCGTAAAAGAACCCAGAGGCCTCGTGTAGCCCAGGCGGGAAATGGTAGCCTATAAAATATTGAGGGCGGCTTTCAGGTTAGTAGCAATGTGAAAATGCACGTAATCGAAGCGGGCACCATTAGTTAAGTTTCATATTCTATTCATATAAATATTTCAGGCTTCTCTCTTTTGCCATCCTATGACATTAGACACCTGCAGAGTAGCAGCATCTCTTTAAAATCCTGGATAAACTATGACACAGGCCTCCATGGAAATGATTTTCCCTTTAGTGATGGACTCATAGGCATTTTACTTAAAGTATCATTTCTCGGCCGGTCACTGTGGCTCACACCTTAACTGCAGCACTTTGGGAGGCTGAGGTGGGAAGATGGCTTGAGCTCAGGAGTTTGAGATCACCTTGGGCAACATGGTGAAACGCGTCTCTACCAAAAATGTAAAAATTTTCTGGTCACGGTGATGCACCCCTGGGGTCCCAGCTACTTTCGGAGGCTGAAGCACGAGGATGGCTTGAGCCCAGGAGGCGGAAGCTCTAGTGAGCCGAGATCTCACCACTGCACTCCAGCCACTGCGCTCCACTGGATCTGAGCAACAGATCCAGATCCCATCTCAAAAAAAAAAAAATTGTTTTTTTCCTTTTGTTTTAATTCACACCATAAATGTTTCATCTCCTCCTGCCTGTGCCGGGTGGCAATGCGGCTCTGACACTCATCACCGGCTGTCACATGCTCTGGGCTGCACGGCCACACAGCAGTTATGATTTCTGTAGCTTCCCTTCTGGGGGAATTTGAATTCTTTTGGAAATGATATTTTTGAGTGTTGATCTCAGAGTCACTGTGCCCGGTTTTGGAAACGTGGCCGGCTTCTGGGCAAACATTTAACACAGAGAGTGGCTCTGCCCTGGAAGGAGGCCTGTTGGCAGCACCAGCCGAAAGGATGCCCCGTGGTCCCTCGTGCCCAGGGCGGGCCCAGCTCTCCTCGGTCCGTGGTCAGTCACACGGGAAACCACACGTGGGCAGGGCTTGTTGGAAACATGCTTGCGGACGTCCTGGGAGCTGTGAGAGCCTCGGCGATGACGCGCTTTCGTCCCGCCTTCGTGTCCGCTTCCCTTTATGGGCTCATAAGGTCCTGGGAGCTGTGAGAGCCTCGGTGATGACGCGCTTCCGTCCCGCCTTAGTGTCCGCCTCCCTTTATGGGCTCATGAGGCCGTGAGCGCTGTGAGAGCCTCGGTGATGACGTGCTTCCGTCACGCCTTCTGTCCGCCGATGATGCGCTTCCGTCCCGCCTTCGTGTCCGCTTCCCTTTATGGGCTCATGAGGCCGTGAGCGCTGTGAGAGCCTCGGTGATGACGCGCTTCCGTCACGCCTTCTGTCCGCCGATGACGCGCTTCCGTCCCGCCTTCGTGTCCGCTTCCCTTTATGGGCTCATGAGGCCGTGAGCACAGTGAGAGCCTCGGTGATGACGTACTTCCGTCACGCCTTCTGTCCGCCGATGACGTGCTTCCGTCCCGCCTTCGTGTCCGCCTCCCTTTATGGGCTTATGAGTTTCTGCCTCAACTCCAGGCATTTTTTTTTCTTTTGCCTCTAGCCCAGTTTTAGAAAGGACTATGTCTTGGTCCTTCTTAATGGTATAAAAGATATCCTCAGCCCGCCAGATGCTCCTGCATTTGAGTGACGACACGCTTCTCTGGCTGTGACCAACTTTTCTCCCTTTCTTTTTAAATGACAGGACTTCTTGTTCAATACTTGCTGGATATGAAGTGAGTGGGATGGGAGTGACGTTCCACATGGAAAACGTGGGGACATGAGGAAGCCCCCGTGGTACAGCCGTGCCCCCAAGTCTCCCTGACCTTCGCATTTCCATCACCTTTTAATCTTACTGACTTATTCACTGATCTATACAGCTAGCACCCTGCCGTCGAGATGGGCAGGGTTTTTTTGATGGTGGCATCAGGAGAAAGTCTGCTGTTTGAGGAAAGACCAGAAGCCCGAAGCTTCAGCTGAAGTTTTGGTGGGAATTTGATCAGAGACTACTGGGGGCTCTTCTCTGCAGGCTCTCTCTCTCTCTTTCCCCCCACCCCAAATCAGGTGTTAACCTGTTTCTCTTCCAAGATAAAGTCCTGTGATGGTGATTCCTGCGGTTACGTTGGACAGACTAGGAAAATCAGCATGACTACAGCGGGAGGTTTTTGGACAGTTTAAAAAATTTTTTTGAAATAGTATTAGATTTACGCAAAAGTTGCAAAAATTGTACAGACAGTTCCCATGTGCCCTTCCCCTACCTGTCTGGTGTCAGCATCCTGCATGGCCATGGGAGGACTGTAGAATTAAGAAATTAGTATTTGCATAATGCTGTTGACTAAGTGGCAAGCTTTACTCTGATTTCACCAGTTTTCCCAACAAGGTCCTTTTTCTGTTTCAGGATCCAACCCAGTGCCTCCCATTGCATCCACTCCTCACACCACCGTCTCCATGGCGTGACAGTTCCTCAGTTTTTCTTTGTTGTTCATGACCTTCACCTTTTGGAAAGGTACTGGCCAGTCACTTTGCAAAATGTTCCTCAATTTGTGTTTGCTTGATGTTTTCTCCTGATTAAAGTGATGCATTTTGGGCAAGAACATCATAAAAGCAACGATGAATGATTTTCAACACATCATATCCAGAGGTGTGTGACGTAGAGGTGCCTTATCCTGGCGATGTTGCCCATGATTGCTTGGCGAGGTCTCCCAGGGTTACAAAGTTACTGTCTCTCCCTCTGTACTTAGTAAATAACTCCAGGAAGCAGAGATACTTTGAAAGTATTTAAATATTCTATTATATTTAAACTTTTGCTCACTGATTTTAGTATCTCTGGGTAGACTGCCCACAACAGTTCTAGTGTGGTTATCTAGTTCCCTCATTTCTTTTACATTTAATTGGAAATTCCAATAAGGAAGAATTTCCAAATTCCACTTGGAAATTCTCCATAAGGAAGCTCTGTCCCTTCCACCCATTATTTTACTTTATTTATTTCCATGTTGGAATTTGGAACATTTAGACTGATCTTACCATGAATTCACGTGGTTCCATGTATAAAGCTTGGCTGAAAATGTCCACTGGAATTAAACCTTTATATTGGGATTTATTTAGGACATCTTCATAGGTCTGGTATCATTTTATTTTCTCTTTGAATTCATGACATTTTGCCCATGTATGTGTCCACCTCAATGCGCCATTTTAAGACTGTTGACCACTTAAGACAGTATCTTGTGATTCAGCACCAGGTACTAATCAAAATTCTTTGAAATAATAACACAGGGTCAGTATAAATTCACATGTTTAAATATAGACAATGAAAAAAGTTCAGAGAAAGCAAACAATTTATTAGCGGAAGCTACTAATTCAAAAACGATGGAAAAAACATCTTTCCAGGCACTATATGTCTTCATGCTTCCGTCTTTCTGAAAAATGGTGCATGGATATTAAAGGAGGTTTTTGCAGAACGGGATGATTCGGATGTCTGTCTTATGCATGTAAATGTTTTACTGCAGCTGGTGTTAGCCAGGAAACCAAGATAGTTCTTTCTAAGCTTTAAATCAGTTGTTTTATAGAGCACAAAGAATTTTTTATTATAACATAATTCTGTGCATAAAATATCACATTAAAAGAAGAAGATAAAGTTTTGTACTTTCATTCTCCATTAATTTGACCAAAAACAATTTGCAGAGAAATATAACCAATCAGAATTCACTGCTGCAAGGCCAGTAGGACTTGAGGTCTAGGTCCAGGGGCAGCTAGGGGAAGTCCTTGGTGACCAGACCCCAGGGCCGTAGTGGGATATTTTGGTGGCTGCCATGAGAAGGCCGTTTTAACAGCGGGGAAAGCACTTGGGGGCTGACGGCTGTCAGAGTCATGCTCTGTATCAGATGCATCCCAGGCACAGACCCCTGCAGGCACCCCTGCTACACGGGTGTGGCTCCTGAGGACTCTGGGCTGCGTCCTCCAATGCCATGCTCTCTCCCTGGGGTGGCCCCATCTGGGACCAGCTGCCAGATGCTGACTCATGCAGGTTACTCATGCCTGGCCCACTTGCCTCGTGGGGAGATGCTGAAGGATCCTTAGGTTCAGGGGCCTCCTGGGTCGGGGCCTCTGCTCTGTGGCCCACCCTGCCCCACCTGCTGGCAGGAGCACGGCCTATATGCTTTTGGCTCTCCCATCTCAGGGTCTGAGTCCTGGGGAGTCTGGCCTATGACAGCTGGAGAGAAGATCCGGCTTTCTGAATATCCCAAAATGCCCTGTGAAGGGCCAGTCTCCACTCGCTCATATCCTGCATGTAGTGTAAGCAGGCTGAAACGATACACTTTGGGAATGAGAAATGTCTGCCCTGCACACGTGTGCTTGCTCTCCTTGGTGATTTCAGCTCATCTGATGCTCTCGTCAGAGAGCCTCAAGTGTCTACGCCTTTGAAAACCTGGCTGTCAGGATAATTAAAACTTCCTATCCTATTTTCCTCCTGCTTCGATGATGAATAGCAAATCAACTTTCTAGGAGACCAGCTCCTCAGGCACCGGCAGTCATCTCTGCTGCGATCTGGCCTGCACGGAAGCCCTCACTAATGGTTTTCAGCACTCCATTCCTTGTATTAGGGGAATAAATAATCACGTTTTATGCACAGAAAAGTTTAGGTGAAGCCTTAAGTCAGTACTCCAGAGGATGTGCCCAGAGAAGGCCAAGACCACGGACAGCTCCACGGCTGGAAAGAGGATGGGAAGGAAGCCCCCGCTGGAGATGGGCATGGATGCTTCCTTACATCTGCAGTCACCTTAGGGAGCCGGGACTCTCACTGCCCCATCTGCCTCTGAGAATGGTGTTAGTGTCGCTAATCACAGAGAAGCCCACCGAGACACAGGTACATGCTGTGAGCCACCCAGAGCCGGGAAGGTGTGGTTGCTGACGGGCCAGAAGCAATTCCTTGTTTCTATTTTAGTTTTAGGGGCCATGTCCTCCTTATTATAGCACTATGCTGTTCAGAAACAACGAACAAATGACAATCTGCTCCTCCCCATTCCTGTGTTGAAACCAGGCACTGCTCCGTACGTGCTCGGTATGTGTTGTGTGAAGCCTCCGAGGCACTCCTGGGTACTGATCATCACTGGAGGAGCCAGCATGCCCTTCCTGTGTGGGCAGGGAGGCTTGTGGTGCCTCTCACATGTCACCCGCTGTCTACACACCACCTGCTGTCCACACGCCATGCACCGTCCACACGCCACACGCCACCCACCACCCGCCGTCCTCATGCCACCCACCGTCCACAGGCCATGCACCATCCACAGGCCACCCACCATCTTCACGCCACTTGCCGTCCTCATGCCACCCGCCGTCCACAGGCCACGCACCATCCACATGCCACCCGCTGTCCTCACACCACTCGCCATCCTCAAGCCACCCGCCAATCTCACACCACCCGCCAGTCTCACGCCACCCGCTGCTCTCACACCACCTTGCCTGCTGAATCCACCTTGCCTGCTGAATGGCTTTCCAGAGGCAGAAGCTGTCTCCGCTTCTCTTTCCAGCCCTTTTGGGTTTAGCACCGGGTTGCCTACTTGGTAGGTGTTCATTAAGTGCTTGTGAAAAGTTTTGATGTACTTCAGAATTCAAATGTTCTAAACTGAGCAGCAGCTGTTTTTATGAAGATGTATTTGTTTAAAAAATGTTGACCAAAATTTGAGCAGGATGTCTGATTTCTCAGTTTACTGTGTGTGCTGTTTTGATTTTACTGGTGAGAATCTTATCCTGCAGGCATCAGGCTTGCAAATTGAGTGGCTGTGAGAGATTCTGTTCCCCGGGGTCCCACGATGCAGAGCGGGGCGACTGGAGGCTGTGCTGGGCCTGCTGAGGATGGGGCACCGCCAGCTGGGTGAGCCCCCGCCTGCTAAGCAGTGGCATTCACCAGCCCGTCTCCCAGTCTCCTTCAGGTTCCTGCTGCTTTGTTTCTCAAGGCGCCCTTGGCAGGATCTTCCAGGATGCTGGTTACAAATGCAGGCTCCTGGGGCCCCGTGCCTGGATCTGTGGAGACCCAACTGCAGGGTGGAGGAGCTGGGAGCCACATTCTTTTTAAAAAAATTTTTTTTTAAAAATTTTATTTATTTATTTATTGAGACAGAGTCTCGCTTTGTCGCCCAGGTGGGAGTGGAGTGGCGTGATCTCGGCTCACTGCAACCTCCACCTCCTGGGTTCAAGTGATTCTCCTCTGTCAGCCTCCTGAGTACCTGGGATTGCAGGCATGCACCACCACGCCCAGCTAATTTTTGTATTTTTAGTAGAGATGGGGTTTCACCATGTTGGTCAGGCTGGTCTTGAACTCCTGACCTCGTGATCCGCCCGCCTTGGCCTCCAAAAGTGATGGGATTACAGGCATGAGCCACTGCTCCATGAGCCTGGGAGCCGCATTCTTATTTGGCTCCCTGGGGCGATTCTTGTGCATGGAGAGGCTGTGGAGAGCGTGCCCAAACTCTTCTGAGTCTTTTCCACGCTCATTGCAGAGATGGCTTCAAAAATTTGGTTTCTTCCTCCATGGTATGAATCTGCTGCCCAGATAGGGAGGCATCTTGGTCAGCCCTTTGTGCCTCAGTGGAACCAGATGGCTCATCCTCACTTGTGGAATGGGAGTGGAGTTACATGTGTCACTTCTGGGCCAAAGCAGTGAAGAAGCTGTTGGCTATTCCCCTGTCTGTGTCTGAATGCAGAGAATGCCAGAGCCAGGAGGGGGTAAGCCCAGGATGTGAGGAGCCTCTGCCCTAGCGTGGCCGTGTGTACAGCACCGATGCTGATAGGAATAGCCATGATGGGTTGCTAGGTGAATGAGAAACAAGCTCTTCACTGGTGAAGCCAATGAAACTTGAGGACTTATTTGCTGTTGTTTTTGGAAGAGGGTGCAGGTGTAAGAGGAACCTCAGTCACAGTGGTGTGTGCAGTCTGCGGGTGGGCAGCAAGGAATTGACAATGTGCTGGAGGCTGGAGAGGCACAGTCAGTGCTGGCAGTGCCTTTGGGGAAACCACAGCTGCAAGGACTTGGACGGCGACCTCCACGCCTGCCGAGGTTCTGACGGAGCCGAGGCCCAGTGCGTGACAGCTGCCCGGGCCACTGCTGGCAGGTGCTACAGGAAGCATGAACTCGGCCATGGCTGGTGGATTTCAAGCAGAAATAGGAGACATGACAAGTTTAGAAATCAAGAGCCTTACAGAATTGGATGAAATGGTTGCGCCTGCATCCTAAAAAGAAAGAGATAAGATTGAAACATATTTTGAATTGCAAAGCCTTCTCTATTGAACCAAATGAGTCAGCCCTGCTCAAATCTGAGGCTGAGGGAGTGGCCCTCCCCACAGCTGGCGGGATTTGGGGATGGATGTGATCTGTGCCTGGGAACAGGGGTATACTCAGTTATTGGGTGAGCAGAAAGATAATGGCAGAGACAACTGACTGTCCCCCAGCGCTGTGCCCCTGTGGCCCACATCTCCCTGCCCCTCCTCCCGCTCCCCATCTGTGTGTCCACCTTTCTGGTGCTCCCGGCGGACTTGTGGCACAGGGATGCCTGTCACCTGTGGCTGAGGTGAGACCTGCAGGTGCAGGTGTGTCTCCTCCACCCTCTCCTGTGGCCTCATTGGTTGAATCAAGAGCAGTCTGGGGCCCTGCGGTAGGTCAGAGCCACCCATGAATGGGAGCAGAGGCCAGAGCCACACCCAATGACCAGAAGCAGCCACATGGGACCACAACTGAAAAGAACCTGGTGTTCAGCCAGTTGCCACTGAGGTTTGTGATGAGAGGCAGCGTCCCCCGCTCTTGCCTGCTACCTCCTTTCAGTGGCGGGGATGGGGATCTCACATTTGTCGCAATAAAGGCACGGACGTGGACCCTGGAGCTCCCAACGCCCTGGGTTCCTGCATTGCGGTGTCTCCTGGCTCTCTTGTTAAATTCTTTCCTGTCCTCATCTTTAATGTGGCATTTTCTCAAGTTTCTCCTGTCCACCTCCCTCCACAGCCCTCACTGTGGAATGACCTCAGGAGGGAGCAGGGCTGGGAGCAAGCAGGGTGGGGCCAAGATGGGCTTGTGAGTGCCGAGCCCCTTGGGAAGAGTTCTAGGTCATTGCGTGATGAACGTCAGGCGTCATCCTTGGTCTTGCTGGCTCCGCACCCTCGGAGTTCTTCTGACTGCCAAGCTCTGTGGGTGCTGGGTGCAGCGGGAGAGATTGGGAGCCTGGTTCCCGAGGGCTCGCCTTGCAGGGGAGGACGGGGGGTCACTGCCCTGCCACTGAGCAGTGAGGAGGCCTGGGGCAGGCTGAGAGCAGCCTCCTCTGATCACCAGGATGAGCCATGGCCACTTCAGGTGCTGCCCACTCCCGGTCTAGGCAGAGCGTGGTGTCGTGTGGTCTCTGGAGTGAACGAGGGGAACCGGGGAATGGGACATCTGTAAAAAGTTTTGTGAAAAAATGTGTTTTGTTTTTACTTTATGAGAAAAACAGATTACGAAGTTCTAAGGAATACATTAAATACTGGATTTGTTCAAAACCACCAAATAAAATATTTTATATTTCTGTTTTCATGAGAAACTTGAGCCAACTTCTGCCAACAGAACTTGTTTGCATTGGATTTAATGATGGAAATAGCTGTTTTCCTGGTGGTTTCCTGGCAGACAGCAAAATATTTGGACTTCATTATCAAATTATCAACAACAAATGCTAAATATAGATGTGATATATAGGTGTTCTAAGCCTTCTGGCCTATTTTAAATTTATCATAAAAACTTTTGAAGAAAAATAGAAACTGTAATTGGTGGAGAACCCAAAGCTGTAAGTTGATAAAATGGCACAGAGCCATTTTCCCGGGAGGAGTCGCGGGGCCGAGAGGTGGTGTCTGAGGCACCTTTCTTCGCACTGCAAGTATTTCTGCGGCATCCACAGTAACATGATTCTATTTTAGTATGTTGCATCTGTGAGGAAAAGATATAAAATCTGTTCTGGAGAATAGAGAGTTGAAGTTTTCTCTCTAATAGTGAGAGTTTTTATGAACTATTTGATTTCCTAAGAGGAAAATTATAACTTCAAAAACAAAACATATTTTTCAGGATGACTTCAAAGACTTTATGTATTTCATTTTGCTATTAATTTTACTTTGGGCAAATGGAATGATGTTCTGCATCTCTTCTCGGCACTCACTGTGCGTTATGGTTTGCATTTTATCACCAAACTGCAAATTAAATATTGTCTTTGTTGGGGAATGATTCCTCTGTAGCCCTGCTATATGACCTGCATGTTTTTTTTCCTGTAGAGCCTTGAATTTCTCCCTATTAGAAATCCAAAAAATCAAATTTATGTTCTACTGCTATATTTCGTTTTCTGTAGGGACTGCAGCATGAGGAGGCAACTGTAATACCTTTGAGCCTTTTATTTTCTAAAATAAAAGGATCACATCAGCCACTTTAAAAGATAAGATTCGGGCAATCTCCATGAGTAGCGTGCACAATTTGTGCTACTGGGGCTGGGCTGTGGGCTGGACGCTCCTCTCCCACAGTGACATTCTTGTTTGAATGCTCCACACCTCCTTTTTTCCTAGAGGCAACTTTGACCAGAAGTTCTAGAACACTTGGGAATAACTAAGTATAACAATAATGAATCACTCCAACGAAAATAACCTAAGAGAACATTCACCCCAATGTTAACCATGTCCCAAGCCTCCCCCAGCCAGTGTCTCCAGCTGTCCTGCCCTCCCTTCCTGCCCCGTCCTGTCCACACGTGGCCAATGAAGCTGGCTGTTCAGGCGGTGACCCAGGTGCAGGAGTGAGCGCGACCACACTGACCAGGCTTGCTGGGCACAACCAACAAGCAATTGCAACGGTGGCAGCCGGCCAGAGAGCAGGAGGAGGTGCAGGGGCACTGGGAGTGGGAATGGGGTCCTCGGCTTCTCTGAGAGGAGGCCGGGGAGGCTTAGCTGAGTGGCTGGATCTGAAGCCAACACGTGAGGGCCTCTGCAGGGGACACAGCAGTCGACTCCGGGGATGGAGGCCATTGTGTGAGGCGTGTCTCAGCTTTGTGGGGGGCGGGGGTCGGGGGGGCCTGCAGAGCCAGGAGGTGGATGGGAGTGGGGTGGCCATGGAGGAAAGGGTGGGCCAGGTTGTGCGGCCTCACAGGCTACAGTAATGGCTGTGGATGTCACCTCCGGGGCTCTGGGAAGCCACTGCAAGGTCACAGCCGAGTGTCAAGATGGGATCTGTGCTTTGGGGAGCTCACAGAAACGCCATGTGCAGGAGGCAGAGTGGACTCGAGGCAACCTATTAGGAGGCTGTGAGGTGCATGGCCCAGGAGCTCAGCCAGGTCCTGGAGCTGGGCTGGACGTTGGGCAAGGGAATTTGAGGAGCTGAGGGCAGCACCAGGCATGGCAGGATGGGCTCCATCCGGAAGGTGGGAGTTGGGAGACAGCAGGGGACGGGCAGGAGGGGCTGGGAGAGTGTGAGCCTGGTTCTGGGTATGGCAGAGTTTCAGTTATTGGGGGAAAAGCCTTATCGTTTGGTTAATAAACACATTTAGTTAAAGGAAGGAGGCACAGGTGCTCTCGGGTGCAGAGGCTGAGGGTCGGCACAGGTGCCCTCGGGTGCAGAGGCTGAGGGTCGGCACAGGTGCCCTCGGGTGCAGAGGCTGAGGGTCGGCACAGGTGCCCTCGGGTGCAGAGGCTGAGGGTCGGCGCAGGTGTCCTCGGGTGCAGAGGCTGAGGGTCGGCATAGATGCCCTCGGTGCAGAGGCTGAGGGTCGGCACAGGTGCCCTCGGGTGCAGAGGCTGAGGGTCGGCATAGATGCCCTCGGTGCAGAGGCTGAGGGTCGGCACAGGTGCCCTCGGGTGCAGAGGCTGAGGGTCGGCACAGGTGCCCTCGGGTGCAGAGGCTGAGGGTCGGCACAGGTGCCCTCGGGTGCAGAGGCTGAGGGTCGGCACAGATGCCCTCGGTGCAGAGGCTGAGGGTCGGCACAGGTGCCCTCGGGTGCAGAGGCTGAGGGTCGGCACAGGTGCCCTCGGGTGCAGAGGCTGAGGGTCGGCACAGGTGCCCTCGGGTGCAGAGGCTGAGGGTCGGCACAGGTGCCCTCGGGTGCAGAGGCTGAGGGTCGGCGCAGGTGCCCTCGGGTGCAGAGGCTGAGGGTCGGCGCAGGTGTCCTCGGGTGCAGAGGCTGAGGGTTGGCACAGGTGTCCTCGGGTGCAGAGGCTGAGGGTTGGCACAGGTGCCCTTGGGTGCAGAGGGTGAGAGTTGGCACAGGTGACCTCAGGTGCAGAGGCTGAGGGTCGCACCGGAACACCCAGGAGCGGGACAGGAGGGTTGGTGACTGGTGACAACGCAGCCGCCTTCCTTCCCTCTCCTGCACGTGTGGCGTGTGCGGGAGATTGGTATGTATATTTACATCCATGTGTACACATGCATGAACACGCACGGGTACATAACTAAGGAAGAAACAGATCTAAAGGGAGAGATTTCGTTTTTACAGGCCATGAAGGCAACCAGGAAAATGACATGAATATGAGTGTTATGACTGTGAGCTGTCTGTTTACTAAAATCCCAGCCCATCTCTTTGTCTTCCAGTTACACGGGTGTAGGAAGCCATAAATGTTTAATGGAACTGGGGGCCAGGAAGTAGCAGTGATGTAAGTTTTATCTCTCTGTGGTCAAAATACCATCAAATGCTAGCGGGGGTGGGAGCCCCCACGCTGTGATTTTGTATGTCTTTGCCTCATAGGTGGGATAGTTACTCTTCTTCTCCATTTTCTAAAGAATGAAACTCAAATTTCCCCTTTGAAAGTTTTTTCTTTAATGTTAAAATACACATATTTACTTCTGCACAAAATATGGGCTCAGTCCTCAATGGTGGGAATTATTTTAAGAAATCATACATGGCCTCATAGACTTTCCAAGGGGTAGAATATTTTCTAATCACATTTTCCTGAATAAGGGCACAGTTCGGGGTTTCTCTGGCTCATTTTTAGTTTCTCCAGGAGAGACAACAGAATTTCTCTCTGAAGACACTTTGAACAGTGCACAGTTGGGTGTACGCAGAGCTTCAGGGTGCTGCGGCACCCACTCCTCCCCAACTCCTCACTGCTGGGCCAAGGTATGTTGAGCAAGTGAGAAACTTCCTCAAAGAGTGTAACAGCTCCATTCTCCGATTTCTGAAATCTTTGCTTCTTCGTTCTTTCCAAAACATTACATGCCTTTTGTGATACCAACAATTTCATTGGAAACTCCCATTGTGAAAGCATTTGGGAGTTGCTTGAGGGAACAGTAATCGGCCATGTGATGGATGGTTGCCGGTGTGAAGGATGGAGCTGTGGAGGTTAAGGTCAAAGTAGGCGGCTCTTCCATCTCCAAGAACCTTATCTGAAGAGCTTCTGGGAACACTGCCACACAACAATATCTAGCACCTCAGTCATTTTCTTTTCTAAAATAACATTATGTTCTGAATTTAAAATAATTCAAGTTCATTTTAGAAAAGTTGGAAATTAGACATAAAAATGATAAAGGAGAATATCCCACTGTTAGATAATCCTGAGACAACCACTGTTAAAGTTTTGCGCTATTTTCTTACAGATATCTATACCTACCTGCACGTCCATACCTAAGACTATGGTATTCTGTCAAGTGTAAAACTTATGATTTATGCAGCAAAATTTGAAACACAAGGAATGTGGCATTGTGTCTTGTTTTTCCATATAATATTATACTGTGAACATTTTTGCATGTTATTAAATTTCCTTCACCAGCACAATTTTTCATGGTTACATAATATTCCTTCAGTGGTGAGTGGGAGTTGGCTTTTAGCAGCTTGGGGAAGAGAAAATGTGCATATCTTCAAAACTCTGTGTCCACCGATTCCATGGTCCTAACTGGCACCACAGACCTCGGCAATCACTACAAATCTGGGCTTTAAAAACTTTTTCGTTTTTCTTGAGCCGGGTGTCATGGCTCACGCCTGTAATCCTAGCACTTTGGGAGGCTGAGGTGGGTGGATTGCCTGAGCCCAGGAGTTCCAGACAAGCCTGGACAACATAGTGAGAGATCTTGTCTCTACTAAAAATAAAAAAAATTAGCCCGGAGTGGTAGTGCACACTGTAGTCCCAGCTACTCGGGAGGCTGAGGTGAGAGGATTGATTGAGCCCAGGAGGTTGAGGCTGCCGTGAGCCATGACCGCACCGCTGTGCCTCAGCCTGGGAGACAGATTGAGACCCTGTCTCAAAAATTTTTTTTTCCCAAAGGGACAATTAATAACCATTTATCAGCACATCACTGGTTCTGTTATAGAAATGTAGCTTAACTAATTTAAACATTTGCTTTTCTGAAATGTAGGATATTTCCAATGCTTTTATATTCTTATAATTGTGCAGATCTTGTACATAAATCTTTATCTGCATGTCTGATTGTTTTCTTAAGACAGAATTCTGAAAGTGGAATTTTAGACTCAAAGGATATAAGCATTTGTAAGGCCATAGACACATAGTTTCAAATTGCTACCCAGAAAGGTTGAGTATCTTTGTATTTATATGAGGAGGTACAAAAGTGTCTGTAATACCAAATCCTAGTCAACACCTATTATTGTTGCTTTTAACAATCTTTGCTAATTAGGAAGGAGAAAACGACATTTCACTGTTGCTTTAATTTGTATTTTTAAGTCGTTAACAAAGGTGAACGTTTAAAAAAAGTGTACATTGGCTGGGTACTCACTTCATAAGAGGGTTTCATGATGTTTTGTTAATTTGTCTGCTCCACGCAGAAGGCGCTTAGATTGTGTAGACTGCGTGTGAGTGACCTGACTCTTGGCAGATCCATTGGTGACTCTTCAAAGTCATTGAAGACTTTTCATAGAGTAAATATGGGTGTGATAAGTTCCTGCATCAATGATGAAGTCGTGCTCTCAGGATATACATCTTTCTCAGAAGCCTTGTAATTGGAGGTGGAATACAGTTATGTGGGAACCTTCTCTATCACATGAAGAGTCATTAAAAACAAGTGAAAACAATGTCAGATTGCTAGAACCAGGGACATGTGCCTCCAGGGTCTTAGGGCAGAAAGAGAAAAACAGGAACTGGGTAAAATAGAGTTGGGATAGGTGATTTGCCCACAGCCCAGGCAGCAGCTGCTGAGACTGTGAGTGCGTGTGTGTGTATGTGTGTAAGCATGCGTGTGGACATGTGTGCACCCATATGCATGTGTGTAGTGTGTGAATGTGTATATGTGCATATTTACATGTGTGGGTGTGTGCCTGTGTGTGCCTATGCGTGTGGATGTGCATGCACCCATGTGTGAGTGTGGAGTGTATGGGTACGAATGTGCCCATGTGTGTTTTCGTCACAGCGAGAAGTTTCCGGCTCCCAGCTTTGAAGAGGGCAATGAGGAGATTTCCGAAGTCTCCCCCATGGCCTGTCCCGCATTTTGGGGCCCTAGCAGTCCCTCGTGGATCCCTGCTGGCCTGTGGGAAGGGGGTCCCATAGCCCCCACGTGCCCTGCCCTGCCGGCTGCCTTCACTTCTGGGTAGCTGTGGCTGCCCAATCCCTGTTCCTGGGACTTCCTCTTTACCCACAATTGAAGGGGCTATAAGTGCTCGTGGTGGCCTCACAGTTCTTTATGGGAGGCTTGCAGGAAGTCAGAAGGAACCAGGCCGTTTCTGAAGCTGTCTGACCCTTCACTCATTCTCTGCATGGGGAGTGCAGAGAGGAGGCTGGCGTAGGGCGCAGGGGGGATGGCATCCCTAGAAGCACTGCCCGACCCTGAGACAACCTGTCTCTCAGAAAGGCCACCGCCTCCTCCCAGGCATGGGGCCGCCTGGGCTTCTCCCTCTACCTTGCCTACGTCCAGCAGGCCACAGAGCCCTGCGGTTCCACTTCCTCAGTCAGCTGTCCTTGCCACCCCTCAGGACCTGCACCTGGGTCTCCAGCCAGCCCACCCTCCGGTCTCTTTGTCCCAGGCTGCACCATGAAAGTTCACCGCTTAGAAAGTACCCACAGCCAGCGTTCAAGATGCCTCGCCATTGCCTTAGAAATAAAACCAGAACTGTCCTGAAGGCCTGTGGGGCCCAACATCGCACTGCTCCCTCGTGCCTGGACACCCGGGGCTCCCCAGCCTCCTCCTCTCTGGTGGCAGAACGCACATGTTCCTCTGTGATGAGCGGAGGCCTCGCCTGCACCCTCCCCTCCACCCCGGACACCTCTGTGATGAGCAGAGGGCTCCCCTCCATCCCCGGACACCTCTGTGATGAGCGGAGGCACCCCCTCCACCCCGGACACCTCTGTGATGAGCGGAGGCCTCCCCTCCACCCCGGACACCTCTGTGATGACCAGAGGGCTCCCCTCCATCCCCGGACACCTCTGTGATGAGCGGAGGCACCCCCTCCACCCCGGACACCTCTGTGATGAGCAGAGGGCTCCCCTCCATCCCCGGACACCGCTGTGATGAGCGGAGGCACCCCCTCCACCCCGGACACCTCTGTGATGAGCAGAGGGCTCCCCTCCATCCCCGGACACATCTGTGATGAGCGGAGGCCTCCCCTCCACCCCCGGACACCTCTGTGATGAGCAGAGGGCTCCCCTCCATCCCCGGACACCTCTGTGATGAGCGGAGGCCTCCCCTCCACCCCCGGACACCTCTGTGATGAGCAGAGGGCTCCCCTCCATCCCCGGACACCTCTGTGATGAGCGGAGGCCTCCCCTCCACCCCCGGACACCTCTGTGATGAGCGGAGGCCTCCCCTCCATCCCCGGACACCTCTGTGATGAGCGGAGGCACCCCCTCCACCCCGGACACCTCTGTGATGAGCAGAGGGCTCCCCTCCATCCCCGGTCACCTCTGTGATGAGCGGAGGCCTCCCCTCCACCCCGGACACCTCTGTGATGAGCGGAGGCCTCCCCTCCATCCCTGGACACCTCTGTGATGAGCAGAGGGCTCCCCTCCATCCCCGGACACCTCTGTGATGAGCGGAGGCCTCCCCTCCACCCCCGGACACCTCTGTGATGAGCGGAGGCCTCCCCTCCATCCCCGGACACCTCTGTGATGAGCGGAGGCACCCCCTCCACCCCGGACACCTCTGTGATGAGCAGAGGGCTCCCCTCCATCCCCGGTCACCTCTGTGATGAGCGGAGGCCTCCCCTCCACCCCGGACACCTCTGTGATGAGCAGAGGGCTCCCCTCCATCCCCGGACACCTCTGTGATGAGCAGAGGGCTCCCCTCCATCCCCGAACACCTCTGTGATGAGCGGAGGCCTCCCCTCCACCCCGGACACCTCTGTGATGACCAGAGGGCTCCCCTCCATCCCCGGACACCTCTGTGATGAGCGGAGGCACCCCCTCCATCCGCAATACCTCGGATAGGCCTCCCGAACCCTCCGTGTACCCACAGGACTCGCTGACGGACGGAGTCGCCGGTCCTCGCCTCCCGCGGCACGGTCACCCCTACGCTCGCAGTGCCTGGCCCGGTGTGGGCACTTCACAGATCTGCAGAGAGTGTGATTCCAAGCGCAGCTTTTCCCAACCATGACATTAAAATGCTGTTATGGGATTAAAACAGCCACGTGGAGTCCAGCGGAGAGCAGCGGCGCCGAAGCCGGAGGAGCTGCCGTCCTGTTCCACGGCCTGCGCTTTGAACTGGATCGGATCCTTCAGGAGCGGCTCCGCCTCACCCAGAGGACAGCGGGAAAGTGAGACACTTCGTCCCGAGCCTGGCAGCACAGGTCTGCCGTCGGAGAAAACCCCGCCTGAGAGTCCAGCCCACGTTTGTGGAGAACGTGGATCTTCAGCTTCCCCCGAGCACCTGGCACTGGGCGAAGCCGCGTCTGAATGAAAAGAGGGGACTGGAGCTGAGCATGCCTGAGCTTCCCCGACGGCACCAGCCCTTTCCCTGCAGGTCCGGAGCACTTCTGACGGAAGCCGGGGTCCGAGTGGGACCCCCTGCCCGGCACTGAGGGCACCTGGGCCTGTCGCAGTCAGGGTGCAGCTGCGCTGGCTGGCATCCGTGATTTTGGTGAGAAAGGAGCTAAACAGGTGACTCGTTCTTCACCTCACCGCGTGAGAAACATCCAGCCACGGGAACGCCTCGGAATGTGCTGAGGCACCACCTGCAGTTTCCATTTCCAGGGAAATCTGAGATGCCGGGTGGGCGCCTGCTGGACTCCGCATGAAAGGCCGGGGAGATGTGTGGGGCTTTCGCAGTGGATGGAACCACACTCCCGACGTGGACGCCAGATTTTGTGAGGCTGGGTTTTCCGTGGTTGCTGTGATAAGGATCAGGTGCTGAGTAAGAACCAGTGGAGAACAGGCAGTGAGGGCACCCTGAGACCCGAGGCTCGAGAACTCTGCCAGGTGTTAACAGTGGCACACAGCCCAGGATCCAGTGATTGTGGCTAAGGCACACACAGATGACACAACTATTTTTCTTTACAGTTATGTAGCTTTTTTTTTTTTTTTTTAATGTGGCCACTAAGTTGTTAAGACATAAATAAATACTTCCTGAGCTCTTTGGAGCTGTCTTAATAAATGAATTGATTCGGCGTTTCTCAGCACCTGGGGTGCCATGAACAAACCTCTGAGCACCGAGTCGTCTGTCTGGGCCCCTCTGCTGGAGTGCTGGCCTGGGTGGGCAGACAGATCTGCCTCGTGCTGGAGGCAGTCGCGGTCTCCGTCACTCTGAGAAGTTGGCTGTGAAAGCTGGCCCAAGAGCTGCTGGCTGCCGGGGAGCTGCGAGGAGGGCCCAGGAGATACTGTTTCAGCCTCTGCTCTCTGGGCCTCTCCTTCACTGACACGGATCACCTGTAGGAAGATGTGGCCACTGGAAGGTCTGGCGTGGCCAGGGCCACCCGACACCGTGCCTGGCCTCGGACGCTTGCCACGTGGCCAGCTCCTCCATCTGATCCTGCCGCGGTCTGGTTGCCTGGCGGCCTTCCCTCCAGTACTCAGGCTGATTGGCAGCGCTGGTCATGCCCTGCTCTCTGGGTCTGACGTCCAACACTGAGGTTGCAGACATATAAGAGGCGCTGGAGAGGAGCTGGATAGGCAGGAGCGTTTTCCGAGAGGCATGTCACCTCCCTGCAGGCGCCTCTTGGTGTATCCTTGGCCATTGCAGGAGTGGCGTTGGGAAGGAGACCTGGAAGGGGGCATCTCAGGTCCGGGGCTCAGAAGCCACTGCACCCTCGGAAGCCACTGCACCCTCTGACCCCAGCCTCCTCCAAGGTCACCATGAGCCATCTGGGGGTGCATCCATCACACTCACCAAACACTTTGCTTCCAGCTTTAAAATGGGTGACTTGCTTCTTAAAAATAAAAACGCCGACCCATGAAGACATCCTATGCACTTTGTCAGGGGTACATCTTCGGCTGAGGATTAGCCCAAGAGGGACAGAGGCCTTCTGGGGTCTGCCGCAGGGGGTGGGGGGACGTGCAATTCCTTCTCCCCAGACATTTCCTCTGGGTCGTGGAGCTTCCGTAAGGGTGGTGGGGATATCTGGCTACTGAAATGCTTGGGAATGGGATTTTAGTAAACTTTGAGAAGATACAAATAGGAATATGTTCAATTAAGTACAATCGACCATTGAACAACATAGGGGTTGGGAGCACCGACCCCCACGCAGCTGAAAGTTCAAGTGTAACGTTTAACCCCCTCCACGATGAGCTACAAATAGCCCTGGACCAGAAGCCTTGCTGAGAACATGAAGAGCCAACGTTTTGTACACTCATGGGTTTGTACAAAACCCATGTTTTGTACGCTCTGTGTTATATACTGGATTCTTACAATAAAGTAAGCTAGAGAAAAAAATGTTATTAAGAAACTCATGAGGAAGAAAAAACTCATCTACTGTTCATTAAGTGGAAGTGGCTGATCCTAAAGGTCTCCAACCTCGTCGTCTTCAAGTTGAGTAGGCTGGGGAGGAGAGAGGGTTGGTCTCACTGTCTCAGGGGTGGCAGACATGGAAGAAAATCTCCGTGTAAATGGACTTGTGCAGTTCAGACTCGAGTCGTTCAAGGGTCAACTGTAATTCCATCATCAGTAATTTTATTAAAATGGTGAAAATAGTCCAAATTCTTCCAACAAGACAGTTTAATTTTGTAATTAAAAATCCAGGCTGAGCCGGGTGTGATGGCTCACAACTAATCCCAGCACTTTGGGAGGCTGATGCCGGTGCATCATTTGAGGTCAGGAGTTCGAGACCAACCTGGTCAACATGGTGAAACCCTATCTCTACTAAAAATACAAAAATTAGCAGGGCGTGGTGGTGCATGCCCGTAATTTTAAAAATCAGTGGGATCAGAGTCAAAGATATGTACAGGCCATTTAAGAGAATGATCGACTTCTGGCCACCCGGTGCCTGCCTGCTGCGGTGGCGCTGTGCCGGGCCCAGGGGTCCCAGGGACTCCCGCCGTGCTGTCAGCCTTGGAATCTCAGTGGGGACCTGTTGTGTGGAAACTTCCGGACAACAGTCTTTCCCATGGAGAACCTACGTCTTCACAATGTTACCACTTCCCGTACCCCGCTGCTGGACTTCCCACCTCCGTCAGCATTTCAGGTGAGAACAGAAACCAGGGAGTGGGAGAGAGTCATTTGGATTAAATGCATATTTCATAGCAGAGACAAAAATTATCCCGAAACCATTAAATTTTGGGTTGACACTGGTTGGAAGAACTGATATAGTTAAATTAAAAAAAATTAAAATTATAGCATAAACTTTATTTCTATTTTAAAATATGCCAAATTGTATAATTTTGCTCAGAGATAACCAGAGCTAGAAAGTATCCATCCTTTGTTGCTCACAGTAACTGATTCCTTGGAAGCAAAGCCACTGCAGATGCCCACGCCCCCAAGACTGGGTCCAGGGGCCTGACACTCCCCTCGGGTAACAGCTGCGCCCAGGTGCTGGGCAAGGAGGGGGCCGAAGGGCACGCACAGTCTCCTACAGCCCGTCCTCCGGCTTCATGGAGGGCTCGGTGAACTCGGTGCATCTCTGTCAAAGCAAAGTGGGGCTCTCCTCGTGGTGCTGTGTCTAGGGTGGGGGTTGAGGAAAAGAAATTCTGGGAGGCCAGAGGTGAGAGCCCTGGGTGCCATCTTCTCTGAGTGGCCACTGCAGACGGGGATGGGTGCCGCCTTCTCTGAGTGGCCACTGCAGACGGGGGTCTCCCCACCTGCCGGGGAGCAGCTCCAGCCGCCGTCCCCTGACCTGTTCTGTGCACCAGCTCCAATCTCCCAGCCTCGCCCGTGAAGATGGAAAGACCAACTCTGCAACCTATGTAGACCAGTTTAAAGGTTTTAAAAAGGTGATGACAGGGTTTCCAAGAAGTCTATTTGGTGTGTGGATGTGGAGGAAGACAGGGGAAAGACTGAGGCCCTGAGTTTTCATCCAGAAGTGTCTCCTAAGAGCACCGCGTGCCACATGGAGCCAAATCCCAAGTCCTTGGTCATTCCAGGCTGACAAGGATCCTTCATCCAAATGCCGTGATCTGCTTATGGAACCAATCACGCCTCTCCAGAAATGCCCTGCGCACAGACACACCACAAGCCTTTGCAACCTTTTCTCTCTCTCGGTATTTTTGACTGCTCTAAGAACAAAATCCCCATTTCTCCAGGACCACCCCGCACTCTGTCACCGCCAGTTCCTCTCTGCAGCAAATGTCACCAGCCCTTTGCTAAAACGGCGTTGCTCACCAGGTCATCTGTTTACCTGTGTTCCCCATGCTGGAAACACAACCTGGCTATTGTGCTGATTAGCAGAGTCCAGTGTCCTCTCACCAACAGGCTGGGGTTTCCGTCCATTCAATTCAAATGACAGTGCCGTGGTGGGTCTTGAGGCGTTTCATAGAGGATTTTGCCATGCAGATATGCTTCATATTCATGAATAAACTCTGGAAGCAACAAAAGGGGTGGAGAAATGAGAATAAAATAAAAAGGAATCTTAGCATCATTGTGAAAAGTTTATGGTGGGTGGCTGGCATGGGAGTCTATAAACCAGAACTGGCTCCAACGAGCCCAACAAGAAGAGCGAGCACTTTCCTTCCTGCTGCTTATGAATTATTGTCGCTGAGCGCTCCAGTGTTTACTTCTTAGCATTGACCCTTTTGCAAAACTGTGATCCAAAGCTGCACTGCTATTAATTGGAAATGCCCCTGCCAGGCCTGGAGAAACGACTCTTCAGGAACAGAAGGAGGCGGCTCCCCAAAGGCCAGTTAGCTCTGCGATCTACCGAAGGGCGTCTGCACTGGCCTAGATTTTATTCAGAATTCACAGCCGGGGGACAGAAGGAAAAAAGAACAGGTTTCTTTCAGGTTGCTCTGTGCACTGGCATATATATAATTTAAATATTTACCCACTGGGAGAGGCTGTAGTGCTCGGGCCCACCGCTGCCAACGGGTACTAATCCTGGGGCGTGAGCCTCTTGCTGGCAGAGGCCTGTTTTATGCCGATTGAATAACACATACCACTTTTCTTGAGAAACCCCCACTATGATTTCAAAACACATCAGTTTCAATTAAACGCGAAGGAAAAAAATGTGCTCACTAATTCTGGGCTGCAGTTACTTATTGTGGAGCTGGCTGCTTTGAATTTGAAAAGAGTTTGATGGAGACTTAACCAAATGACATATAATCATGGAATATTTTTTTATTATACCTGGAGTGATAAAATTGCCAAATGGTGTACTGTGTGACTTTTAAAATAAATTACACCAAAACCTGTGTGCTGGAGTAAATCTAAGACGCAGCACTGCTGAGTACCATACTAGCCGAATGGCGTCCGAGAGGCTCAGCAACTGTTTTCCTGTCTGTGTGTGGCTTGATCTGTGGACCTTCCTGTGCACTTACTGTGGACCTGGGGGACTCCCCAGCCATGGCCCTTCTCTGCCCCTCTCCTCTGAAGAGGTGGGCTCAGGACAGGTGGTGTGGCTGGCTGCATCACGGGGGTGTGGGTGACCAGCTGGAGACAGATGAGCTCAGGGCCCAGGAGCCCAGTCTCCTTCCTCCTCCACATTTTTCCACCACAAGACTGTGGTGTGGAAGGGCCTGGTGCCCTTGTGATTGATGCTCTGCAAGTGTGCCAGCCTGGGAGAGATGCAGTGCTTCTCCTGGAGGGAGACCACACATTTACTTGCTCAAGGTCAATGTCATCCATTTCTGCAGAAGCACTTTGTCGTTATGCCCAGGGTTGATCATTTCTAATACTGCGCTTATTTTTAAAATTCCTTAGAAGAGTGAAAGTCCACGTAGACCTTGTTAACTTTAGTTGGTAACGACTAATCAGGAAGACGCATTTGTATTAGCATTGTGTTTACTGTTACAACAAAGGCAAGAACTTAGGTGCCAAAATGGTACTTGTCATTTGGATATGACTTCCACATATGTATATTCTTATCTGTAAAAATTACTCATATATATATATGCACACATACATCTATTTAAACATATATCTATCGCCTAGGAGGTAAAAATTTCCAAGTCAGTTTCACTCACCACTTAAAGTTGTCCCCATAGTTGGGTATGTATGGGTTTTTATCACAGAGAAATGAAGAAAAGGAATATTTTATAAGATACCTTTCTTTCTTCCCCTTCGTCTCCCCTCTCCTCCCCTCCCTTCCCCTCCCTTCCCTTTTCTTCCCTTCCATTCCCTTCCCTTCTTTCTTTCTTTCCTTCTTTTTCTTTCTTTCTTTCTCTGTCCCCCTCCATCACCCAGGCTGCACTGCAGTGGCGCGATCTCTGCTCACTGCAACCTCTGCCTCCCGGGTTCTAGTGATTCTCGTGCCTCAGTCTCCTCAGTAGCTGGTATTACAGGTGCCCACAACCACGCCCAGCTGATTTTTGTATTTTTAGTAGAGATGGAGTTTCACCATGTTGGCAAGGCTGGTCTCGAACTCCTGACCTCAGGTGATCCACCCCCATCAGCCTCCCAAAGTGCTGGGATTACAGGTGTGAGCCACTGTGCCCGGCCAGATACTTTTCAAGGTGGGTCAGACTGGTTTGCTGCAGGGTAACCGTCTTCAACATTAAAAAATATAAGAAGAGTGGAATTGGCCTAGGCTAGAAATCCCAGCTTGCTGGGGAGTTATCACACCTCCAGTCTCCCTATACAAACATCTCCCAGTCACCCGAGGGCCTTGCGGCTGCTGGTTTAGGGGTACTCATGCAGCTGTCCTCGCCGTCCCCACCCTCCTGCGAGCCTCCTGCACAGGCTCAGGTGCATCATGGATGGGTCTGGGGCTGCCTCTCTCGCACTTGGAGACTGCAGATTCCCGAGATGCTGCCTCAGACGCAGGGGCAAATGCGGAGGAGGTCCTCGGTTGTGCACCGGGGGAAGGACTGACGGTGTCGTCTTTTCTCCTGCAGTGACCGTCTCTGTCCTGGGTTAGCCTCCACGTTCCGGGGCTCCGGGAAGGCCGAGGTGCCTCTTAGGGGCTGTTCCACACCAACGCCCACTCTGAGCCTCGGGAGAGAGCGGGTGCCAGGGAACCTGGAAACATCGGTGGGGTTAAGAGCTGGGCTCAGTCTGCAGGCGTCCCAGGTTGAGGCTAACCTGAGGTCCCCAGAAACCTGAGAGGTGGCCCTGCCTCCCTGAGATGTGTTTTCTATAAAATTATCCTCGATGAAGAAGCCTGAAAGGAGAGAAACAATGCGGAAACAACCCTGGAGGACTCCCTGGGGCCGAGGGCTCTGGGGCGCCTGCCCTGTTGGAGGCGCCGTGCCTGCCCTGTTGGAGGCAACCTTGGGGCCCACTTATAGTGGAAAAGGTCTTCAAATGATCAGTTGAATGTTCAGGAACAGAATGCCTGTTTCTTCTTAGACAATTTGCTGGATGTAAATACTTCCTGTGCCGAGAATATTTTCAGTTTTGTTCTAGATAGCTGCTTGCACAGAGGCCATGTCCAATCTTATCTACACATCAACTGGAGGTTACTTTGTGTTTGTGAAAGGACTCACTGCAATGTTTCATAAAACGTGGGATGAAAGAGCTGCCACTCCCTGACTCCCTAAGCACACCCTGAAGGGAGATGATCCTTATCTTGGAATTCACTTACACTCTTAATTTCAGATGTGGTGGTCTGCACTCGGCAGGACGTGGGGGGTGGCGGGTGGGTGTCGTGTGACCAGGTGGGGTACAAGGAAGAGACTCCCTGTGTCCCCCACAGCCAGGCGGCTTTGGAGGGCTCCTGTTCCTCCTTCCCCTTCAGACTCAGCACCCCTGAGGTTTGGTGTTGCCCTCGGCGGGGTGTGTGCCTGTGTGTGTGAAGGTGCTGGTTTAACATTAGACGGATACAGAGGCTGTTCTCTAGCCCAGGCAGGTGAGGGCCGTGGGGGCTGGGGCTGGGCACTGGGTGGTGAACTCTGTGGTCCTGCTGGCCTGGCACACCCTGAGCCACCTGTGAAAGCCTGTCCCTCTCTCCATCCCTGCCCCTCACTCCCCTAGCTGCTGCTTCCCGCCCATTCACTAAGATCTGAGGAACATGACCATGGAGTTAGGAGGGCCTCCTGCCTGCCCAGGGGTTCCCTGGGAAAAGCCTGACCCTCTGCAGCGACAGGGAGTGGGGCTTCCCCAGAAAGGAGGTAAATTTGGAGCTGGGTACAGGGGCCAGCGCTGGGCCTCAGGAGCAAGGCAGGAGCTGGGGTTGCTGACAGGGGCCCACGAGGCTGTGGGGAAAGCCCAGGCTCCTGTGTGGCAAGTTCTCTCGTTTTCTTCCCTCCTCAGGTAAATCCTGCACAGTGTCCCAGGGCACCGTCAGGAGGGGCATGGGCCAGGCCATCAAAAGGGAGGGGTCTGTGCATGGGGCTCCTCACTGCCAGGGAAGGTGGTCCCGGAGTTCTGAGCTGGGAACTTTATGGGGTAGATAAGAAGGGCCCCTTTAGGAGGGTTTGAGCCCCTGCAGCAGGGCTGTGGGAGCTGAGTGTGCAGGGGAGGGTCCTGCTGGCCTCGGTGTGCTGCACCCTCCCCATGCAGCAACCCTGAGGCAAATGCACATGTGATTTCCAGTGCAATGGGTCATTTTTAACAGTAGGCCAAGGAGTAACCCCAACAGTGGCTCCTGGTGGAGGGTGTGTGTTTCGGTGCATTTGCAGACCACGTGACCGTCCGCTCCCACTGTGGATGCTGCAGACAGCCCATGGACCTACAGGGATGCCTGCCTGCCACTGCAGCTCTTCTTGAGACGGCCCAGAGGTGGGGGATGGGGACACAGCAGTGACCCTGAAGTTTAGGCAGTGAGCTTCATAGCCATCAACCGCCCTGCCTCCCAGGCTCCTCTGGCTCTGGGCGGCTGCCCAGGAGGTCATCGCCAAGCCTCGCATTCGGATGGGGTGAGCATCCTCCCAAGGCGCCTCAGATTCCTTTTGTTGCAACGCGTGGACCCCTGACATCAGGCGAGGGGGCCAGCCTGCCCTCAGGGCACTCCACCCGCCCACCTGCAGAGCTCCTTTTGCTGCAAAGCGTGGACCCCTGACACCGGGCACGTGGGCCACCCTGTCCTCAGGGCACACCACCCGCCCGGCCTGCAGAGCTGCCTCCCGCAGCTGCCCCATGGCAGGCAGTGCTGCACTCACACCCATCCTGGCCCCCTACAGTTGTAAAATAGCCTCCAGCCCACCTCTCTTTGCAGAGTGAGGACCAGCACAGAGTTCTGCCACCTCACCCTGTATTAACTGTCATGTGCCATGGGGTTAGTGGACACTGGACAATGTGGCCTCACATCAGTAGCCTCCAGAATTTGCCCTGAAGCTACCTGACAGGAGGGCCCCCCCGGGTATGAGGTGCAGTGAGCACCAGAGAGCAGCTGCTTATCGAACATTCTAATGATTTCAGCTGCCAGTGGGTCCCCGGGCCCCTGAATTCTGCAGACGCTTCTTTCAGGAAATAGCGATAGATAAATCATGCTTTTCCCTATGCTCAACTCATCTTCAGAGCTTTTCTGCCTCCCCATGACACAAAATGATGCAGCTGCATTTCGTGAAATGACGCCCTTCCTATTCCCTGCAGCTCCGTATTCCCTATTCCCTGCAGCTTCCTATTCCCTGCAGCTATTCCTTCCTATTCCCTGCAGCTTCCTATTCCCTGCAGCTCCCATGAAGAATTCTCTTTGGACCCGAGCTGTCCACCCTCAGGTCAGTGGAGTGTGAACCTCCAGGGACTAACACATCATCACTTCAGGGCACTGGCTGGGAGCACGCTCCCTTACGTTTTAAAACAAGGTGTCACACTGCCTAGAAGCCTGCTGGCATAAAGGCAGGTCTGTGCGCATGTGCTCCCTGTGTAGGAAGCTATACCTGGATCTGCTTCAGGTGACGCACACTCTTTAGGAACAACAGCAGTGACACAGCACTGGCAACGAAGGGCCGGCAGCCTCAGGACACAGCCAGGCCCTCTTCCTCGGGGCTGAGAGCCGCAACCCTGTCAGGGGCTAAGGTCATTGCTCAGACTGCAGAAAGACACCCGGTTATGGGAATTGGTGAAGTAGAATATGCTTCCCACCTTGCCGTGCACTCTGCCTGGGCAGGTGTGGGGACCGCTCACGGCACTGAGCCCCCCAGCCTGTGCATGGGGCCTGCACCCCTGTCTCGTCTCTTTCCTGCTGTCCTAGTAGAGGACATAAGACACCCATAGCTGAGCTGCTTCCTTCAACGCACGGTGAAGTGATTCGGCCTGCCCAGCCCTGTCTGAGTTCAGGTCACTCTAAACAAGAGGGTCAGGAGGCTCTGAGCACCTGTGAGTGCTGCCGGCAGCTGCCTCGAAAGCCTCGGCCCCTACCTTTCCCTGGGAGGCCGGGAGCCTGCAGGTGTCAGCAGTATTGGGGGGGACCCTGGAGCCCCAGAATATTGATGAGGGTGGCACGAATGTCACAGAGGCATTTTCTTATCATCTTTACTGGAAAACCACTCTTGGGCTACAGCTGTTAGCGCAGGTCGTGGGTCACAGTCTGAGGCCGAGGTCCAGCCCACTCTCTCTGGATTAAGTCCAGACAATTTTATTGAAAAAATTCTGCCCATTTCCTTAGTTACCTGGATGTCCGCCTCTGTCCTATGGTGCAGCGACACCCTCGGAGGGATGGAGACCAGAGAATCAGCCGAGACGCACAGCACGCCGCTGCCTCCTCCGGGACCACCAGGGAATTCCGAGCCTCAGGGGTACTTGGAAAGGTGATGGAATGATAGAACGACAGCAAGCGTGATCTCTGTTCTCTCACCCCAAGGAGCAGTAATGTGCCTCCCTCCCAGGCTGCCTTCATAGGACGAAGCCTCCTGACCCCACTGAGCTGGGCAGGCTGGCCCTGGGAGCGTGGATTTGAACCCCCAGTTGGTCGTCAAAGGGGAGGGACTCTGTTTCTGTCCCCGATTTGTTTTCGGGGCCTTCCAAAAGCCGGGCGTATGCCGGGTCTGTGTTCAGGCTATCTGCTGGAATAAGAGGCTGACTCACACAGGTTACTTACTTGGAGCTGCCCGAGGTGTTACAGAGACGGATGCAGTGTGTCCCGGGGGGGTGTTTGTTAGAGAAGGCAGCCACCAGGTTGAGGACAATGGCCAGGTGCAACCGCCTGAGGAGAGAAGGTGAAGGCTGCCCCCAGAGGGCTATTTGGTGTTTCCAAATTTGGTTCAGCATGGAATAGAAAACCTGATGCTCGTCTACCAGTTTCCCGCTTTTAAAAATTTTACAAAGTTAAAAAAAAACATTTAACTAAGTAAAAATTTCTCTGGACTCTTCTCGGGCCAGGGAGGAGCTGGTGGCCCTGTAGCGTCTGGGAGCTGCAGTTCCGGGGACCCGTGATGCAGACCAGCTCCCCTGACCGCAGGCTCTCCTGTATGTCCATGGCTGGGGCTGCCTTTTATTTTCATGGAAATGCACCGACAGTTTGGAGTGGAACACCCCAGCCTTTTGAGGCAGCCTGGAAAGGCACTCTGCTACTTTGTACAGCCGTAATTACAGCTGCTCACCGGGGCACGCAAGCTGCCTGTTAGGGAAGGCCGCCACCTGATTCCCGCCTCGGAGGCCTGAGGAGCGGTCTCCGCTCATTCTCCAATGGAGAGCGTTTTCTCCCCTGGCCCCCTCTTCCAACAAAATATTCCTTTTTCTAAAAGCCAAATTCCCAATAGGTAAATAGCAATTACAATTACAATTGCATACAAGTGATAAATCCTGAATTGCCTCTCAACGCAACAAGCAAAGGAGACTTGCCTTTTTCAAACACAATGATGATCACCGTCCCTGGGGCTGTCTTATGTTTTTAAAAAGTGATATTTGACATCGCTGGGAGCAATTTGTGGTTTAAAAGCACTGAGCAGCAAAGTGGCCCACCGCCGGGCACGACATTCCCAGGGCTGAGGCCCGAGCCCAGAGCCAGCCCATCTCCGTTGACAATACCTTTGCTTCCCTCAGTGTTCGAACATGGCTTATTCACAAAGCTCTGTTTACTCAGATGGGAGAAAGTGACTGACCAGATGTTCTGGTTTTTCAAATATCGGTTGGTGTCCCTGTGATTTCCCTGGGAGACTGGATTGTCCCGATGTCCCTGCTGAGAGCCGGGTGGTATAAATGTTGTGGGTGAGGTAAAGACTCTCCAGCCACCAGGGCACCAGGGCAGATCGAGGAGGAATCCCCCGGAGCCCAGCTCCTTCCGGCTGCCACGGATTGACAGGGGGGTGGTGCAGGCGGCATTTCTGATGCCCTTTGCTGTAAACGAAGCTACTTGCCTGTGCTGCTGAGGACACCCAGAGACAAGAAAGTCACAAGCAGGGGATGTGTGTCTTCCAGGGGGACCTGGATGTGGGTGGGGGGACTGGATGGACAGTCCCTGGGGCCCTGCCCTGCGGGCACAGCCCTGGTCCCTCCGTGCCAGGTGGCCTTCACACCTGGTGAGATGAAACTGCCTGTGTGACTTAAAGGCCAGATGTGGCTAACGAGCCCCCTGACTGTTTAACTGTAAACGCCCCTCGTCAGAGTAAACAAATATCTGTTTAATGTGGGATGAAGGCTCTGGGTCACGCGACTTCAGGTGAAGCCGGAATCAACAGCCCCATCCATTAGGCGGCCCTGCCCCCACCTGTCGGGTTCCGGCCGCGGCACAGGCCGCCTGTTTGTTTACCTGCAGAGCTGTTACAATATTTTGCTTTCAGAGGAGATCCGGAGGCCCCTGCCACACCTCTGACATTTCCCCACAGCAAAGCCCCTCGGCTCCGGTGCTGGGCGCATTGTTCTGCTCCACAGCCTGGGCCAGAAGATGAGTGGAGAAGCGCAGGATCCAGGCAGAAATTATTATTGATTTAATCACATAATCAGCAGCAAACACTTCAGGCTAAGATAGCAAATCCATAACAGCCTTCCCACACAACCACCTGAGAAATTTACCAGCAAACCATGGCACACACTTAGCAAACACGCGGGGCAGGGGTCACCTTCACTCAGAGGCCGGATATTGACATTCCTAAAGCTGAAATATGTTTTGAGTTAAGTGTTATCAATCAGTGATAAGAGTTGCACGTCTGTTAAACATAACTGCATTGGCAGGAGGATTATAGAATGCTTTCTTGCCATAATCTAGAAGCATCTTTCAGACAAAACTCGGCTCGAAATCAATTGTGTGCCAGGAGCTGCCTGCCGTGGCCATTCAGTGTCGTACAAAAGGGCAGAGCTTCTCCCTGTGATCCTTCCCCAGAACCGGTTTATCTAATGAGACCAGACCTTTAATTTCTTTTCACATCAAATGTGGAATCAATGGTCTGGATTCAGGAATGTCTGTAAACAGCCATGAAGCCATGTCCTTGGAGGGAAGCGCGTGCAGCCGTCCCAACCCCTGGCACAGCCATGCCCACGTATCCTCTTCACCTCCAGGTAACGGCTTCGGCAGACCCTCTGGCTCCTGGCGAATCTTGGCAGAGCAGCCCATGATGGGCACAGCCTCACCTGCAGAGAGGCCCAGGACGCGGCCTCACTCTGTATGGAAGCTGGCACACGTCAGTCATGTTGGGGTTCATTCTCCTCGAGTTCAGAACAAAGAACCCTCGTTAATAATCTTCAAAGGTGAACCACCTCAGGACAGCTGTGAATTCCAGGCAGTGTTGAGGGAAGCTGTAAGGAGAGGTCCGGGGAGCCTCAGCATGGTGGGGACCCAGTGCAGCCCTCCTCGGACCCATGTCCACAGGGAGAGGGTTGGACTCAAAAGCCGGCCCTGGCCATGACGCTGCCACCCTCAGGGCACTGCTGCTTGCCCGGAGCCCCTCAGAGCCAAGCTGGGGAGAGAATCCTGAGCTCCTGCAGGCTGTCACATCCCCGGAGGCACCTCCTAGCGTGGGTGAGGTGGCCACAGGCAGATCCCCAGGCCCTGGACATCAGCCGCTACCTGGGCCTGCATTTAGGGCTCAGGTGAAGCACAGGGGTGGAGACATCTGCCTGGCTTTTTCAGCGTCAGTGTTAGAGCAGAAACGCGTGGATTGCCAGCCTCACAGGCAGGCGGGAGCCAGGCACGGGGTGTGAAGGGAGTGTGCACTCTTGGGGACCCTCCCTGTCCCTGCACCTAGGTGATTGCAGCTGTCCATCCCCCATCCCACGGGTGCATGCCGACGGGTCACCGCTGACCCTCAGGGTGAGCTGGGCTCTGCTCTCCAGGTGGAGATATGGGGGCCGCTGACCCTCAGGGTGAGCCAGACCCTGCTCTCCAGGTGGAGATATGGGGCCCTCTGACTCTCAGGGTGAGCTGGGCCCTGCTCTCCAGGTGGAGATATGGGGGCTGCTGACCCTGAGGGTGAGCCGGGCCCTGCTCTTCAGGTGGAGATATGGGGGCTCCAGGGCTTCAGGAACTCGCTCAACATCATCTACAGAGAATGCCTGGAGGCAGCGGGATCAAGGGCCATAGGTTAGAGGTCACAGGGCGCAGGTCACAGGCGCCTAGGTGTCAGGCTCACAGGTTCCTGGCTTCTACCAAATTCTCTCCATGGCTTGCTTTCTAGTGCCCCTTTGTCCGCTGAAGACGGAGAGGTGCAGGTGTCACGTCGTGGGGCACAATGCGGAACATGAAGGCAGGATTCGCTGTGCTCTGGGATGTCTGTGTCTCACCGGCTGCCAGCTGGGCTGGGCCCCAGCTCCCTAATCCGACGTCAGGATTTTTCCCATAGTGAAGGTTACTTTATAGACGCTGCCCTCCTCCTTCCTTCACGGCCCCACGAAGACGCGATCCCTGTGGGCCCAGAGGAAAGCACTCCTGTCGGCCCCTCAGAGCTGCCTTGAGGATGCGGAGGCCACACCCTGGGAAGGTGGGGATAGAGGAAATCAGAGTGGGGAGGACGCTGAAGGGCACGGACAACTAGGGAGGAAGCAAGATGGGAGGAGAGGAGAGGAAACCCTGGATCCTCGCTCCAGCCCCGGTTAGGAGCAAAGGTGGATTCAGGGGCCTGGCACAGCCCTTCCCTCTTCCCCGGGAGATGGGAGCGCTGGAGTCTTTAGGGACAGCTCCAGCCTGGGTCAGATATCCCGGGCCTTCTGATTTCCAGGTGACCCAGTTCGCTTCTCCCCTTTTCTGTCCATGATCAAACGACTTTGGCAAAACAGGCCTAGGACCCCCACCTTTCCCTGGAGAAAACACTGAGGCCGCCCAGGTGAGTGGCGGTGCATGCCAGGCTGGCCCTCTTGCCCCATGCACTGCACCTGGGCATCACTCTTGTGTCTCTCTGAAGCCCATGGCCATGCTGTTTAAACTGTCTGCACACAAACAATGGCATTATCTGGAAAGTTTGAAAGAAAATGCAGAAAACCACAAAGTCCAGTCTAACAAATACTAAAAACTCCTTGGCCTCAGATAAAAGATGGTGACACTATTTGCCTTGAATCGTGATTTTAGGGGAATACTCTGTCTGTTCTTCCACCGGAACAGATGACTTCTCTAAGATGAGAAAGGAGGAGAACTCCGTGTATCTTGCACTCAGAGCTGCCATCTACACAGAGAGAAAACGAGGCAGGCATGCGAGGCTCTTATTTGCAGATGAGCGCTTATCTGCCAATGTCTGCCACATGGCCAGGCCGGTCCCACCCAGGTATTCAGCACCATTTAGGGGCTTTCGAGCCTAGACACAACATCTAGCTGGGAGCTGGCGATATACCTGAGATGGCCTCTGCCATGGTGCCCACGCTCCTCGCCTCGGGACCCCTTCCCGTTGCTGGCTTCAGGGTCATTTTTGACCTCCTGGCTTGTCAGGGGCTAATGCCGTGTGCAGACACCCCCACAACCGCGATGGCTTTCCAGCCCACACTGCTTTTCTCACTCAATCCCTGACCTGAGGAGGGGTCTTTGGCACCTGTTTTGCCTGGCGACTCGGGAGTCCTAAGCGATCCTTCCTAGCCGTGGGGTTAATCCTCCTTGGCTCGCACGACCCTCCCGACAGAAACTTCTGGAGACCCACCTTGTCTGTCTTTGGTGGACACCCATTCCCCAGAGCCAGAATTGAAGAGCCTGCTGGCCTCATCCTGACCCGTGCTCTGTCCTTGGGGAAATCAGCACCATTTCCTGACCCCACTCCTGTTGCTGTGTTTCGTTCGTCCTGCTCACATGGTCCACGTGTGTCAAACAGAACTCAGAGCAGCAATGGCTTTTCATAGTTCAAAGTCTGGGAGTGCCTCAGTCAGACCAGGCTTCCTGTTCATCCAGCTTCAAAGACACCAAAGCACTTTCCCAAACGTCACGGCTTTAAAAACTGTTTCTCAACTGAAACATTTCAGTAATGCAAATATTTTAAAGCTGCCAAGTGCAACTTTTTCTGCATTTGGGCGCTATGGCCTCCCTCCTCCATCACAGCCAGGCTCCCTCGTCTGCCTCCTGAGTGGTGGCACCTGCCTCCTGAGTGGTGGCCACTGGTCAAGGGTCAAGTGCCCGGGCTGCATATCCAGTCAGAAGGCGCTGCCCAGACCGGGCCACTGGTCAAAGACAGAGTGTGAAGGGGCAGCAGGGAGGGCTCTAAAGCCACACGGGAGACACCAAAGAGCCTGAGAGGAACACGTGGGGCTTCGTTCCACCATGGAGCAGGGAGACGGAGAGTGGCTCCCGGCGCTGCGTACCAGAGCATCTCTCTGGGGTGTGGACAGCTGCAGAAGCATCCAGGAGGGTTTTTATTACTTGGAATTTGTTTCAGCAAATAGATTTACTTCTGTGTGTCATCTTCCCCTATCAAATGGAAATAAGAAGTTGGGTTTCTAAACAATTTTGCTTCACTGTGTGGGGTGGAAAGGGGGTAATTTCTTTCCTCCCCATCCTAAGGGTCACGGCCAACAGCAAAATAACAAAGACAGGTTAACAAAGAGAAAAGCATAACACATTGGTTTGATCATAGTTTTGTGTGACACAGAAGCCTTCAGAGGGAAGACCCAAAGATACAGGGGCGGAAGTGGTCTGATTTTATGCGTAGGTTCAGTGAAGCAGGGACGGCCGTGTTCCTGCAATGGGATTGGCAGATGGGTGTGCTCCATGGTGCTGGACCGAGGGGAGCCCCCAAGGCCGTCTGTGCTCCGTGGTGCTGGACCAAGGGGAGCCCCCAAGGCCGTCTGTGCTCCGTGGTGCTAGAGTGAGGGGAGCCTCCAGGGCTGTCTCTTCAGATCCGTCTTGGCCTCTGGGCACTGCTTCTTCTTCCTAGGATGAGGCAAGACCTTGTAGAATTGGTGGGGTTTAGGACCCCCATCAGACAATGTAGGGCAGAGATCTCTTTATGGCCAGGCCTTATACAGAAAGGCCGGGGAAGCAGAGCGACCTTTTTAGGTTCTGTGGGAGAGATGAGGCTTTGGGAGAGATGAGGCTGAGAGACACAGGGGCGGGAGATGCTTAGAGACACTTTGCTTCTGAGGCCTTTGCTTTAGGATGTCATTTCCTAGCCCCAACGGTTGTGAATTCCTTTTACTCATAGCTGTGTATGTTGCACAAGCTTCTATATGTTATAGAAGGTGGAACTATATTTTCATGAGATGTCACATGACCAACCAAAGACAAATCTCCTCCTTATAACTTCGTCTTACCCTGACCTCTTTTCAATGTCTTTGCTGAAGTAGCTAAATTCATTAATGTACCTTTGGAGACATTGATATAAAAATATTGCTCTCAATGTTGAAATTTTCTTTAAAACAAAATCGTGTTAATGGCACAATTGTTTCTCTCATCCATTAAGTGCCCTATGTACCAGAGAAACAGAAAGATTAAATTCATTAGGGATAAATTATTAACTTAAATCTTCAAAGCAACAGCTAAAAAAAGTGCCCACCCAAAGTGAGGAGAGGCACAGCAGCACATAGCTTCACGCCATTGTCTGTGCGCTATTATAGCTGTTATAACTAATTGATCCACTAGCAGTTAATGAGTAGCCTTGCTTCCCCAAAACATGTGCAGGACAATTACGCTCACTGCTTTCAAAAGCCTCCATGCACGAGAGCAGTCTTTGGCCACCTCTGCCTTCCCGTCCTGTTGCACCAGCCTTCTCTTCACACATATTCCAGGGAAGAGGAAGTAAAGAAAAGGTGTTTAAATAACATTGAAATGGTCATATTCCACATTGTCCTCCATTTTCTTTGCAGAACTAAAAATCGACATATGTTTTTCATTCGGTTAATGGTGGGGGGAAAGATGGAGAGAGTAAGTAGAATGAGGTTGAGACATGCTTGGTTGTAAAAGCAGCCACCACCACAGCAAAAATAGAGCTGTGTGCAGCAGGGGTCTGTGCCTTTGACATACACTGGGGTGTTTAACTGTGGCCACGCCCGAGCCAAGAACTCCAACAGCAAATCCACACAGCCCAATGGGATACAAACCACTGATGCACCCACACCGCAGGGACAGCATGTTTCTCTGGACACAGAAAATGTAGGTAGTATGATCATGATTTTCTCAGGGGTTTCCCATTGTATTCCATTTTAGCTTTGGCTTCCTGGTTTTGTACTTGTAGGTAATCTACAAGTTAACTAGCTTGATCAAGACAGAGGATTCCTGTTTTAGGACTTTGGTGTGAATAGCTTCAACCCCTAGGCCAGGTTTAGAGGAACACATTTTCTCCTTCTCCTTTCATGCCATTTTTCAGAACAATACAAATACCACGTATATAATAATCTTTGGGACAAAGATCGGATTCTACCCAAGCAATATTTTTACCATTTCCCACCTTGCTGCTTTGTTCCAGTTTCTGTGTGACTCACATAGGTAGACTCGGCTTCCTATGGAAGGAGCACAGCAAGGAAACTGGCTTCCAAGTTCTCGGGTGGAAAGCACACCACCCGGTGCATGTGCGGTTCCCATACTCTGGGCACGACCCAACCTCACTGGAAGCCATCCTTCCCATTGTCACCCGGAGATGCCCTTGACCTCCTGGATATGGAGGGCAGATGTCACCTCTTGAGATGGTTTGGCTGTGTCCCCACCCAAATCTCATCTTGTAGTTCCCTTAATCCCTATGTGTTGTGGGAGGGACTCAGTGGGAGGTAATTGAATCATGGGGATGGCTTCTCCCTTCCTGTTCGGGTGATAGTGAGTGAGTTCTCATAATATCTGATGGTTTTATAAGGGGCTTTCCCCCCTTTTGCTCAGCACTTCTCCTTCCTGCCATCATGTGAAGAAGAACGTGTTCGCTTTCCCTTCCGCCATGATTGTAAGTTTCCTGAAGCTTCCCCAGCCACGTGGAACTTCAAGTCAATTAGACCTTTTTCCTATGTAAATTACCCTGTCTTGGGCAGTCCTTTACAGCAGTGTGAGAACAGACTAATGCACCTCTCCACCCTATCCTGAACTCTCCTGGGCAGCTGAACTTGAGTCGCCTTTTCTAGAAGAATGAGCTACAAGAACTTGTGTGTCTAGGATCCTGCTTCTGGCTCTGGAAGTTTTACAATGTGTGGGAGACTGGAAACCCTGCAGGCTAGATAAAGTGGGATGGAGGTAAGTCTTGGATATTCAGTTTCACACTCTTGCACTCAGGAATGGGGAAGTGTTCAAGGCGCACTGGCTCATGCATGGCTCACACACCACTGGTGCCCAATAAAGATTTGCTGGGTAATGTTGTTAATGGAGCTGAAATAGCAACTCCTATTTATAGATGCCTTACTATACTCCACAAAGCACTCTTCAATGGGTTTTCTCATTTGAACCTCGCAAACCTGAGTGGTAGATATTATAACCTCCATTTTACCCATGAAAAAGCTGAGGCTCACGAAGGTTAAGTGAGCACTAGAGCAGGTACAGCTCTCAGCACTGGGACTCATATCCATGTCTCCTGACTATTTGTGCTACTTTCTTATTAGTTTGTGAGAAGAATCCTTTTGAATCCAGGGTGCATTTTATATCCAGAATACTAGTTTCATATCTAGAGTTGTAGGAACTAAATGGCAATGTGAACACCTGTGCATCTACAGCTCACTCTAGAGACACATAGTCCAGTGGTATCTGAATGAGACTCAAAATCTGGATAAGCTTTCCAGAGGAGGCACCATCTGAGCCATGTTTTGAAGGAGTTCAATAAATAAGTAATTTGGGAAAGGAATTTCTGGTAGAAGGAATAGTGTTGTGAAGCGATAGAGGTGAAGAACAATGTGGCATGGCTGAAGCCAAGTATTTTTGCAGATGAGCTAAGAGATGGCAGGGGCTGAGCTGGGGTCCATGCAGGCTAACATAGGAGGTGAAATTTATCCTGAAAGGTGCAGGAGCTGCCAAAGGGCTGCTGGCAGATGGGTGACTTAATCAACTTGCATCTTGGACAGATCCTGAGGGAAACAGGGCCAGGACAGGTGTGTAGTCATCCAATTGGAAGGCAAGTGCAGATGACAGGATCTTCTTTTTTAAAGGCTGTTTAGTATTCCATTGTGTATATATATTACACCACATTTTCTTTATCCATTCATTCATTGATGGACTCCTAAGTTGATTCCATATCTGGGCTATCGTGAATAGTGTTGCCATAAACATGGGCATGCAGATATCTCTTTGACATATTGATTTCATTTCTTTTGGATACATACCTAGTGGTGGAATTATTGGATCATAGAGTAGTTCTAGTTTTTGTTTTTTGAGGAAGCTCCATACTGTTTTCCATAACGGCTGCATTAGCATACATTTCTAATAACAGTGTGCACTGACTGGGCCCCTTTCCTCTGCATCCTCACCTTCACTTATCTTTTGCTTTTTGATAGTAGCCATTCTAGCAGGTGTAAGATGATATCTCATTGTGTTTTGGTTTGCACTTCCCTCATGATTAGTGATGTTGAACTTTGTTTCATATTCTTCTTGGCCATTTGCATGTCTTCTTTTGAGAAATGTCTGTTCAGGTTCTTTGCCCATTTTTAAATCAGGTTATTTGTTTTCTTGCTGTTGAGTTATTTGAGTTCCTTCTATATTTTGGATATTAATCCCTTATCAGATGCCTGGTTTGCAAATATTTCTCTCATTCTGTGGGCTGCCTCTTCACTCCATTGATTGTTCCTGTGCTGTGCAGAAGCTTTTCAGTTTGATCTGGTCCCATTTTGTCTACGTTTGCTTCTGTTGCTTCTGCTTTTGGGGTCATATTCAAAGAATTATTGCCCAGACCAATGTCATAGAGCTTTCCCCCTGTTTTCTTCTGGTAGTTTTATAGTTTCACATCTTATGTTTAAATCTTTAATCCGTTTTGAGTCAATTTTTTATATAGCGTTCCATAGGTATGTGGATATCCAGTTATCCTGACACCATTTATTGAAGAGACTCTCCTTATTGTGTGTTCTTGGCAACTTTGTTGAAGATCAACTGACCTTAAATGTGTAGATTTAGTTTTGGGCTTTCCGTTCTGTTCCATAGGTCTATGTGTCTGTTTTTATCCCAGTTGCATGCTGTTTTGATCACTATGATGTTGTGGTATGTTTTGAAATCAGGAAGTACGATGCCTCCAACTTTGTTTTTCTTGCTCGAGATTGCTTTGGCTATTTGGGTATTTTTTTGGGGGGTCCCATATGAATTTTAGATTTTTTTTCTATTTCTGTAAAAATGTCATTAGGCATTTTGGTAGGGATTGCATTGAATCTGCATATTGCTTTGGCTACTATGGTAATTTTAACAATATTAATTCTTCCAATCCATCAACACAGGGTGTCTTCAATTTTTTTCATCAATATCTTGTTTTCACTATGCAGATCTTTTACCACTTTTGTTAAATTTATTCCTGTTTCTTTATGCTTATAAATGAGATTGTTTTCTTAAACTCTACTGATTTTTGCTGTTAATTCTGTCTCTTACAACTTTACTGAATTAATTTATTAGTTCCAACGGTTGTTTTCTGGTGGAGTCTTTATTCTCTTCAGCCTCAAAAAAGAAGGAAATCCTGTCATTTGTGATAACACAGATGAACCTGGAGAACAGGATGCTAAGTGAAATAAGCCAGACTCAAAAGACAAATACTGTGTAATCTCACTTATATGTTCATGTCTGAAAGAGGTGAACTTGTAGAAACAGAGAACAGAATGGTAGTTACCGGAATTTACTGGCGTTTTGGGGGAAGAGGTTGGGGAGATAACAATGTACTCTATACCTGAGCTTTGCTAAGAGAGTAGATCTTACATGTTCTCACCATAAAAAATAATAAGTATATGAGGTGATGGATATGTTAATTAGCTTGATTTAATCCTTTCACAATGTATACATATATCAAAACATCACGTGGCATGCAATAAATAGATATGCTTTTTATTTGTCAACTATACCTTAATAAAGCTGTGGGAGAGGTAAGTGGTGCAGGTGCAAAATGAGGCCCAGTGGTTAGAGATGAGAGAGAAGGGGGTGAGTATGAGAAGAGGTATCCACAGACTTTGGAGATGAAGACTTGGGTATGGGCATCTCAGCAGCAGTTCCTGCACAGGAAGAGCCCTTTCAGCCTGTTCTTCCCTTCCTCACTTTCTGAACTTCCTCTTAAGCAGCTCAGCAGATGCGGTGGATTCCCGTGGGTCCACCTCCATCCGCTTGCCTGTCCTCTTGGGTCCCAGGCAAGAGTTCAGCTTAGGATCAGATGCCACCCTTCCTACAATGAGTGGTCTTTGTCTGAATATACTGTTGTGGATGGCATAACTATAACCTGTGGTTAAGGGTGGCCCACAGCCTGGTAAGTGGCCTTTTTCCTGCATACCTGAGCCAGGTGAGATGGCAGTTTCATCTCACCTGCCCACCTGAGCAAGGCATGTCTGCAGCATCTCACCTGCCTACCAGGTATGTCTACAGCTTCATCTCATATGCCTACCTGAGCCAGGTGTGTCTACAGCTTTATCTCACCTACCTACCAGGTGTGTCTGCAGCTTCATCTCACCTGTCTACCTGAGCCAGGTGGGTTTGCAGCATCTCATCTGCCTACCAGGTGTGTCTACAACTTCATCTCACGTGCCTACCTGAGCCAGGTGGGTCTGCAGCTTCCCTTTTTTGTCTCGAGGGCACCACACGTCTAGCCTTCTGTGGATTTACTTCTCTGTCTCTCTAAGTTAGAGCAGCGCTGCTTGTTACCTGTTGGCCACATCACATACCTATGCCCTTTTCCTCCTGGTCACGGTGTACATGGCAGCCCAGGAGGCCACACTTCACATTGCATGAAGAGCTGGCTCTGCTGCGTTCCAGCACGGGAGAGACACTGGCCCTTCCTGCCCACTGGGTCGGTACTAGGCTGCTATGATGGGCCCACAGCACTGTGAGGTTGGACCATGGGAAGGTATTTTTTAATAAGAAAAGAATAGATTCCGCTGAAAATATACCTACCAAGATAATTCAATTTCATCTGTAAAAATGGCTTTATTCAGAAATTGTCAGTGATATGATACAGCTAATTAAGGCATGCATGGTGTTAACAGTTTCATTAGAGGAGATAATATTGCACAAGAAAAATAAGAAATCATTATGATGAATGTCCCAACATTACACTACATGTTAATGAAGTGTAAATGATCTAATTATTTTTGAAAGAATACAGATTCGATTAAACTGTCGGAATTAAATTGGAAAGGACAGCCGATTGTACTTTTTATGTACAGACAAGTTAACGTTAATTAGGCACAATCTACAGGAACAAATGAGGCACGACCCTTGGTGAACAATCATGGGTCCTTTGCTTAAGGCAGGTTTCATAAAGAATTATATTAGGAAAAAATTGTAAGTCAATTAAATACAGTGCTGTAGCAGTGGGAGGGAAAATGAAAGAAGCCTCAGTTCCCTCCCTCTCCATTTTGGCGGGGTTGATAGCAGAATAATTCTGCCAGTTTCGCTCCACCACTGAATTCATAAATTCCGATTCTGCTGATCAGAGGCAGTGATGGATTGTCATCCTATGTCCCCGAAACAGCCTCAAGAGGCAGCACGGCTTGGAGGGCAGGATTTCCACCAGGGGACCAAGCCCCTTGAGATGCCCACTCTGCCAGTGTCCCCCTTAAGATCCACAAAGCAGATGCTCTGTGGGTGTTTCACCATCATTTTGATAACAGTGACTGCCCTTGGCTTCACCATTTCTTTCGTGGTGCCATGACTGATTGAGCTGTGAGTTGACTACCTGGGTGCTTACTGTTTCAAATCGATTGACTCAAAAAAAGAGAGGGAAAGAAAGGAAGAGAGAGCAAAGAAGAAAGACAGAAAGAAAGAGAAAGAAAGAAAAGGGAGGAAAGAAAGAAGGAAGGAAGGAAAGAAAGGAGGAAGGAAGAAAGGAAGAAAAGGAAAAGGAGAAGGAAAATAAAGAAATCATTGTGAAACAAACAAAAAAAGCATCTGTAAAATTTCATCAACACTTGAACAACACAAATCTATATTTTTCTCTTTTGGAAAAGCAATTTTGAAAATTTTGCACATTCTATACCAAGCTTAATTTCTATATTGTTTTTCAAGTTTATAGAATTAAAATCTGAAATTAGATGAGCCCATTTTTCTTCAGGATTCAGCTGCTGGAAGCTAGGAAGGGTTAGGGATCATGGCAGCTTTTGCACCTCAGTTTAGCAACAGTGAGGCTGGAACGTGCTGGTCTGCCAGTCTCGGATGACATTTTCGGATGGATCAGGCGTGTCGGGGGCTGGCCATCCGTCACGGGTGCTCTGGCACCCCACTATGTGGCCAGGTCTGACCCCAGGCCCAGGAGGGCGGGTTCCTTTTGGCCTCTCTGCCTAATGCCAGAACTGGCGTGTTTACAGGGTCCCCACATAGGAGGTTTGTCAAAGCATCAGGCTTTATTTTAAATCTCTGCATGAGATTATGTTTCCAAGATGACCTGAAAAAAATTGTATTCCGTTTAATTATGAAATCTTCCTACTTTACTAAAGTCAGATGTATAAAAATATGATTAAAAATCTCCAGATCAGAAAACAGATGATTATTTACAGAGAGTGATTGATATACCAAAGGGTTTATTATTTGGGGTCTGGTTAATTCTCGTGATTTATTAAAAATAAGTTATAGATGGCACGGTATTCCATGAATATATTTATTTCCTAAAACAATGTACCCTGGCATAAGCGTTCCCGCCCCTTCCTTTTTCTCTGGAAGCCTCGCCAGGGGTAAATGGGAAGGGACAGGATCCTTTGGTGTAGGAACAAGAATATTGCTTTTTACACCCAGCTCCAAAACTTTAGGGTAATTATTAATAATTAGAATTGAGTGGAAAACCCGTACCAAGTGAGGTATTCAATGTCGTTTGTAGTTAACAATGGCTTCCTTCTGGACCCTTGGGAGTCAGAACAAGAGAGCCACACAGCCTTTTTGTTTTAATTTCTGGCAGCAGAAGGGATCAAGATTTAGA